>NC_000016.10:33442411-33742411 GCF_000001405.40 Homo sapiens | reverse complement strand
TTAAGAGCATGATAAATATTTGTAGTATAATGGTATAAATCCCTCTGATGTCTTACATGAAAAACATGCAGGAGCATTAATCACCTGCTTTGACATTGATTCCCAAGTGTATGAGTTGATACTCTGATTTTAGATCACATTTTTCCTCATCACTCGGCATATCCACATTGATATAGACACTGTTTTATTGTAGTAACAGACATATGAAGAATAATATCACCTATGAAATTGGAAGTGTTTGTTTTGTGAAGACTATACTTCTGTTTTCTACAGTGTAATTCTGTCATGTTCGTGTCCCAATACACAAAGTAGAAAACATCAAAGCCTACGCTAATTCAGGCAGGAGGATACAGCTTGATGCTAACACTGCATGAAA
Source organism: Homo sapiens (assembly GCF_000001405.40). NCBI lineage: Eukaryota > Metazoa > Chordata > Mammalia > Primates > Hominidae > Homo > Homo sapiens. The sequence goes on along the minus strand of NC_000016.10, from coordinate 33,742,035 downwards.
GTATGGATAACTTTATCATATTTACATACGAGTGATTATGTATCCCTTTTGGTTTTCAGTGTCTTCTCAGAAACAACCGGCCTTGAAGGTATTACACTCTTCATTCATATTTTGAATTATTAACTGTATAGTCTATGAAATATACTGTATGTATTGATTATTTTGTTTGAAATCCCATTCAGGATACAAGTGACAAGAAAGATTCTGTTTTGAACATAGCCACAGAACTAAAAGATGAACAAAAATCTGGGACAGGTAATTTTGCAATACACATTTAATGTCATGTACACTCAAGATAGAGGAGAACTTCCCTTCCCCAAATAAATCAGCAGGGGGCTCATTGAAGCTGCTCATTCTGATTCAGCGGGCCTGAGATTCTGCATTTGTAATAAGTTCTGGAGTGATGGTGATTCTGCTGATTTTTGGCCATGATCTGAATAGTAAGATTATAGACTTCCCTACATTGAAATTGGGAAGAAGAACCATTGGAGAGCAGTTCAAGACATAACAGGCTGAGAGGACAGCATAATTTTCCTTTAATTCTACAGCATGTTTCCATCAAGAGGGGAAGGAGAACAAGATGAAGTACTAGAAATTATAGGCGCCAGATCACACTGCTAAAACCAGAGGGAGGAAGTGATCATAATAATCCATAAACACTATAGAACAAGAAGTAAGGAGACCGCTGATATAGTAATTATTTTCCTCAGGGAAGAAGGATTGTGAGGCAGGAAGAAGGAAAAAGAAGTTATTTATATAATTTTTGGGGTTTCTGCTGAGGAAACCTGAGGGAACTCACTTCAGATGCTTTTAGAATGTTTGCATGAAGGAAGATTTGATTTTGGCTGCTCCAGGAACTACTGGAAGCAGGATAGAGTGCTAGTGCTAGAATTGTGATAAACCACAGTCACCTGTTACCCCTCTTTGTCATTATTGGGCATCAGAGATATATGTTTTGTTGTTATCAGTTAGTCAAATGAGATAAATGTAAATATGCATACACTGGCTTTGTTGTTCAGAGAGCAAACTTTTGGATAAAATAGCAATTTAATGAAAATACTTTAGAGAATAACATGATCTTTCAAACCAGACTTATTTTAGAAACAAAAATAATGTTAAATTCTTTAATTGACTCCTAAAATATATTTTTTTAATGAATATTGGAGTGATTTCCAAATGGACAACGTTATTCATATCTAATGCTTGTAGCAACTTTATTGTGTGTAAGTACATCAAATTTGATAATTTTTTATACATTTTGATTAGGTTTGTATATTATACCTTGTTCCCATGAGTGACTGACAAAACTTTCTGAAGGTTAAACCAGAAAATACCAAAGTGCAAGCTCATTATTATACCACATGGGTATGAAAAATAATGAATACCATATAATAGGATTCACCAAACATATATCCAAGCTGACCAATTCAGGACACTTCCACTGAGGAGCTTTGAAGTGTGCATTCATCTAAAGTGTAATTGTCATTGTGTACCTGCTCAATTTTCAGGCAAGTCAAAGAGCATGATGAATATTTGTAGTATAATGGTTTAAATCCTTCTGATGTCTTGTATGAAAGACATGCGTGATCCTGGCTCACTTCAACTTTCACCTTCTGGGTTCAAGTGATTCTCCTGTCTGAGTCTCCTGAGTAGCTGAGTTAACAGGTGTGCACCACCAACCTGGTAATTTTTGTATTTTTACTAGAGACCGGCTTTCACCATGTTGGCCAGGTTGGTCTCAAACTCCTGACCTCAAGTGATCCACCCACCTCGGCCTCACAAAGTGCTGGGATTACAGGCGTGACCCACCGAGCCCTGCCTACATGATTTTTTTTTTAAATTTTTTTAACTTTTTAAAAATAAAGATAGAGTGTTTCTGTGTTGCCCAAGCTGGTCTGAAACACCTGGGCTTCTCAAGTGATACTTCTGCCTGAACCTTTTGAGTAGCTGAGATTATAGGAACAAGTCACTGTGCTCTTTTATGTTTTTAATATTTTATAGGTTCCTATTGATTTAAAATGCATTTTACTTTTTGTTTAATAGTGCTTCCTGCTGTTGAACAGTGTTTAAACAGGTATGATTTCATAGATTTTTTAAAGTGATATGTTAACTTAGTGAATAGAGAGAATAGAAACTAGTATCCATTTAGTGTTCTACTCTGTGCTAGACACCATATTACATGCTTAATATTTATCATGTCATGTCATCTCCACACAGCTTTACAAACTATTTGTGCTATTATTGCTTTTTTACTAATTAGGGAACTCTGCTTTAAAGAGGTTGAAATATTGGCTCATGATTCCACAGTTAACAGGTAGCCAACCCAAGATTTGGCCATCATCCTGCCTGGCTCTCAAATCACTTCATTTGCCCCTAAGCATAGATGGATACAGACCTATGCAGCAATGTGATCACGGTACTGGTTTAACTCAGATCAATTCAGAAAGTCACATTTTGTTATATATTAACTCTCTTTAGAGTGTTCCTTAGAAGCATGGATACTCCAAAAGTTTGTCCAAGTATTTTGGAAATGGCAGTGGTAACCATATTACATTTTTTTTTAACCATCAAAATTTTAAAGGCAGATATCAGTTACCTGTGTCAACAGGACCCTAAGTTTTCATAAGCAAGACCAGTCCAGTCCTTGAAAAATATTACCTTACTGTGCATGGAGATTATCTAAATATAGACCATGTTATGTTAACTATATTTAGCATATATTAAAAGGATATTTCTAATTCATTTCTCTACTTACTGCCTGCCCAGTTAGGTTTTCTCTTTGAGTACCCTGCCTAGTTCGCTGTAGCTTTTTCTTATTTTCTGGATTCTTCTTTTTTCCTTCTATGACATTTTAGTATTTTCTTGATTTCTTTTCACTTTCTCTACTGCTTTTCTTAGGGTTTAAGATATTCTTTTATAGTTTTCATGTATGGCAGCTAAATATTCCCCATTTTCTTACAGACACAATCAGAGGTGCATAGAATTTCATAATGTTAAGAAATCCTAGAGACTAAACAAAATATCCTCTAGTACTGGAATCCTTGCTTAACATCCTGATGAAGTGGTTGTTCAGGTGGAGAACCTGAAACTTAAAGAGAGAAAATTATTTGGATACAGTAAATCAGAGAAATGAGAATTGCACTCAGGTTTCTTAGTTCAAAACCCAGTCTTCTTTTACATCATTCTGTCATTGAGAGATTTTAGTTTTAGGAAGAGGGAGTGGCTCTAGTGAACACAGTGGAAGAGGATGAGAATGGAATGAGCTGTTGAACCCAATGAAAGTGGATAAGAATGGAATTTGCAGGGGACAGCCAAATTTGAAGAGAAACAAACTCTTAGTTGAATAGAAATGAAGGTTTTAGGAAAAAATCTGAATATTTGGTTTAATGCAAGTTTGATAAAGATAAGGGAATTGAAAACACAGGATGTTGGGAGCTATCAAGAAAGGCATATTAGAATACGGCATTCAAGGAGTTCTGAAGAGGTTGCTGTCTTTTTGTTTGTTTAACTGGAGGAACTGACAAACTTCAAGGTTTTATTGAAAAATGTTAAAAGAATTTGAGCCACTGGAAAGAGTCTCTGGAGCAGATAGGAATGTGGTGTCATCCTCTTCCATCCCAGCTTACAGAGGACTTAGAATCCCTCAAGGACTAGGGAGCTGGAGATTGCTTAAGTAGATAGATCTATGACCCAGAGTGGATGTCTCTTTTTTTCTGACTCTTTTCTCAATTCTCTCATGTACATGTAGGGTAGGGCAAATGTAGGATTGGCCGGCAAAACGGCAATGAAGCTTCATTTGGGTAGTTGGTAACATGCATATGCTTGGGGTGGATGACTGAGACTAACTTACTTTCCAGAAGCAGAGGAATAGAGAGATCCTACTCTCAATTAAGTTAGCCCGTCTTTTGAGGAATCTGGGCTTTCCTAGGCTGAAGATGTAGATTGGAGATTGCCACAGATCCCTGCAGAAGAGGGATCCAGAAGTGGGAGCCCATAGGAAGGAAAATATTTAGATAGTGATGAATGAAATGAAACTACAAGTACTTAGGAGGGAGACTTTTCCAGCAGTCTCTCTCTTGGGTATCTGAGTGTCTATGAAGGTTCTTAAGCTTACTGGTTTTTGTGGATTTGAATAAGGCAGGATCTATATAATGACAATAATTGGATTTTAAAATTTTTAATGTTTTAATCTTCTGTGAAGAATATTCCCAATAACAACCTAACAACATATGCATTTGTACTTTGACTTTTGCACACTCAGCTTTCAAACATTTGCGGTGTTTCAAGGGGCTCCCTGTAGTGTTCTAGGGTGAAGAGAATCAATGGGCCCTCTTTAAGTAGCTTGCATGCTGAAGATCCAAGACTCCCATTTTCCCGTGACACAGATTAGTCTTTGAATCAGAAATAGATAATGCAGAAGAGACAGTGCCTTTTCTACCTTGTTTTAGGTTATCAGGTTTACTCCAGTTCAGTAACAAAAGTTGTGTCAGATATCAACTGGATTTTCAGTTTAGCCTTTAGGGTAGATAATTTATAAGGACAAATTATTGTCTGGCCGTGCCGTTATAATGCCTGTCACTATTTGTTACGGGTTTAAGGGTGAGTCTGCACTGGATATTTCATAGGTTGGGAGAGGTGGAGGCAGAAATAGGTAACTGAAATGTTTTCTAAAATGGAAGCCATATCTTAATTATACCAAGAAATATTATTTAATATGCAGATAACTGAGTTTCCTCAGACTTTGTTTTACCATTTCTTTTGGAGGGGACATGCATGTATAAACTGATGGTTTTTGTTTTCTTTTAAGAAATGAACGTGCTCATTTTTGTTGTATCTTTTTGCTCTGTAGGAGTCGCTACAGACCGGATGCTGTTGCACAGCCTGTGACAGAGGATGAGTTTGCTTTGGAATCTGAGGTAGAGTACTCTCTTGTGAAATTAATTTTCTCACTCTGAATCTCATTTTTTATATTATTTTCTTCTAAAACTTAGCAGTTGTCTACCTATCATTGTTTTATGTTAGTATTACAACTTTTATTAGAGATAACCATTTTAAAGAAATGGGAGGGGTTAATTTTAATTTTTTTTTACTTTGGCAAATAATAAATAGTTGATAAATTCTTTGAGAGGTGTGATCTGAAAAAAAAAATTGCTGGAAAATACACAGTGACAGAAAAATGGTGTTCGGGAACGCTTTCCCACAATAGAGGAGATACAAATTTTGGTCTAGGCTTATTTGAGTGTTTTTACTTTGAGTTGTATATCATATGAGTGTGACTAATAATACCTCTGTTTAAATGAATCTTTAATACATCAGATGACTTATCATAGAAATCATGGAATCACTCTGTTACACATAGCATGTGGTTTTTTTTATTTCTTGTACACATATTTTGATATCATACACTATTTTTGCAGAGAGCTATTTCCTTATTTTTATTCGTGGCTCTATAATTAGACTAAAATAATATTAGAAATTGTGGAAATTTAACTAGACATGGTATCATGTCCATGTAGTCCCACCTATTCAAGAGATGAAGCCAGGAGAATTTCTTGAGCCCAGGAGTTTAAGACCAAGCTTGGCAATATAACAAGAGCTTATCTCTAATTTCAAAAAGTCGTGGAAGTTTAGAAATTTAAATTCTGTTCTCAAATCTGTATTAGAGAAGGTTTACACAGTGTTTTCCAAGCCTTTTTTATTTAGAGTATACTTTAAACTCTTTATTTAATTGAAAAATATGCATTTTGTTTAAAATAACCTGTTTGATAAACAGATACTCTTCATATTCCTATGGTCAGACTTTAATTTCACAAGGTTTTTGCATTTTAATTAAAAGGAATCCACTCAGGGTCTTTGTATCTCATTCTAAATTTCAAATTTCAGAGGCTTTTGTGCTTAGTTATTGAAAAAATAATTGTAAAGCTCCTGCATTACTACGAGCCACTTGAAACTAGAAAACCTATTTGTATGTATCCTGGAATACACAGAATAAGGTCTTGCATGTAAGAAGCATTTTAGTAGTTTTTCATGTAAATCAACAAACAAGGAAATGGGTTTTTTTTATAATGGAATGTTACAGGTAACATAATATGCATGACATATCTAATAATTCTAGTTCAAAACCCAGTCTTCTTTTACATCATTCTGTCATTGAGTGATTTTAGTTTTAGAAAGAGGGAGTGGCTCTAGTGAACACAGTGGAAAAGGATGAGAATGGAATAATGAGCTGTTGAACCCAATGAAAGTGGATAAGAATGGAATTTGCAGAGGACAGACAAATTTGAAGATGTAGATTGGAGATTGCCATGGATCCCTGCAGAAGAGGGATCCAGAAGGGGGAGCCCATAGGAAGGAAGATATTTAGATAGTGATGAATGAAATTAAGCTGTAAGTACTCAGGAGGGAGACTTTTCCAGCAGTCTGTCTCTTGAGTATCTGAGTGTCTATGAAGGTTCTTAAGCTTGCTGGTTTTTGTAGACCTGAATAAGGCAGGATCTATATAATGACATTAATTGGATTTTATAATTTTTAATGTTTTAATCTTCTGTGAAGAATATTCCCAAAGTACATTTGTACTTTGACTTTTTTTACACTCAGCTTTCAAACATTTGCAGTGTTTCAGGGGGCTCCCTGTAGAGTTCTAGAGTAAAGAGAATCGATGGGCAATCTAAGTAGCTTACATGCTGAAGATCCAAGACTCCCCTTTTCCCGTGACACAGATTAGTCTTTGAATCAGAAATAGATAATGCAGAAGAGACAGTGCCTTTTCTACCTTGTTTTAGGTTATCAGGTTTACTGCAGTTCAGTAACAAAAGTTGTGTCAGATATTAATTGGATTTTCAGTTTAGTCTTTAGGGTAGATAATTTATAAAGACAAATTATTGTCTGGCCATGCTGTTATAATGCCTGTCACTATTTGTTACGGGTTTAAGGGTGAGTCTGCACTGGATATTTCATAGGTTGGGAGAGGTGGAGGCAGAAATAGGTAACTGAAATGTTTTCTAATACAGAAGCCATATCTTAATTATACCAAGAAATATTATTTAATGTAAGGATAACTGACCTTCCTCAGACTTTGTTTTACCAATTTTTTTTGGAGGGGACATGCATGTATAGACTGATGGTTTTTGTTTTAAGAAATGAACGTGCTCATTTTTGTCATATCTTTTTGTTCTGTAGGTGTCGCTACCTACTGGATAATGTTGCACAGCCTGTGACAAAGGATAAGTTTGCTTTGGAATCTGAGGTAGAGTACTCTCTTGTGAAATTAATTTTCTCACTCTGAATCTCATTTTTTGTATTATTTTCTTCTAAAACTTAGCAATTGTCTACCTATCATTGTTTTATGTTAGTATTAAAACTTTTATTAGAGATAACTATTTTAAAGAAATAGGAGGGGTTAATTTTAATTTTTTTACTTTGTAAATAAGAAATAGTTGATAAATACTTTGAGAGGTGTGATCTGAAAAAAAATTGTTGGAAAATACATAGTGACAGAAAAATGTTGTTTGGGAACGCTTTCCCACAACAGAGGAGATACAAATTTTGGTCTAGGCTTATCTGAGTAAGTGTTTTTACTTTGAGTTGTATATCATATGAGTATGACTAATAATACCTCTGTTTAAATGAATGTTTGTTACATCAGATGATTTATTATGGGAATCATGTGTACACATAGCATATAGTTTCTTTTTATTTCTTGTACACCTATTTTAACATCATACAGTATTTTTGCAGAGAGCTATTTCTTTATTTTTATTCTTGGTTCTATATAATTAGACTAAAATAATATTAGAAATTGTGGAAATTTAACTAGACATGGTACCATGTGCCTGTAGTCCCACCTATTCAAGAGATCAAGCCAGGAGAATTTCTTGATCCCAGGAGTTTAAGACCAAGCTTGGCAATATAGCAAGAGCTTATCTCTAATTTAAAAAAGTTGTGGAATATTAGAAATTTAAATTCTGTTCTCACACCTGTATTAGAGAGGGTTTACACTGTGTTTTCCAAGTCTTTTTTATTAAGAGTATACTGTAAAATCTTTATCTAATCTAAGAATATGCATTTTGTTTAAAATAACAACCTGTTTGATAAGCAGAGACTCTTCATATTTCTGTGGTCAGACTTTAATTTCACAAGGTTTTTGCATTGTAATTAAAAAAAAATCCACTCAGGGTCTTTCTATCTCATTCTAAATTTCAAATTTCAGAGGCTTTTGTGCTTAGTTATTGAAAAAATAATTGTAAAGCTCCTGCATTACTATGAGCCACTTGAAGCTAGAAAACCTATTTGTATGTATCTTGAGTACCCAGAATAAGGTCTTGCATGTAAGAAACATTTTAATAGTTTTTAATGTGAATCAACAAACAGGGAAATGGGCATTTTTTTAATGGAATGTTACAGGTAACATAATATGCATAAGATATCTAATAATTAAATCTATTAAATGTCTTGAATGTTCTGAATTTATCTTTTCTTCTAATGTTGAGAATCTATAAGTTGAGGTGAGTTATGCTGAGAAAATATGTCATAGAATAAAATGAAAATTGGAAAAGATGGAAAGGAAATAGGAAAGGTGGATACAGCATGTCTTCTAATATCTTCCAACTGGAAGCTTAGATTAGGATTTTAGATTAAATTTTCAAAGCCCCAACCATGTTCTATTAAATACATATTTTTCAGGACATACATTACTCTTTTGAATTCTGAATAAAAATTCTTTCTCCAGGTGTTAAGTTGCTGGAATTCTATTGTGTTTTTTTTTCCTCTCTCTGTCTCTCTCTCTCTCTCTCTCTCTCTCTCTCTCTCTCTTTGTAGTAAGAATGTTTCAGCTTTCAGGTGAATGATCATGTTTAACTCTTGGGATGTGTTATTTTATAGTAAACAAACTAAACTTTTTATTACATAAGTATTTACACAAAACAAATTGTTGAGTAAATGCTAACCAGCATTATTAGGCATATATTATGAACACAAGCTTTTCTTTTAAGCTCATATTTGATTGACTGGTCATGTCTCTTTTTTTGTTTGTTTCTCCCTCCTTCCCCTTTGTTTAAGAATGATTTACCTCAGTCTAACTTCTTCCTTGCAGACCACATGTCTTTAGTGTCTATTCTTTTGTTTCACCTCTGTTTCTGTTGTCAGGATACTTAGTTACAGCTTTCTATTTAGTAGCTATGTGTGGCCTTCATTCGTGAATCATTGCTCCATAAGGTGGATGGTTGCTTTGTTCTGTCTTTTTTGGAAGGAGCTGAAGTTATACAATAATTTGCTTTTAGCTTTTGACACACAGAATAGAAGCAACTTATACCGATTGCGATGATAGCCCATTTAAATATAGTACTACTAAAAACTACATTCTCACATTTTTTCCCACAGAAAGTAATTCACACAAATATATATCATGCATAAATATTTTGAAAACTAAAGTGATTAATTGACTTTTTATTGTTAGTTTTGTTCAGTATTACTCTAAATTACATATGAGTAAATTTTTGTCCCAGTTTGTTGTGGTTAATAAAAGAAACTGATAGATATCATAGTATTTGTATAATAATCAACTGAGGTTGAAAGGAGTAACATTTTGAGAATATCTGTATCACCAATCATAATCATCATCTCATGTGAATATGTAAATAAGTAAATGGCAGACTTGAGGTTTGGATCTACATATGAGTGACTTCAAAGTCTATCCTTTTTGTGTTAGATCGTGTAGTAATGGTGGCAATTATCATTATTTTAACTTGCTGCATGTTATTCTTAAACCTATTGTCTTTCTTCTAGAGCATTTCAGAACCATACTTTAAGAACAGAGGACTATTTCTCAACAATCTGCAGAAAAGTGTAAGCTATTTGAAACCTGACTATTGTATTATCTACTGATTCTTTTTTTTTTCTTTTTCTTTCTTATTTTTTGTAGACAGAGTGTTACTCACTGTTGCCCAGGCTGGAGTGCAGTGGCATGATCTTGGCTCACTGCAACTTCCACCTCCTGGGTTCAAGTGATTCTCCTGCCTCAGCCTCCCGAGTAGCTGGGATTACAGGTGTGCACCACCACACCTGGCTATTTTTGTACTTTTGGTAGAGATGGAATTTCACCATGTTGGCCAGGCTGGTCTTGAACACCTGACCTCGTATGATCTGCCTGCGTCGGCCCCCCAAAGTGCTGGGATCAAAAGTTGTGAGCCCCCACACCCGGTTCTTATTTATTGATTCTTAATTACATGCATTTCATCTACTCTTGACTTTGTTTTTACTGTAGTAGATGCTGCATGTGGCATTGAAAAAACAGAAAATGAAACCTTGTTTGAAGACCAAAATGTTGATAAGGTAAATGAAGATATGGTTAAAAGCCAACATAGAATAATCAGAGTCCAGTCCTGTTCACCAACTCACTCTTATCTGTTAATGATCTCTAGTTTTACAATGGTAAATTGTTTTATTTGGAAAATATTTTTCCCATGCTTTATTCACTTGCCATCTCCCTGTCTTTATAACGATGACAAGGATCCTATAAAGGAATGGAAGTTCTCCAGGTAATAATAGAAAAGAAGTGTAACAACAAGGGAAATATACGCATGGGACTAGGATTCCTAAAAGGTCGTGGGAGTAAATGATTGTTAGGTTTGCCATTAGGGAAGGAAAGAAGTAGAAAGCAACCTGAAAGAACAGCTCCACAAATACAAAGGTGAGGAGGGGAAAGAAGTAAGAATACAGAGTTGAATAAGAGTGTCAAGATGACAAAGATTAGTATAAAACACCTCAAAAACGGTGAATTTAAATGACAGTAGAATGTCTCCATATCATATTATAGAATTATTTTAAATATAGATTAGGAAAAGAAAGCCAAGTAATTAAAAAAATGCTCAGATTCTTCTGAGTGACTTACGGGTGATTTTAATAAAGGATTGGAAGAAAATTTATGGGTGACTATATTTAACATTCTGTTTTACATTTAAAAACAGCCAGGAGAGAATAACTTGAATATTTCTAGTTTAAATAAAACATACATATTTAAGGTAATGTGTCTCTCTGTTACCCTCATTAGATTATATAGATGGATCAAATCATCACACGTACACTGAAAATATATGCATCTATTTATTAATTTAAAAATTCTAAATGGAAAGAAAATTTAATCCTCACTTTTTAAAATTTCAGTAAAGTGGTGTCTCATATTTTATCTAGTGAATGCCGTGTTCATAGATAATGCAAAGTAAAATGTGTTTTAGGCTATATCAGATTTTGAATGAATCATTAATTTTTGACTCTTGTTAAAAGTTTTTTAAAGTAATATTTGGTATATTCCTAAGTTGCTTAACTAATTTATTTCACTTTTACATAATCTTGGCAGCTGTTTTAGCCTTTTTTTGATAATAAGAGAGAAAATAAATAAGTAATTAAATAATAAAAAATAATAAAAATTAATTAATACATAAATTAATAAAAATTAAAATTTCTGGTTAATTTTTTTTTTTTTGAGAGGGAGTCTCGCTCTGTCGCCCAGGCTGGAGGGCGGTGGATGATCTCGGCTCACTGCAAGGTCCACCTCCCGGGTTCATGCCATTCTCCTGCCTCAGCCTCACGAGTAGCTGGGACTATAGGCACCCGCCATCACGCCCGGCTAATTTTTTAAAATATTTTTAGTAGAGACGGGGTTTCACTGTGTTAGCCAGGATGGTCTCGATCTCCTGACCTCGTGATCTGCCTGCCTCGGCCTCCCAAAGTGCTGGGATTACAGGTGTGAGCCACCACGCCTAGCCATTTCTGGTTAATTTTAAATGAGGTTTCTAATTTATATTCATTGAATGAGAAAAAATATATTTTTAACCTGGAACCCTCTTAAAGAAATAAATTATTACTTATTTCTGGAGCTAGTCTGACTTACCTTGTGCTGATAACGTCTGTACTTAAGAACATACATGTGATGAATGCAATCAACACTCATGATTGTTTTCTAAACAAAGTACCTATTTTGATAGAATTGTAAGGAAAGAAATATTGCCAACAGAGTACACAGAATTATCTCTGGAATATTACTTTTTACTTTTAAAACTATCTCCTACAGTTGGGACATTTTGTATTATTCTCTGGAAGCATTATTAACTTTAGTATTTATAGTTGTTATACCTTGCATATAAATTGATTCAGCTCTAAAACTCAGGAATCCTTTTGACTTGATGTTTAAAATAAATTTCTTCTCTCTTCATGTCAGTATTGGGTCCTGATTGACAGGCATAGTGTATTTGAAGACATGTAAATCTTCAGCTTGCATAGTCATATGATTATTTTACTTGATCCTTTCTCTGATTTTTAACTATTATCTTTATGGCATAAGTAGGCAATTAGAGCTATTAGTATATAATTTACAGGAGAATCAGAAAACCATATGAACTTTAAAATAGGTTTTACATTTCTCTCTTATATTTTAGTAGCACTTAAAATGCCTTATAATTCTATAATAGAATAAACATTTGTGCAAGTTAAACTTTTAAGATGATTTTTTAAAAATGAGCTTTCTTAGGATACCTTGAATTACTGGTTTAGATAACTGTTTTCATTAAGTTCAAAAATGCAGATGACCATAATATTCCAGAAATAAATATCTGCATACATTAAGAAAATATATTTTATATCTTTTAATCCAGTATAGAAATATATAATTGAAATTTTGAATCCCATGTTTTGTTTTCTTTTTATTTTCAAAACTTCAGGGTTCTTCATAGGTTTAAATTATTGAATCCTACCAGTTTAGTATATTTTACAAATGTTGACCTTCTCAACAATGTATGGTTTTTTTTTGAGTAAGGTCATCTATTTCTACTCCAAATGTATTTACCCAGATCAGTCTTCTAAGTCCCCTTTGTGCCTCCAGTTTAATAGGTCTCAAACTGCCTTCCAGATTCTTTCCTGACTCTTTGTAATCTACTCTGTCATCTGGCTTCCCAATTTTAGTAAATAACACCAAGAAAGTAGCAATGAAACATTGAAGCAGAAAAACTGCACTCCAGGTTTCCCTCACATTGCCAATCCAGTGACTCACCAAATTTTGTATTTTCTACCTTTAACCATTTCTCATATCTTATTACTGTAATACACTGTCTGCCCTATACTTTCGGAATGTTTGTTTTTGTTTCTCTCTTCTCCCCATGTTTATCTATCTATATATGTCTTTCAGGGTGACCTTTCTTAAACATGTTTACTTTTATCTAACTCATCTGCTTATGGCTGGACCCTCATTACACGAAAGAAACATTTACATTCTAGCATAACACTTATTTTGCGGTTTGGCCTGTTTCTCCCATTTTATCTCTCCACTCCACTTTCTCGGTCTGTGTCCAAGTTTTACCACGTTATTGTGGTATTTCTTATTGGCTATGCTGTTTCATGCTTTATTTTTTTGCACATGCTGCCCTCACTAGAAACACTTCACACTCTTACTCTTCACTTGTCTATTTTAAAAATAGAACCCTGAATTTGCAGTGTCTCAGAAGCTTCCCAAGTAGAAATAAGTGTTATTACCTTTGTGCTATCACTGTTTTTATTGACTTGAATTGTAGAAATAATGAATTGTGTCTTTCTGCTTTTGTTTGTTTTTATAAATTTCTTTTTTCACTTGATAAATAAATAAAATTAGTATTTTATTCATATTATCAGATTTTCCAGTATAGACCTTATGAATTTATAGACACAGAAAATGTTTCTTGAATTACTGACTGAGTAGTAAATATAACATTTTCTGAAGATTTCTTTTTTTTTTTTTAAATAGGAATGAAAAGCACTACCAGCAACTGGACAAAAAGCAAATGGTATTGGTATTATAAAAAGTGCTTCATGAGAGCAATCAAATAATGATAATGTTATTTTTTGTGTACAAAAAAACAAAGGTGGTGAGGCAGTGAATATAGCTGAATAATTTTCTATGCTTTAATAATATAATTTTTGAAAATAAATATAACTAATTTAAATATAATTTAAAATAAATTTAAAATTAATTGTTAAATTACATTAAATTATAAGCCTAATTTTAATTAAATTGTAAATATAATTTATTAAATTTTAATAGTAAATATAATGTAATTTAAACATTCTTTTTCTTAAAACTTTGGTGAACACTTAAACTTGCAGATCAAAATATAATATTCATTGTTGAGAAATGGACATTAGTATATTTGCAAAAAAAAATGTGAGGTGGGATGGTGTAAATTAAGAAAGCAGCTGGCTAGGTAATTCGGAGGTTTCTGATGAGGAAACTCGAGGGAATTCACTTTATGTAGACTCAGTATATTCCCACTCAAAGAGAAGACTAAATTATTGCTGCTTTGGAGCTTACTGGAAGCAGAGGATAGAAGAACGACAGGAAACCACAGGAACTCATTTCTTCTCTCTATAGGGGTTACACATCAATGATATGTGCTTCATTCATGTTTGTTAGTGAACTGGGATGCACTTGGATATCAAAACATTGGCAGTTTTCTTTAAAAACAGTGCTGTTTTTGATGAAATAGCCATTGTATAAAAGTACCTCAGAGGCTGCTATGCTATTGCATATCAAACTGACTAGAAAAAAACAAACGAGAAATTTATTTCTTGAGTACTAAAAGTGTAACTGTCCATAATCATGGCAAATATTTTGACATGTAAAAGTTGATTAAGCCAAGCACGGTGGCTCACGGCTGTAATCCCAGCACTTTGGGAGGCTGAGGTGGGAGGATCACAAGGTCAGGAGATGGAGACCATCCTGGCTAACATGGTGAAACACCATCTCTACTAAAAATACAAAAAATTAGCCAGGCATGGTGGCGTGTGCCTATAGTCCCAGCTACTAGGGAGCCTGAGGCAGGAGAATCACTTGAACCCCGGTGGCGGAGGTTGCTGTGAGCCGAGATTGTGCGCACTGCACTCCAGCCTAGGCAACAGAGCAAGACTCCATGTCAAAAAAAAAAAAAAAAAAAAGAAAGTTGATCATTTTGAAAAAAAAGTCAATGATGATTCAGAGATTTTTGGTTACATTTTGTAAATGAAAATCTGAGTACTCATTAGTTATTTGATGTGTAATGCATACTTTTTTTGCATAAGTGAATGAAAAGATGGCAAGAGAACTTAAGTTGAGAATCCAGAAGTTGAAAATATCAGAAGTCTTCATGACTGTGGATAACATGAGTATTTTTAGAAACAATTTTTCTCCAAGTAGATATCTAAACTAATGATTGAGAGCACTTCCTGCAAGAAGTGAATGATACATTTTCTTTTCTTTTCTTTCCTTTTCTTTTCTTTTGTTTTTTGAGACGGAGTCTCGCTCTGTCACCCAGGCTTGAGTGCAGTGGCGGGATCTCGGCTCACTGCAAACTCCACCTCCCGGGTTTACGGCATTATTTTCCCAAGGAAGACGGATTATGAGGCAGGAAGGTGGGAAAAGAGGAAGTCATTTACATAATTTTGGGGTTTCTGCTGAGGAAACCTGAGTGAACTCACTTTAGATGCATTTGGAATATTTGCATAAAAAATATTTGATTTTGGCAGCTCCAGGAACTACTGGAAGTGGGAAACAATGCTAGAATTGGGATAAAGCACACTGACTCATTACTCTTTTTTGTTACTATTAGGCATCAGAGATACATGTTTTGTTGATTTTAGTTAAAAAAATGAGATAAACTTGAATATGAATAGATTGGCTTCCTTGTTCAAGGAGCTACCTCTTGGATAAAATAGCTGTTTAATGAAACTTCTTTGGAGAATAACATGATACTCCGAAGAAGGCTATTTTAGAAACAAAAATTATGTTGAATTCTAATTAACTCCTAAAGTGATCATCTTCAATGAATATTGGAGTGATTTCTGAATGTAAAACTCATTAATATCTAATGCTTGTAGCAGTTTTACTTTGTAGAAGTATGCCAAAATTGATAATTGATATTTTTCTTGAGGCTGATATATTATCCTTTGGTGCCATGAGTGGATGAAGAAACTTTCAGAATGCCAAACTAGTGGATACAAGAAACTTAAGCAAATTATTACACCACATGGGTGTGAGAGATAATGAATATTATCTGCTAGGTATCAGCAAACAGATATCCAAGGTGATCAATTTAGGACACTTCCACTGAAGAGACGTGAACTGTATGTTCAACTGAAGTGTCATCGTAATTGTGTGCCTTCTCAGTTATTGGGCAAGTTAAAGAGCATGACGAATGTTTGTAGTATAATGGTGTAAATCCTTCTGATTTCTTGCAAGAAAGACATGCGGGATCATGTACCACCTGCTTTGACATTGATTCTCAGGTGTGTGAGTTACTCCTCTGATTTGTCCTCATCACTCGGCATATCCACATTGATACTGACACGGTTTTATTTTAGTTTTAGACGTATCACAAATCATACCATGTTTGAAATTGTAAGGGTATATTTTGTGAAGCCTGTATTCCTTTTTTCTCAGTGTATTTCTGTCGTGTTCCAGTCTCCAGACAAAAAGTAGAAAACATCAAAGCCTACACTAGTACAGGCAAGAAGATACCAGCTTGATGCTAACACTGCATGAATGTATGGATAAATTTATCATATGTACATATGAGTGATTATCCCTTTTGCTTTTCAGTGTCTTCTCAGAAACAACCAGCTGAGAAGGTAATTAAAGTCTCATTTATATGTTGAACTATTAACTGTATAGTCTATGAAACCTACTTCATGTATCGATTACTTTGCTTCAAACCCCATTCAGGCTACCAGTGACGAGAAAGATTCTGTTTCGAATATAGCCACAGAAATAAAGGATGGACAACAATCTGGGACAGGTAATTTTGCAAAACACATTTAATGTCATGTTCAGTCAAAATAGAAAAGAACTTCTCTTCCCCGAATAAATCAGCCGGGGCGGGGGTGTGGCTCCTCGAAGCTGCACGTTCTGATTCAGCAGGCCTGAGATTCTTCATCTGTAATAAGTTCTTGGGTGACGTTAATGCTGCTTGTCTGGAACATGATCTTTGCAGTAAGATTATAGACTTCCCCACGTTGAAATTGGGAAGAAGAAATATGGAGAGCAGTTCAAGACATAAGGGGCTCAGGGAAAAGCATAATTTTGCTTTAACTCTACAGCATGGTTTCACTAAGAGTGGAAGGAGAAAGAGAGGAAGTATAGATTTTACAGACGTCACATCGTACTGCTAAAAAAAGACAGAAAACTGATTGTAATAACCCATAGACACTGTAGAATGAGAACTAAGGAGACCCCTGATGTAGCAATTATTTTCCCAAGGAAGACGGATCGTGAGGCAGGAAGGAGGGAAAAGAAGTTATTTATATAATTTTGGGGTTTCTGCTGAGGAAACCTGAGTGAACTCACTTCAGATGCATTTGGAATATTTGCCTAAAAAATATTTGATTTTGGCAGCTCCAGGAGCTACTGGAAGCAGGAAACAATGCTAGAATTGGGATAAAACACAATGACTCATTACTCTTCTTTGTTACTAGGAGGCATCAGAGATACATGTTTTGTTGATTTTAGTAATAGAAATGAGACAAACTTGAATATGAATACATTGGCTTCCTTGTTCAAGGAGCTACCTCTTGGATAAAATAGCTATTTAATGAAACTTCGATAGAGAATAGTGTGATATTCCCAAACAAGACTATTTTAGAAACAAAAATTGTGTAGAATTCTAACGAACTCCTAAAGTGATCATTTTCAATGAACATTGGAGTGATTTCTGAATGAAAAACTTATTAATATCTAATGCTTGTAGCAGTTTTACTTTGTAGAAGTATGTCAAAATTGATAATTGATGATATTTTTCTTGAGGCTAATGTATTATCCTTTGGTGCCATGAGTGGATGAAGAAACTTTCAGGAGGCTAAACTAGTGGATAAAAGAAACTTAGGCACATTATTACACCAGATGGGTGTGAGAGATAATGAATGTTATCTACTAGATAATGAATGTATCAGCAAACAGATATCCAAGATGATCAATTTAGGACACTTCCACTGAAGTGATGTGAAGTGTACGTTCAACTGAAGTGTCATCGTAATTGTGTGCCTTCTCAGTTATTGGGCAAGTTAAAGAGCATGATGAATGTTTGTAGTATAATGGTGTAAATCCTTTTGATTTCTTGCGTGAAAGACATGTGGGATCATGTAGCACCTGCTTTGACATAGATTCTCAGGTGTATGAGTTGCTCCTCTGATTTTAAGTCATGTTTGTCCTCATCATCGACATATCCACATTGATATTGACACGGTTTTTAGTTTTCGACATATGACAAATCATATCATGTTTGAAATTGTAAGGGTATATTTCATGGAGCCAGTATTCCCTTTTATCAGTGTATTTCTGTCATGTTCCAGTCCCAAGACACAAAGTAGAAGACATCAGAGCCTACACTAGTACAGGCAGAAGGTTACAGCTTGATGCTAACACTGTGTGAATGTATGGATAACTTTATCATATTTATATATGAGTGATTATGTATCCCTGTTGTTTTTCAGTGTCTTCTCAGAAACCACCAGCCTTGAAGGTAATTAAACTCTCATTTACATTGTGAACTTTTAAATATATAGTCTTTGAAACATACTTCATTTATTTATTTATTATTTTCTTTCAAATTCCATTCAGGCTACAAGTGACGAGAAAGATTCTGTTTCGAATATAGCCACACAAATAAAGGATGGAGAAAAATCTGGGACAGGTAATTTGGCAAAACACGTTTAATGTCATGTTCAATCCACATAGAGAAGAACTTCTCTTCCCCGCATAAATCAGCGGGGGTAGGGGGTGGGGTGTGGGGTGGGGGCTCGCTGAAGCTGCACATTCTGATTGAGCAGGCCTGAGATTCTTCATTTGTAGTAAGTTCTTGGGTGACACTAATGCTGCTGGTCTGGAACATGATCTTCGCAGTAAGACTACATTGAAATTGGTCTTACTTCCCCACATTGAGATTGGGAAGAAGAAATATGGAGAGCAGTTCAAGACATAAGGGGCTCTGGGGCACAACATAATTTTGCTTTAATTCTACAGCACAGTTTCACTAAGGCTGGAAGGAGAAAGAGAGGAAATATAGATTTTACAGATGTCACGTCGTACTGCTAAAAAAAAGACAGAAAACTGATAGTAATAACCCGTAGACAGTGTAGAACGAGAACTAACA
The DNA here is from genome assembly GCF_000001405.40 of Homo sapiens. NCBI lineage: Eukaryota > Metazoa > Chordata > Mammalia > Primates > Hominidae > Homo > Homo sapiens. Next base: position 33,722,896 of record NC_000016.10, on the reverse strand, counting down.
AGACCCCTGATGTAGCCATTATTATTAGGTATCTGGGCTTAATTCTCTGGGAAGCTATGAGGAACATGCCTCAGAATTACATCACTGAATCCAGGGAGATTCTTCTTAGTTACCCTCACCTTTTCTTCCCACTTCATGCCCAGTAACAAGCTCCCGTGCTGCTAGAGAAAGTCCTCAGCTAGAAACAGGTGCAAGTTCTGGAGATGAGACCTTGTAGAGTGTTAAGATTCCTTTTCTTCCCAGCAGCTACAAGTAAGGAATAGGGGCTGGGCTATTAATACATCTGCTACAAATCAATATACCCCTTATGCTCCTTTTGGTGATCGACAATGTATTTAAAAATATTAGATGATCAAGAAGGGCTGCAGAAAGGAGGAAACAGAAACAAACAGCACACCTCTTGGTTTATTTTTATTCATTTCATCAGTTTCAAGGAAAATGTGTTGGGAGTTCCTGGCATAGAGAATGTCACAAAGACATGTTTTCCATAGTGGTGCTATCCCTAGGGCAGAGAAGACCCAGAGAAAGCCCAAGTGGCTGCTGGAACAAAGTCAGACACCGTGCCACCTGTCCACACTCATTGGCTCTGCCATCATGCTGAAGATCGGTTGAAAGGACTGGCTTCCCTCCCCCCAAAATTAAAAGAGCACAAACTGAGAAACTGAATGTGGGAGACAGCAGTGGATTATGCTGTTCTCAGGGGTCACCTCAGGTTTGGAAGCATTCTTTCAAATTAACCCATCTCAGGCCATCTGCAGAGAAGAAAGGTGGCACCTAACTTTTTTTCTTGTCAGCATTTGGTAGGGGTGTTTTATTAACCAAATATATTCCCACAACCTAGTTTTTTGTAACTAAATATAGTAGATTTTTAAATTTTATCATCAAAATCTATAGACAATTTTTTATTAAAATAGACTCCACATCTATGTCCTGCTTTTCTTCTTCTTATTAATTACAGTGCTGTATAAAAGAACAAGACTTCAGAATCAAGAATATCTTGTCTCTTGGCATTGAATTTATACAAGGTGCTCTTTCTTTAATGCTGTCTCAAAGGACATATTTTTATTCATTAAAAAGGAAGATCGGAATCTAGTTGTATGCACTGCTCCAACATATTAATACATAAAATTAGGAGGTAAATGTGGTCAAAGCTATAGAAAGACTTGAGATGTCATTTATATTGATTACTGTATAGCACTCTACAAACAGAAATTGTTAAATAATAGTTTATATAAATATTTTGTAGCATTTCAAATATTTGAGTGCCTGAAGTTTCTCCTCTTACATAGTTCAGATTATCAATTTGGAGACTTACTCCGCTAGTTAAAATGTTTTTAGTCTCGTTTGAGTATTATATAAAAGCAATTTTCAGTTAAATGTGTTCCGCTTACATAAAACATTACAAATTAGTGAGTATTTAATTACATTTTCATGTTCCTGTAATGTCTTTAGAAGATTTTCATATTACCTATCAATATATGTATGCTTTGTCCAAGAAAAATCAAACATATATATAATTGAAATGGAAACTTTTTAAAAGTACTTATTAATTCCATTGAAAAACCACATCCATAGGAACAATTACAATATAATATTGTGAACATGTAAATATATATCCTATTTTATATATAAGCATATATGATTACAAATATAGTTAAGAATTTTTAAACCTAGTATTATAAAGTAAAAATTAGTTAAACTTCTGATGATTATTTATTAATGAAGATAAAATTATTTTGATTTGGGTGATTTTAAATAAACAAAAATATTAAATTACATGACAAAAATTCTTTATAAAATGTTTATGATTTTTACTTTGGTTTTATCACTTTATTCTACTAATTTATTTTAAGATGACCTGCCTTGTTTAAAACACTGTATTCATCTTAATTAAATTAAAATCCATTTGTAAAAAATTAACAAATGATTTGCTCTATTATACAGTGCGGTTATAAACTGAGTCAGTATCTCAAGATTTGATCCCCATTTTCATCATCTGTGGCCCTATTTGTTTTATAAATGTATTGTCTTTTTCCATGCCTGTCACATCTCTATTGCTCATTCATTTTTCTCTTTGTCCCTTATAGGGAGCATTGCCTATATCTAGATTAAGCAACAGTTGCATCTTAAAAAAGCACAATAACCTCCTCAGTCTTTCTCACACAGCGAAATGTTTGTTAAGTAATTAAAGTGTAGATGATGATACAAAGAGCTTGATTAAATTAGATGCCAAAGTACCCTTGTGATTCAGAATATGAATGGTATTTAATTTCTTTGAAATCAATAATTGCTGAGTGACATTAATTAATGCCAATATTTCAGAAGTTGTTCTAGTTAGTGAAATGTATACAACATGCAAAAGTTTCAGAACTCTGAAGGGCAACATTATTCTATGATTAAGAATTAAGAATTAATTCACATTAATTATTGGGGAGAAATAATTATTAAGAATGACAGAAATGTTTTTATTTTTTATTTAGAAAATTATTTTGTGCATGAGCATTACTGCAAGTTTTGCAAGAAACATAAATTTAAAGAAACAATTATGTGCACAAGGTGAATTTAATAACATCTGATATTTTCCATGATTACAGTTTTATTTGGTAAATCTTTAAATATACATCATCTAAAGATAATAAATGAATCTTGGAAATCTTGTAGGTAAGGGTAAATATTAGGATGCATCCAATTACATTTACACACACATACAATTACATTTACACACACATACATGCACACACACTCACTGATACACGTGTGTATATGTATACATGAATTTACTAAATGATTTTAACTAATATTTATAAGAGCCAGTAGGATTGATATATATTGTTGAACCTGAAAAACATTTATTATATACATGTTTAAAATACACACAGAAATAAATAGTAATTGCACTAGGCATTTGAAACTGTACTAAAATATAAGCTGTGAACATTTTGTGATCATTACAAATTCTTACACTGAATATTTTTATTTTTATAATATTAATATGTTTGATACATGTGTACATTTTTTACAATGTATTATTTTTGTCATACAGTCATGTCATGCATAATAACATTTCAAAGATGGATTACATATACAAAAGTGGTCCCATGAGATTATAATACATATTTTTACATACTTTTCTATGTTTAAGTATGTTTAGATACATAAACTCTTATCACTGTGTTCTTACTGCCTGCAGTATTCAGTACAGTAATGTAGTACAAAGGTTTGTAACCTAGGAGAGAGAGGCTATACCATATAACCTAGACGTGGTAGGCTGTACAATCTAGGTGTTTGTAATATTCTCTGTGATGTTTGCAAAATGAAGAAATTGCCTATGGATGCATCTCTTAGAACGTATCCCTATCATTCAGTGATGTGTGACTGTACTAAAATGCTCAATGTAAGTTTCAATGCCCTCCATAAAATTGTTGTACTGTGAAATACAAATCTCTCACCCATGGCCTGAATATGTTTGCAAACTAAGCAGATCATGGGAAGGAGAATGTGCTGGCATCGCTGGGATGATTTTCTCACACTACATGAATAATATCTCCAGACTTCGCGAATATGAGCCACTTGCATAGAGTTAAAGTAGGCATCTCTTTGCTGGGAAATTTATCAAATGGCAGTATGAAGTGTTTTTAAAAGATACTTGTTTGTTTGTAGCTGGTAGGCCTACAGTGGCTCATGGCAATGGATGAGGTTGCTAAGATTTGGTGGAAGGAGGTAAAATGAAATGGCCACTTATATGGTATATGGGTCACTTGTTTCTGTTGAGTTACAGATTCAGCTGACTCTTTCTCCCAATGTTAGTTATTCGGAGAAAAAAAACATGATGGTAATTTTGGGGTGACAAATACAATATTTGATGAAAGCAAATTTATTGAGGGTTAGACAAACTACAAGATACTTTAGGCTGCAAAGTCAACACGAGACTTCTGGCCCAAATTGTGCAGAGTTTGGGTCCAGCTGCAAAGTTCAAAGGAAGAGGCCATATAAGACGATTCTCACTTTTGACACCAACTGCCAGTTTAGGGGTTTCCCCAGAACACCCTCAGTTTCAAGAATTTACTAGAAAGACTCACAGAACTCATTGAATGCCATTGTACTCATGGTTTGTAATAGAGAAAGGGTAGAAATTAGGACCAATCAAAGGAAGAGACATATCACATAAGGTGGACTCTAGGAGGATTTTGAATGTTAAGTTTCCATTGTCTTCAGGACATATTACCTGTCATTGTTGTACAGCAATAAACATGGAGTACTACCAACCTGGGGAGCTCACCTGATGCTAAAAAGACACTATTTAGAAAATGAAAAGACAAAGGAAAGGATGAGAGAAGATGACCTTCCATATTAAGGTACTGGAAAAAATAGCAAACTAAACCTAAAGCAAGCAGAAGGAAGAAAATAAAAATTAGAGAAATTAATAATTTATAATATTAATAATATTTGTTAGTATCGGATAATTGATATTAATTCTCGACTAACTTTTTTTAAAAGGAGAAATATTCACTTCCCAATTTATTCTGTGGGGCCAGTGTTACCTTGATACAAAAGTTAGTCCAAATAGCATAGAAAAATAAAACTATTATAAGTATAAATGCAAAATTCCTTAAAAAATACTAACAAATCAGATCTAGCAACATATAAAAGAATTATACACTATGACAAAGTGAAATTTATACTAGTAATCCCAGGTTGGTTTAACAGCCCAAAATCCATTAAGGTAATACATCTTATCCATAGAATAAGAAACAAGAATTGCATGATCATCTCGATAGATTCAGAAAAGACATTTAACAGAATCCAAATGCTTTAATGATTAAAAATAAAAATAAAAACTCAATGAACCAGGAATAGAGAACTTTCTACACCTGATACATGGCACCTGTGAAAAGCCAACAGCAAACATTCAACTTAGTGGTGAAAGAAAGGATACTTTCCCGCTATGGTCAGAGATAAGAATAAGATATATACTTTGACCTCTTCTAGTCAACACTGTACTAAAGATTTTATGCAGGGCAAATCAGCAAGTAAAGAAGTAAGAGTCACCCATATTGGACAGGAGGAAATAAAACTTTATTTGCAAATAACATTCTTGTATATAGAAAATTTTAAGGAATCCACTGAATGATAGAACTAGTAAATTAATTCAGCAATATTACAGCATACAAGATAAATGTACAAAAATCAATTGCACACATCTACAATGAAAACCCCAAAATGAAATTAAGAAAACACTTCAATTTACAATAGCATCACAAAAAAAATAATAATTAATTTGGAAAATGTGATACAAGAGTTTACTCTGAAAATTAAAAATTATTGTTTAAGGGAGATCTAAATAATTAGCAAATATCTTACAGCCATGAATTGGAAGATTTAATATTGTAGTACTTTACAATTTGAACTACAGATTTGATGAAATCCCTGCAAGTATCCCAACAGACTTCTGTCTAGAAACTGACAAGCCGATTCTAAAATACACATGGAATTGTAAGAGACTCAAAATAGCCAAAATAGTCTGGAAAAAAGAAAGATATTAGGATAATTCACACCCCCGTGCTCCAAACCTTACTGCAAGGCATCAGTAATCAAGACAAGACAATACTGATGAAGGAAAAATATATAGATTGTTGGAAGAGAATTGAGAGTCCATATATAAAACTATGTATCTATAGTCAATGGATTCTTACAGTGGTGCCATGTGCAATTCAATGAGGAAGAGACAATCTTTGAACAAACTGGGTTGACAACGTACACGTGGATCACCACTTGCAAAATAATCAATTCGAACCCTTACCCCAGAACATACAAAAATATTAACTCAAATGAATTAAAGACATACATGCAAGAGCTAGAGTAAAGCATAGGGGAAAATCTTCAGGATTTTGGATCTAGCAAAGAAATAGCTGTAACTCCAAAAACATGAGCAACATAATAAAAATTAGATATTTAAAATTTCTTAAAAATTAAAGACATTGGTGTTTCAAAGGACAACCAAGCAAGTCAAAAGGCAGCTCAAAAACTGTGAGAAGATATTTGAAAAACACGTATCTATATGTCTGTATATATATGTATCTTGAATATAGAAAAATTGTTTTAACTCAGTAACAAATATCCCAACTCAAAACTGATAAATGATAGGAATAGATGTGTTTCCCAAGAAGATACACGAACGGTCAATAATCCCATAAAAAGATACTCAATAGCATCACTCATCAGGCAACTACAAATCAAAACCACAATTAGATACTCTATGGCTAAAACTGGCCACTTTGGAAAATAGTTTGTTGGCTTCTAAATATATTAAACATAGAATTGTCATATGACCCAGAAATTTATTCCTAGGTATACACCCAGATTATTGGAAAGAGGTGTTCAAACACAAATTGTACACAAGTATTTTTAGCAGCAGTATTTAAAATAGCCAAAGGTGAACACAACTCGAATGTCAATAAAATATTATTGGATAAACAAAATGTTATATCCATGAAATTGAATGTTATACAGTTATAAAAAGAAATAAAGTACCAATACGCATATGAACCTTGATAGCATTATGCCAACTGAAAGAAGCCAGGCACAAAAGGCCACCTATTGTATGATTCTATTTAGATGAAAATAGAATAGGAAAATCTATAGAGACAGAAAACAGCTTTGTGGTTGCTTAGGATTGAGTAGGGGATGGGTGCATAGGAGGTTAACAGCTAAAGAAGGTGGGGTTTCTTTTTAAAGTGATGAAAATGCTCTAAAATTCATTGTGATGATGGCTCCACTTATCTGTGCATATACTAAAAGCCATTGACTTGTAGACATTAGTGTGTGCACTCTACACTATGTAAATTATGTCTCAATAAATCCTTTCAAAAATACACAGAAGACTAAGGGGTTTGGGAATGCTGCAGCTGGGAGGCAGTTTGAAATACTGAATAGGTCTCATCGAGAATGTGAGGTTTCAGTAAAGACTTGAGGAAGCTGAATGAGCTGATCAATGGATATATGGAGGGTTATCTTTCCAAGCCAAGAAATTAACTAGAGTCTTGGTCATAAGACAGCAGCATGTTGGCATGTCCAGAGGACAGTGAAGTGGCCAGGACCACTGGTAAGATCAAGGGTGAAGATATAAAAGAATTTTGGCGGTTAACATGCGGCAAATCATGATGGGCTTGCAGACCATTGTAAGAATTGTGGCTTTTAGTGTAAATGAAATGGGGAGACAAATCATTATCCCATTATCGATATTTTAATAAATTGGATCCATGAACCAAATCCAATGAGATTAAATCAATTAGTAATAATATGTAAATTTGTATTAAAATTACAAGAATTACTTTCACATTTGAGAACAGAAGAGTCATGATTGTTCATCAGCAATAATCAACATTATTAATTTTAATTGTGATCAGCTAATTGAGATTAATTGCAATACATCATGCTTTATAATGTGACCGTCAAAAGGAAAATATGATTGTAATCTTATACTACATCTATCAATGTCTCTGATTCATAAGACTATAGAGTAAGCCCCTAGTTTTCAAAGCCAACTTATGAGGCAGTGACATCTTATGCAAGTTTGCTGCTTTCTGCCACAGTGGTCCTTGGTCAGCTGGCACAAATTGTTTTACAAATGCCACTAGGTCTAAAAAAAGTTTGGATCACAATGAACACAGAAAAACCTTCATCCCTTCAGAAATACCTATCAATTACTTCCAATACAGAATGAAAAATTGACAAAGGAAATATGTTGATTGTAAAAATGCCAGTTACCTTGCATCTACATGAAAGAAAAATGCCATTCTTATTACATTAGATCATTGTTTTACATGAGTTTTGGTATAGCACAATGTTGAACCAAGGGCAAAGAGAGATGAATTAATGAAGTTTTAAGATATCAACGTTGGGGCAGGGCAAATCAGACTAGGACACCTCCAAGTCCAGCTCTGGCCCTGCCTTGGCCCTGGCCCCTTCCTGGCCTGACCTTGTCCCTGGCCCTGCCCTGTCCATGCCCTGTGTATTTTACCAGTGTTTTATAACCAGAATCCTATAAGAAACTTAAATCAGTTCTTTTTGTGCGTTTTTAGTAGAGATGGGGTTTCACAATGTTGCCCAGGCTGGTTCCAAACTCCTGAGCTCAAGCCATCTGCCTGCCTTGGCCTCCCAAAGTGCTGGGATTACTGGAGTAATCTGGCCAAGTATTTAACTTCTTTATGCCTGTTTCCTACATTTGGAAAATGGGGATGGTTTAAGTACCTAGCACATAGAATTATTGTGAGAATCAATGCCTCACAAATTTACATATTGATAAAATTATACTCGTAGAACACTACTGGAAGCACAAATAGTATTAGTTAAAATTTAGTGATTATTTACTGCAAATATTATTACTATTACAAACAACATAGTACAGACATTATTACTACTACTATAGTTATCTTAAAAATCTAAAATAAACATTTTACATAATAGCCTAATGTAATCTCTCCTGCTCTGCCCTGGCTCAGCCCTAGTGCCAGCTCTGCCCCTAGTCCTACCACATCCCTGGCCCTGACGCTTCCCTGGTCCTGCCGCTGCCCCGGCCCTTCCCATCTTCAGGACTTACCATGGCCCTATCCTGGTCCTGACCCTGGTCCTACCCCAGAGAAGGGGTATGGCAGAGCCAGGGAAGGGCTGGGGCAAATAAGGGACAGGACACATCCAAATCCAGGAAAGGGCCAGGGCCATGACAGAGCCAGGGCGAGTCCTTGGCAGGGCCAAGTTCCAGGCCAGGGCCAGGAAAGGGTCATGGCAGGGTCACTGTACGGCCAAGGTCCAGGCCAATGCCAAGGCAGGGGCAGGGTCAGGCCTGCATAAGGGCAGGACCAGAGCCAGTGATATGGCAGGGCCAGGGCCAGGGCTGTGCCAGGACAGAACAAGAGCAGGGCAGGACCAGAGCCAGGCCATAGAGAGAGTAGGGCAAATGCCAAGCCAAGGCCAGGGTAGTGCCAGGGCTGAGGCAAAGTCAGGGAAGGTCCAGGGCTGAGTCAAGGCTGGAACCAAGACAGGGGCAAAGGCCAGGGCAGATCTAGGGCACAAGCAGGGCAGGCTAGGGCAGGGCAATGGCAAGACCAGGCCATGGCAAGGCCAGGCCAGGATAGAACAGGGCACAGGCAGGGCAGGGCCAGGGCCACGGCTGGGGCAGGACAAGGACGAGGACCGGGTCCAGGCCAGGGCAAGGGTATGGCCAGGGCAGAGGTAGGGCCAGAACCAGGGTCTGGGCAGGACCAAGGCAGGTCCATTGCAGGGCCAGGGTTCAGACCAGGGCCAGACCAGGGCTGGGATAGGGCCAGGGCCAGGACCAGGAAAGGGCAATGTCAGGACAAGGACCATGGCAGGACCAGCAACGGGGCTAGGGCCAGGACAGGGACAGGGACAGGGTCAGGGCTAGGACCAGAATAGCATGCCAGGGTAGAGCCAGGCCAAATTAGGGCCAGGACAGGGTCAGGACCAGGGCTGGGCCAGGGTATGGCCTTAAGTAGCGAAGGGCCAGGGCCAGGGGGTCCATGCCAGTGCCAGCGCTGGTCCAGGGCAGAGGCAGGGCCATGGCCAGGTCTAGGACAAGGCTGGGGAAGGGCCAAGGTCTGGGTCAGGGTCAGCACAAGACCAGGACAGAGCCAGGGGAGGGACAGGGCCATGGTAGGACCAGGTTAACTCAGGGACAAGACACCTGCAAATCCACTTCAGGGCCAGGGTCAGGGCAGGGCCAGTTCAGGGCCAGGGCCAAGACAGGGCCAGGGCCAGGGCCATCAGGGTCATTGGCAGGGCCAGGGCCATGGCAGGACCAGGGTCAGGAGCAGGGGTCAATGCCAGGCCAAGGCCACAGATAGGACCAGGTCTGTGCTAGGGCCAGTGTGTGGGCCAAGGCGGGCTCAGGGCAGGGCCAAAGGGAGGGCAGGGTGGAGCAGGTCCAGGGTAGCACAGGGTTAAGGTAGGGCATGACCAACCAGGGCAGGTCTATGGCTGGGTCCAGGGCAGGGCCAGAGCTGGGGCAGGGCCAGAGCCAGGGCAGGGCCGAGACAGTGGCAGCTCCCGGGCAGGGCCAGGGTTAGGACCACGGACATGTCCAAGGCCAGTGCCAGGGCAAGGGCAAGGGCAGAAGCAGGGTCAGGGTCATCTGAGAACCAGGGACAAAGCCAGGCCCAGAACAGGGCCAGGACAGGTACCTGGCAGGGCTAGGGTCTGGGACAGGGCCATGGCAGGGCCAGGACCACAGCCAAGTCTGTGCTATGGCCAGGTCCAACACAGTGCCCAGGGAAGGCTAGGGTGAAGGCCAAGGTAGGGCCAGGGCAGGGTCAAAGCCAGGCTAGGGCCAGGGCAGGGTCAAAGCCAGGCTAGGGCCAAGGCAGGGCCAGGGCCGTCAAGGAAGGGCCAGGAAAGCATAGGGCCAAGGCAGGGCAGGGCCAGGCCAGTGCCAAGACCTGGGCAGGGCCAGGGAACAGCCAGGTCAGGGTCAGGGCCAGGGCCTGGGCAGGACCAGGTTTGGGGCAGGAGCAAAACAAAGGCAAGGACAGTGCACGTTCTTGGCACAGCCAGGGTCCAGGACAGTGTCAGGGCAGGGCCAAGGCAGGGTCTGGGCCATGGTAAGACCAGCAACAGGGCTGGGGCTAGGCCAGTGACAGGACCAGAGTCAGGGCAAGCGCCAGAGCAGTGCAAGGCCAGGGAAGGGCCAGGCATTTCAGGGTCAGGGCCAGAGGAGAACCAGGGCAAGGTCTCAAGCAGGGAAGGGCCAGGGCCAGGACAGGTCCAGGGCAGGGCCATGACAGGGCCAGGGGCTGTGTTAGGGTAAGGGCAGGGCCAGAGCAAGGTAAGGGTCAGGGCCAAGGCCAGGGTAGGGACAGGGCAAGAAATATGGCAGGACCAGGGGCAATGCCAAGGCCAAGGCTGGGCCAGGGCTGAGCCAGGGCTGAGTCAGGGCAGGGCAGGGCAGGGCATGGTATGGCCAGTGCAGGACAGGACAAGAGCCAGTCCACAGAGACAGCAGGGCTGATGCCAAGAAAGAGCCAGGCTAGTGCCAAGGCTGAGGCAATGTCAGAGCATATCCAGGGCAGGGCCGGGGCCAGGGCCAGAACCGAGCCAGGGCACAGCCAAGGCAGGGTACGGCAGGGAAATAGCATGGCCAGGTCAGTACTGGGACAGGGCAGAGCAGGGAAAGGCGATGGTAGTGGCAGGGCAGGGACAGGCCAATGCAGAGCCATGTCATGCCGGGGCCAGGACACCTCCAAGTCCACTTCAGGGCCAGGGCTATGGCAGGACAAAGACCAGAGCCAGGATCAGGGCCAGGTCTGTGCTAGGGCCAGCTCCAGAGCAGGGCCTAATGAAGACTAGGGTGAGGGCCAAGGTAAGGCCAGGGCAGGGTCAAAGGCAGAGTAGGGCCAGGGCAGGGGGATGACACATCCAGAGCACAGCAGGGCAGGGTGATGGCAAGACCAGGGGCAGACCACTGCCAGCTCAGGGCCAGGGAAAGGCCAGTGCAGAGAGAGGAAAGGGTCTGGGTCTGGGTCAGGGCCAGGAACAAGGCAGAGCAGGGCCAGGGCCATGGCAGAGTCAGGGCAGGTCCTTGACAGGACCAGGTTCCAGGCCAGGGCCAGGGCAGCAACAGGGGCAGGGCCTGGATAAGGGTAGGGCCAGGGATATGGCAGGACCAGGGCTAGGGCCAGGGCCAGGCCATAGTGAGGGCAGGGCAAAAGCCAAGGCAGGGTCAGGGCAGGTCCAGGGAGCGGCCAGCACCAAGCGGGGCCAAGGCACAACCAGCGCAGGGTAAGGCAGGACAATGGCACCACTGGGCCATGACAGGGCAAGGTCAGTGCCAGGAGAGGGCAGAAAAGGCAGGCCCATGGTGGGGCCAGGGCAGGGATGGGCCAAAGCAGGGCCAGGATATGTCCAAGGCCAGGTCAGGGCCAGAACAAGAGCAGGACCATGACCATTGGCAGGGCCAGTGCCACGAGAGGACCAGGGTCAGGACAAGGGGCAGGGCCAGAGCCAGGGCCAGAGCCAAGGTCAGGCCAGTGCAGGTTCAGGGCACGGCCAGTGCCAGGGTAAGACCAGGGCAGGGACAGGGTAGCACAGGGCCAAGACAGAGTCAGGATGGGACCAGAGCAGGACAGGGCCGAGAGTCCAGGTAACAGTAGAGCAGGTACAGGGCAAGGCAGGGCAGTACAGGGCCAAATCCATGGCAGGGGCAGGGAAAAGCCAGGCCCATTGCCAATGCACCAGCCTTCCCTACAAGGCTCCTACCACCTGGCCACTGCTGCAGCCCGTCCATCGCTGTAAGCCTGACCCCCAACCCTGGCTGCAGCCGCCTGCCCTCCTAGTGTGGCCGCTCTCCTACTGCTTTGGCGCACTGCAGTCTCCGTCACTGCCACCCACCTGCAGGGAGGCGAGCCGTGGTGTTGCAGGCTCTAGGTGTCTCCTCCTCCTCCTGGCACGGAGCAGCTGGGCGGGCAAAGCCAGAAAAGCCTAGAGGAAGATGTGAGAGGTGGAAGGGTTAGAGCCTCAACTTGTCATGCTGGCCACTGGGTGGCAGGGGCCAGTTTCAGCAAAGGCACTCACACCCACCCTCCAAAGTCCAGCCTCTTCTTTTGGCCCAAGCTGGCTGGGAACTGGGGTCTGGGGTGGGTGCTGGAGACACCACGGCACCCAGCTCCCCACTCCACAGGAACCATTGGGCCCACTGGGGCTGCACTCCTCGGGGAGCATGAGAAGCAGAAAAATTCAGACCCAGCCAGCCCTCCACAACCAGGTGCCAATTCCTGTTCTGGACGCCTCCACACACAGGGCCCTGTCTCCCGTGGTGTCCCCAGGGGTGCCTGGCAGCCTCTGAGGCACAGACCCAGAATGCACAGGCCCAGGAACCACAGTGGGTGTGGGGGCTCTGCCATGCTCAGGATTCCCACGCAAATGGTGTGGTGCCCTGCTGCACTCCAATATGACCAAGAGTGGGTCGCCCTCTGGAGTGTGGAGTCAGGGAGAGGAGAACCACTCCTTCCTTGGATGCCAACTCTCCTGACCGCTGCCAGCAGTGCAGCCCCTGATAGCACCGAACTCGCCCCCCCTCCACAGCTAGTCCTGCCCTCAATAGTGCCCCCACCTCGGTCCCCCAATACCGCCAGTAGCGTATACCCGATAGTGCCCTAACCTGTCCTCCTCCATGGGCATTGTAGCCCCAGAAAGCACCCATAACCCACCCTCTCTGCCGTGGGCAGTGCAGCCCTGTACAGTGCTACCAACCAGTACCCCTAATGCAGGCAATGACACCCTGGATAGTGCCCCCAACCCACCCCACACTGCGAAAGGTGCAGCCCTGTATGGCCCCTGTCCTACCACTCTGGTCGTGCTGCAGTCTCTGTCACCACCACCACCAACCACAGTGAGGCAAGCCAGCTGGCCGCAGGCTCTAGCACCCAGCAGCCAGGCATGGAGCAGCTCTCGCTGATGGCCGGCTCCTACCACTCTGACCACGCTGCTGTCTCCGTGGCCATCTTCTTTGACTACAAAGGAATAAAACTAGGTATCAATAAGAAGAGTAATTTTGGAAACAATACAATCACATGGAAGTTAAGCACTACTCTCCTGAATAAATGACTAGCAGGTCAATGAAGATACTAAGACAGAAATTCAAAAATTTCATGAAACAAAGGGTAATGAAAACACAGGATACCAAAACTTGTTAGGCAGAAAGCAGTACAAAGGCAGAGATTTATAGCTATAAGTGCCTACCATCCAAACAAAAGAAAAACTTCAAATAAACAATACATCTTAAAGAACTAGTAAAGTAAGAACAAACTAAACTGAAATTAATAAAATAAATAAGATCGTAGCAGAAATAAAATTGAAAGAAAAAACACAGAAGATTAAATGAAAAGCTGGTTTTCTGGAAAGCTAAACAAAATTGACAAACTTTTAACCAGGCTAAGAAAAGAGACAAGATTCAAATAAATAAAATCAATAGATTAAAAAAAGGAGACATTACAACTAATACTTCAGAAATTTAAAGGATCATAACTGGCTATTACATGCCAATAAATTGGAAAGCCTAGTAGAAATTGGCAAATTCCTAGATGCATACAACCTACTTAGGTCAAACAATGAAAACATCCAAGACCAGAACAGATTGGTAACAAGTAATGAGATTGAAGCCATCAGAAAAAGTCTCCCAGTAAAGAAAAGCCCAGGAACTGATGTCTTCACTGCTGATGGCTTCACACCAAACAATTTAAAGACCTAGTACGAATCCTGCTCAAACTATTTTGAAAAACAGGAGGGAATACTTCCAAACTTATTCTATGAGACCATTATTACTGTGATACCAAAATCAGACAAAGGCATCAAAGAAGGAAACTACAGGCCAGTATCTCTAACATTGATGCAAAAATCCTCAACAAAATACCAGTGAATCAAATTCAGTAATACATTAAAAAGATAATTCATCATGACCAAGTGAGATGTATCCCTGGGATGCAAGGGTCACTCAACATACAATGTGATACGACATATCAACCAAATAAACGACAAAAACAGTATGATCACGTCAACTGAAACTGAAAAGGCATTTGATGAAATTCAACATCCCTTCATGCTATAAATCCTCAAAGAAACGGGCACAGAAGAAACATACCGCAACATAATAAAAACTACAGGAAAGACACCCACAGCTAGAATCATATGGAATGGGGAAAAATGGAAAGGTTTTCCTCTAAGATCTGGAACATGATAAGGATGCCCCCTGTCACCACTGTTGTTTAACATAGTACCAGAAATCCTAGCTAAAGCAATCAGTGCAGTCCCTGATATGGCCCCCAACCCACCCTGCCCTCTACCACCTGCAGTGTAGACCCCCCCAATACCACACCCAACATACCCAAACTGCCTTGCCTCCCCGCACCATGGGCATTACAGCACCCCATAGCGCCCTCAACCCGAAACCGCCAACCCCCCACAGCCGCACAGTGCAGCCCCGGATAGCACACTTAGCCCACCTCACTGTTGCCAGCAATACAGTCTGGGATAGTGCCCCCAACCGGCTCCCCGCCAAAGGCAGTGCAGCCCCGGTTTGGGCCCCTAAACCACCCCCCCTGGTGCAGGCATCACAGCCCCAGATAGCACACCCAAACAGCCACCCAGGACAGGCAGTGACGCCTGAGATAGGGCTCCCAACCCGTCCCAGGCCACCCGCAGTGCAGCCTGGATAGCGCACTTACCCCGACGCCTTTCTACGCTGTGGCTGGCTGCAGTGTCCATCGCTGCCACCAACCGCAAACAGGGCTGCAAACAGGAAGGATTTTATTCACCCTCGATGTGGCCCCGAGTTGTCCCAAAGCGAGGCAGTGTCCCCAAGGTCTGTGCAGAGCAGAACGCAGCTCCACCCTCGCGGTGCCACCGGCCCGCCCGTCCGGGTTTGTGCTGAGGAGAACACTGCTCTGCCTTCGCTGTATCTCCGAAGTCTGTGCAGAGTAGAACTCAGCTCCGCGCTCACGATGCTCTTCGGGTCTGTGTTGAGGAGAACGCAGCTTCGCCCTGGCAAAGGCACACAGCGCCAGCGCCGGCGCGGCGGAGAAGCAGATAGCGGCGGAGAGGCCCAGGGCGGCGGCGCAGGCGCGGAGAGGCCCACGGCGGCGGCGCAGGCGCGGAGAGGCCCACGGCGCCGGCGCAGGCCCAGGCTCCACTCCCCAGCTGTGAAAGGGTAAGAACTGAGGGTGGCTGAGACTCGGGGTTGTTCAGGGCGGGGTGGGCTCTGGACCCAGCAGGCCCGTCACCCAGGTCAGGGCTCCAGGGGAGGCCAGGTGGGGCGAAGGCCAAGGAGGTGCCGGGACTGGTCAGGAAGGGCTCCTGGTGACCAGAGCACTTTGCGTAAGCCAGCGTGGGAGGGAGGTGGGCTGGATGAGCCAGGGAGGCGCCGGAAGGGGCCTTGGCAGAGGCGACCCCCTCCGTCAGCCCCCAGGCCACTGAACCCTGGGTAGCGAGAACCGACAGGGGAGGCTGCAGACAGAGGAGTGGAGGCTCCCCGGCTTTGGGGGCTCTGAGTAGAAGCATCTAGGGGGTCCCTCAAGAGGCCCCCAAATGCTTCCCCGTGGTGAGAAAACAAGGCGCAGAGAGGCGCACGGTGCTGGCGCCAAGGGCCGCACAGCGAGATTTGCTGTGATTTCTTTTATTGCCCCAAATGTACTTCATCTTGGTAGATTTCTATTGGCTTTAAAAATGTGTGTGTTTTGCTGTTGGGGAGTGGGGTGTTATACGGATGTCAGATTTTGCTGGTTGAACTGTTCAGATCTTTTGTAAATCCTTGCTCCTTTTCTGCCTAGTTTCATTCTGTCACTTACACTAGAGTGCGGTGGCACGAACAAGACTCACTGCAGCCTTGACTTCCTAGGCTCAAGTACTTCCCCTGGCTTAACCTCCTGAGTAGCTGGTACTATAGGTGTGTGCCGCCACACCTGGCTAAATTTAAAATTTTTTGGAGAGGTGAGGCCTTGCTATGTTGCCCAGGCTCGAACTCCTGGCCTCAAGCTATCCTTTGTCTTTGCCTCCCAGAGTTCTGGTATTACAGGCATGAGCCACTGTGCCCGGCCTCTGCCTAGTTTTAACAGTTGCTAAGAGGAGGATGTTGAAGTAGATGTCTTCTTGGTGGGTTAATCCTTTTGTCATTAAGCAGTTGTTAGGGTCACTTCCTTTTCACCCCATTGGTGAAGGAGGGGTCCCTGCCCTAAAGTGTAGGAGATGGCTGAACACGACGCCTGGCGTGGATGGATGAGATTGACAGCAGTGTTTTAGTCACATATACCCACAGCTCAGAGGAGGACACTGCATGCCACACAGGGTCAGATGGGCACCGCACTCTGTATCGGAGTGAGGGCTGCGGGCTGAGGAAGCAGGCAGGCTTGGTAGTAACAAGAGCACACAATGATCAATGGTTCCCAAGGGGGCATGCAATTGGCTTGTTTGAATAAATTCATGGGCTGGCAGACAGGTGAAGTGAAACTTTTTAGGCTGAGGTGCAACTGTTCTGGCTGATAAAAGAACTAGCCAGGTGGGGAGCCTTTCCTGTTGGGTGGCGGGGTAGGGGGTGTCTGGTAGAAATAGGAAAACCTACGGCTAGGCCTTTGGGGCCCTGTGAGGCTCAAAGATGTCAAGACAGCATAGGAAATTTTAGATCTTAAAATTCAGCCAAGACCCTCTCCAGCTCTGGTAAATTATTTTGCTTGAAGTCTACTTCATGAGATATTAATATATTCACTCCTGCTTCCTTAAAAAATTAACGATTTCACAGGATATCTTTCTCCATTCTTTTACTTTCAACCTACTTAGGACCTTAAGTGAGTTTGAAGTTTCTTATGAAGAGTATTTAGTTGGACCATGTGTTTATTATAGGCTCTCCATCAATCTGTCTTTTGGTTTATTTAGACCATTTACATTTAAGGTGCTTATTGTTACATAATTGCTTATGTCTGATGTTTTTATTATTTGCTTTGTTGTTTCCTTTTTCTTTCCCTCCATCTTGATCTATTTCTGTATAATGTTGTTGCGTGTATCTCTTTGTATAGTCTTAAAGTGTTTGCTCTGGATGTTAACAATATGTGCATTGTAATATAGTAGTCTACTGGTACCAGTATTTACCACTTCAAAGTGTGGAAACCTGCCTTGCATTTATGTCTCTTTACCTTTTCCACTTGTATAAATCACTGGCTTGAGTATTAGGTGGTGGTATAGTTTTTGTTTCAGTCGTCAAATGTGATTTTAAGAACTGTGGATTGTCTCGCGTATGTATCCACATTTCTGGTCTTTCCTTTGTCCCTCCTCCCATAGTCCCATATTCATCCCTTCTGCATAAGAACTTTCTGTAGCCATTTTTTTATTTTGATTTTTTTGTTTTAATTTTTTGTATTGTGGAAATGACACAACATATTTCTGTAGCCACTTTTTAGCATTTCTAAATTGACCGGTGACAAATTCCTATATTCTTTTCCTCTCAGAATGTCTTTATTTCTCTCTTCATTTCTGAAGGGTAGTTTCATGGGATATAGAATTTGCAGCCAACAGTTTTTTTGTTTGGTTGGTTTTTTGTTTGGTTGTTTTTTTTTAAGCACTTGAAAATGTTGTGCCACTTCCTTCTGGCCTCCATGGCATTTGAGTTGGCGTGTCCCTACAGGCATTCTGCCATTTTTGGTCTTTGTTTTTAGTTTTGAGAGTTTAATCAGTGTTGCTTTCTTTTGGTATACTTTGAGGTTTGCTCAGCTTCTTGAATCTGTAAGTTTATATCTTTCACCAAATGTGGGAAGTGTCAGGAATTAGTTATTTGCATGCTTTCGCAGCTCTGGTCTCCTGTGGGACTCAGATAACATAAATGTGGGGTCTTTTGTTATCGTCTCACAGGTCCGTGCAGCTCTGTTCATTTGTTTTCAGGTTATTT
This sequence comes from Homo sapiens, assembly GCF_000001405.40. NCBI lineage: Eukaryota > Metazoa > Chordata > Mammalia > Primates > Hominidae > Homo > Homo sapiens. The sequence goes on along the minus strand of NC_000016.10, from coordinate 33,704,457 downwards.
CCTATCTATTGTTTAGGCTGGGTGAATTCTGTTGATCAGGTTTCAGCTTCTCTGATTGTCTCCTCTGTCGTCTCCACTTTTACTCAATAGAGCCCATCCAGTTAGATTTTTTTAAAATTTCTGTTACTGTATTTCATATTTCTGTAATTTCCATTTGATTCTTCTTCAGTTTCTTTGCTGATGTTTTCAGTTCTTTGATTGTTGCAATAGCATTTGTAGTTGCTTGTTGAAGCACTTTTATACTGACTGTTATAAGTGATGAGTCAGATGGTTCCAACATCTGCCTATGTAATTTTTTTATTTTTGCAGGCAGTCTTCCTGTTTAGGTTTAGTCTGTAGGTCTTGGTCTATTTTGTGGGCTGAGATTCCAATGGCAATTTAATTTCAGAGCCTTCATGGTGTTATTTTGGTCTGTTTGGCTTATATGTATCACTGGGATTCTCCCACCAGTCCCTGCTGTTGCCCACCTGAGGGAACAGGGGAGCTGCCCCAGGCTGGGCCACCTGCTGCAGCTAGATGGGTGGGGAATGGTGGTTGTCTTGGTGTGTGGAGCTGGTTTTCTTGTTGTGGGGAAGATCTCCTTTGATCTGCGGGGACTGAGTCTGCCTGGGTTGCCTTCTATTGCTACGTTAGGAGTTGGGAAACTCTGGGCCTGGGTCACCTTCCTATTGGATGAGGTCCAGGGAGACACCTGGCCACTATGCATTCCCTAGTCCTAGAGTCCCTCAGCAGCCTTTTTCTGTCCACCTTTCGGAATTCTCCATTGATCATCTCCTGTCTATTATTTCTAGAGTTTGGGTTACATTTCTTAGGAGGGTATAATGTATTATCTTCTCTAGACCAGAAATCCTTAGTGGTGGTTTCGGGTTGTAACTGTGCTAAAGGGAGAATTGGCGTATTTGTGATGTCGAGTCTTTCTTTTCAAATGAGGACATATCATTATTCAGTAAATAATATTTACAACACCTACTTCCTTAGGTTGAAGAATGTGGTTAAGGCAAGGAAAGTACTTAACGCAGTGCCTAGCGTGGAGAGCACTTACGAGTGTTGGTAGTGATGCTATTCCTTTTGTCCTTTGGTAGCATATTAAAGCTTTTCTTCTTTTTTAAAAAAATAAAGTTCCAGTGCACTTCTTGTTAGGTTTATTCCTATTTTATCTTTTTTTGCTTTTATTACAAATAGGAGCTTCCTATCTTTTATAACGTCTACCTGGTTCTTTGGCCCTTATGTGAAAATGTTTTAATAGCCTTCTAAACATTGCTCTCCCAAATGAGTTTTAACTTGCCTCTTTCTTTTGTTTTCCTTTTTTTGAGACAGGGTCTCACTCTGTCACCCAGGCTGGAGTTCAGTGATGCAATTATGGCTCACTGCAACCTCTGCCTCCCGGGCCCCCAAAGTGCTGGGTTTACAGGTGTGAGCCACTGCACCCAGCCTTACTTGTCTATTTCTTCTAAGAGTGGGAACTATAATTGAGCCCAGAGCTCCAAAAACAAATGAAGGAATGAATGAGTGAATAAGCTCTTCCCATGGGTTTGGTGTGGTTTGGGGCTCTACTGTTAATCTAAATGCTATGTTTTATATAATCTAAAATTTCCCCTAGGTGTGTTACATGATTGCGTTGTGTTGAACTTACATTGAGACTCCTTTTCACATATGCTGGTTATCAGCATGGGACTTTTCCATTCACTCTTTGAATTATTCGCTTGGGGGACACAGATAGACCTCTGTGTCTTTCATAAAGAGTGTCCATTGGCCGGGTGCAGTGGCTCATGCCTGTAATCCCAGCACTTTGGGAGGCTGAGGAGGGCAGATCACGAGGTCAGGAGTTCGAGACCAGCCTGGCCAATATGGTGAAATTCCCTCTCTACTAAAAATACAAAAATTAGCCAGGCCTGGTGGCGGGTGCCTATAATCCCAGCTACTCGGGAGACTGAGGTAGTAGAATTGCTTGAACCTGGGAGGCAGAGGTTGCATTGAGCTGAGTTCATGCCACTGCACTCCAGCTTGAGTGACAGAGTGAGACTCCATCTCCTAAAAAACAAAAACAAAAGAGTGTCCATTATCTATACTGGAAAAATTGAGATTGGGATTTTGACATGAAGTGCGGAAATGTGGATTGGGTCCATTTAGTTTACCTAAACAGATGATGAAATACTAACTGTTCTACGAAGCATTCCCTAGTGTAAAGTTTTGCCTGTGTGTGTAGTGACGGGAACAGTGAGAATGAGGCTTGGAACGTGGAGCGCATTGTGGGCCTGTTGTGGGTGGGGCCAGCAGCACATGCATGCCTGGCTCACAGAGCAGCCTTTGGGTGTTCTTTTCCCAGAGGAGCTCTATGGTGACTTTGAAGACTTGGAAACAGGGGACGTGCACAAGGGAAAATCGGGCCCCGATACTCAGGTATGACTTTGTCGTAGCTGGCTGTTCTTGGTCATTGTGTTCTGAGAGAGGCCCACATTGAGAAATGCAAATCTTACTTGTGATGTGTGAAGATTGCAGACTGGATGGATAGATTCCTTCCTAAAGGGTGGGGATGTGGGGACCAAAGAGAAGCTTTCTTGTTTACTTGTTAAGTTTTGGACGACAGTTACTACCATTTCTTGCCATAGTCATTTGCCAAGTCCACTGTGATTTTTCACTCACAGAAGTCTTAGCTTCTCAGACTTACATTCAACCATTGCCATCATTCTCCTCTTTTTAAATTTAAGTGTCATTTAAATGAATGAAGTCCCTGTTCTCCCTAATATTTCTTTAGAACAGGTTCTGGGAGCATCTGGGTGAGGGACATGTCTGTTATTTTTATTCTAGTTTGTGTTCCCAGCCAGCTTAAGGAATAGCAGCTAATTGTAATGCAGATGTAACAATTTCCTGTAGCAGTACCATGTTATTCAGAGAAAAAGGTTGTGTTGTGGTTTGTTTCATTTTATTGATAATGGTAACAGATTTTTGCTAAGATTTTTGTTTAAATAGAACTTTAAAAAATCTAATGTTTAAAGAAAAGACCTTCATAAACATACACAAAATTTTTTCTTCTGGAAATTTAAGAATGAAGATATAGAGAAACAAGGAAGAAATTGACCCCGACAAAGAAGAAAGTGCCAAGAAAAAGCATTTGGATAAGAAGAGAAAATTGAAGGAGATGTTTGATGAGGAATATGATGAAGGAGAAAGCACATATTTTGATGATCTTAAAGGAGAAATGCAGAAACAAGCACAGGTGAGAAACCTCAGTTCCTCTCAGCCCCTTGTCAAGACTATCACATAGTGCAGGAATCCCTGACTTTCTTTGGGTCCCTGCTTCCTATCCTGCTTCTGTGCCTTTCATTTGGACTCCTGGGTAGATGCATGTGAGTGTGTTTATTCATGCAGTGAGCTCATTGTTTCTACAGTCAGAAGGTCACCAGAAAAAGATCCATACCTATTTTGTAACAAGAATTAGGAAACCGAAATGACTGAAACATGGTCTCTACTTTTGAGACTTTTACAATGTAGTGATCTGAGACAGTGTGTTCATTTCAGTGCAAGCCAATGCTGCCTATTCTGATCGCTGCTCCCTGATTTGAGTGGCAGGTGATCAGTGGCCCGTGTGGCTTATGGACACACCAGAGCTCCCAGGGGAAGTGCTCTGAAAACTCATCCTGGTCAGAGTTCAGAAGGACATGTGGAGTATAAGGTCAGATGCGGAGATAAGGGAGATGGTGTGGCCCTCCAGCCTGGGGGTGCTGAGCAGGTTGTTGGAGGCAGTGATCTCACTCTGAAGGAGACAGACACAGAAACATGTGTACAGTTGATGGTGAGCATCTGAGTTGCGTCTTGTTAGCGAGGCCAGGAGTGCCTGTGTAAGCTGGAACAGATTAGGTATATGATTTGTGAAATGGAGTTTCATCCTAGGTCTTCATCTAGTCAAAGTACTGTTTCCTGATTAAGCATTAACTTAGTGGTTGCTAGTCTGTGTTGACCTTTGAAAGGCATGACTAGCCTAACTGAAGTTTTTGCTTCACACCATTTACAATTTAAAACTACCCAGAGCCTTGTGAGCCATTGGAAAAGACTGAATGTTTCACTCTGAAATGGGAGTCCTTGGAGGGTTTTGAGCAGAAGAGAGACATTCAGGTAATCAGATCACTTTGCCAAGAGATCAGTCTGGTAGAGATCAGTCTGGTGGCACAAACCAGAGGGCTGGCAGTGGAGATGAGACAAAGAGTCAAACCTGGATAGAGTTTCTTTGGAAGCTGGGTCAGTAGGATTTCCTGGTGGACTGAATGTGGGGTGTGTGAGAGGAAATGAGGATGGCGACTGGAAGTTCCTGGAAGGATGGGTTGTTGCAGGTTAGATAGGAAACCCTCTGCAGATGTAGTTTTGGGAAGATGATGTTTGGTTCGGCTGGGTATCATGCAGACAAGCGGAGTGTCAAGTCTGGAGAGACAGGTCTGGCCAGGGACTTAGATGTACAGCCCTCAGCATGTAGATGCCACTTAATGCTGTGAGGTGGCCGGGGAGTGAGTGCAGAGTGACTGGGAGGAGCAAGACTGGCATGGGCGAGATGGGGTGATTGCGGCCGTGAGGCCTGAGCAGTGCCTAGGAGGGAGAGGGAGAAGCAGTGTGAGCATGCAGGCATGCAGGAGTCCAGTTGTACACGGAGGCGAAGCACCGTTCAGATCCCCTGCTGTGTTAACTACGGTGAAGGCAGAGTTGACCACTGGAGGAGTCCTTCAGCCTGAAGGCCTTCAGCGATCTTGGCAAACACCAATTTTCATGGATGTAGGAGAATGGGAGCAGAGGAACTGGAGGCTGCAACTGCAGAAAACTTTTGTGGGGTTTTGCTGCAGAGAGAAGCAGAGAAATGAAGCAGTTGTTGGTGGAAGAAGTGGAATCAAAAGGTTTTGAGAAAAGAGAGAGAACAGAGGGAAGAGCTGTTGGAATAAAGTCCAGGAAGAGTGGATGGTGTCTAGTGAGCAAGTGATGTGTGGCCCTGAGTAGAGGCATGAACAAATCATCTGTGCCTGAGCTGCCCATAGAACTTTCTGTGATCATGGAGATGCACGTCTGTGCTTCCCAATATTGTAACACTGGCCGCAGGTTGATATGGGCCACTTCCAGTGTGACTAGTGTGATTGAGGAACTGCATTTTAAATATTATGTAATAGTAATTAATTTTAATTTAAATAGCCACACATAGCTCCTCTATGGGCCAGGTCAGAGCTCTGATAAGGCTGGATATGGGAGGAAACCCTGGTAGAGGGTTGACCGTAGAGGTTCTTTTGGTTTTGGAGTGAATCAGGAAACAGCCATCAGCTGAGTGAAGGTGAGGATGGTGGTGGGTGTTTGAAGACAAGGGAAAAGTGTGAAAGAATTATTTGGAGAGGAAGGAAAGAAGGTGTGGACTGGGGATGTTTCCAGTGTTCAAGCACGCAGGGCTCCACAGTTATCTACATTTGCCGTGCCTTGTAGCAGGAGAGAAGAAAACGGTTGAGACATATTCTGAACAGACTGTAGAGGTAAAATGTGTAGGTTTTTTTTGTTTTTTTGTTTTTTGAGATGGAATCTCGCTCTATTGCCCAGGCTGGAGTGCAGTGGCATGATCTTGACTCACTGCAACCTCCGTCTCCCAGGTTCAAGCGATTCTCTCACCTCTGCCTCCTGAGTAGCTGGGACTACAGGCACGCACTACCACACCCAGCTGATTTTGGTATTTTTAGTAGATATGGGGTTTCACCATGTTGGCGAGGCTGGTTTCAAACTCCTGACCTCATGTGATCTGCCCGCCTCAGCCTCCCAAAGTGCTGGGATTACAGGCATGAGCCACTGTACCCGGCCAAATGTGTAGTATTTTTAATAGGATAAAGCCTACATAATTCTGTCCACAGTTCCTTTACTTAGAAATTGCTCATTTGTTCATGTTAATCCTATGTTTATTACAGATAACAGCATACAGGTTTTTTTCCCCCCCTGTCATGTACAGCTGAATCGCACAGAATTTGAAGATCAAGATGATGAAGCCAGAGTTCCATATGAGGGTTTTCGGCCTGGGGTGTACGTCCGCGTTGAGATTGAAAATGTTCCCTGTGAATTTGTGCAGAACTTTGACCCCCATTACCCCATTATCCTGGGTGGCTTGGGCAACAGTGAGGGAAATGTTGGAGACGTGCAGGTGGGTCCCTTTGCTGCATATTTGGTGCCTAAGGCTCTGTGGATTTCCCCTCCATCAATCATCTTACACTCTCATCCCCCTCAGATGCATCTGAAGAAACATCGCTGGTATAAGAAAATCCTCAAGTCCCGAGATCCAATCATATTTTCTGTAGGGTGGAGGAGGTTTCAGACCATCCCGCTCTATTATATCGAAGACCATAATGGAAGACAAAGGCTTCTAAAGTATACCCCACAGCACATGCATTGCGGAGCAGCCTTTTGGGGTAAAATATGATTACAATAACTTGCCTATTGCCGAGATTAAACCTTACAGGCTGTGTTATTTTAGCTTTGTGCTTTTCCTTTCATAAAATTCCACTTCTAAGATTTTTCTCTTTTCTGGGAGCAGGGAGGTGGTTTGGAGTATATATGTAAATCTATATCCAAATCTAAATGTCCATATCCAGTATGTTAAACTAGAATCTAAAATTTGTGGTTTGCTATATTTCTTTTTTTCCTTTTCCTTTAAGACCCTGTCACTCCACAGGGAACTGGTTTCTTGGCAATACAGTCTGTCAGTGGCATAATGGTAACTATCTTGGATGATTTCTTTTACAGATTGGTTTGAGAAATATATCCTGAATATGGGTTATTATGTACATCAGACTTTAAGTTGAAAATTACACATTTTTATTAATATAAAGTAAATTTCCCTTTGCTTTTAATCTTTGTACATCCTTTTCAGTAGGGTGTGGGATTAGAGGAGGGGAGGTGGAAGAATTATGATGGTACATTTCCTATTTTTGTGCATCTTTTGCATTTATTCATCTAAGGAGGTACTTAAGCAGTGCTCACCATGTGCTAAGCACTATATGAGGTTGTGAGGAGCCATCAGAGACCACCCAGATACAAGACTCCCTGCAGCTGTGCTGGGGTAGCAGTCTGTTCACTCCATTTTCATTTGACCAGTCAGGCAGGGCAGGGTTTACTGGTCCCATTTAACAGAGAAGGAAGCAGAATAATGAGCAGATGGAATCTTCCCTGGAGGTCCAAATTTTAGTTTCCTAAACATTGCAACTGTATTTTTCTTTTCCATTTCGTTCCAAATAAATCATTATAGTAAAATTACATTCCTCTGAAATCACTCTCAGGAAAGTACTCAAGTAGCCTTTTTTTTTTTTTTTTTTTTTTTGAGAGAGTCACACTCTGTCGTCCAGGCTGGAGTGCAGTGGCACGATCTTGGCTCGCTGCAACCTCTGCCTCCTGGGTTTAAGTGGTTCTCCTGCCTCAGCCTCCCGAGTAGCTGGAATTACAGGTATGCACCATCATGCTGAGCTAATTTTTGTATTTTTAGTAGAGACGGGATTTAGCCATGTTGGCCAGACTGGTTTCAACCTTCTGACCTCAGGTGATCCACCTGCCTTGGCCTCCCAAAGTGCTGGGATTACAGGTATGAGCCACTGTGCCCGGCCTCAAGTCACTCTTGTTAGTTTGGCTTACCAACTTTAAAGTTTTGGATTGCTTTTGTCAAACCACTGGGTTGCAAGTTCAGATGGTCTCTCTTGTTTTTCTTAGCTAATTGTAAGTAAAATTCACTTTGGTAATTTATTGTGTCAAATAGAATTGAAGTTTTTCTCTTGCTAATATTTTTCCTATTTTCAAATTTTGGGGTTCCTGTTAGCCTGATTTTCGGATAGCTGCCACAGGAGTTGTCCTTGATCTGGATAAATCCATAAAAATTGTGAAGAAATTAAAGCTAACTGGTTTTCCATATAAAATTTTCAAGAACACTTCATTTATTAAGGTCTGTATATCTATATATTCTCAAATTTATAAATGTCCATATTGTTTGAGAAAAGGAATGAAATACGTCTAAAATATGGGCCTCATATTTTTAGAAAAGTGTTTGAAATCTTTTATAAACTTCATATTTTGTTTGCTCCTTTATATTCTGTATTACTTAAATATGCTCAAAAAAGCAGAGGTAAACAGCTATTTAGGAATTGAGGCTGTTACTCCTGACTTCCATGTGAGACTGCCACAGAACTCATATTGAAAATATGTCATTTTATCCACTAGGTTTTGTTTCCTACTTTTTAAATTTGTGTTAAGAAAGGGAAAAAAATCACAAGTTTGTCTAACTCAGTAGAAAAATTGACAAAGCATTTGCAAACAACTTGGCAAGGGTACAGAGAAACGGATGTACTGTTTTTCAGTATTTGGGGAGGGTGGTTTGAGCACATTTATTGACAATTTCATTAGTGAGGATGTTTCTATTGAAAACACAGAGTTAGGAAGTCTTAAAATGTTCTTGGAATATAAAGTAATAATACCACCGGCGTTTATCTTACTGTTTTCGTGTTCTAAGTGCATGCATCTAAGTAAAAGGATCTGGGCTGCAGTCCAGTCTGAGAGATGCCAGCAAAGGCTTCCTAGGCCAGTTCAGTCCAGTAAATCCCTCTTCGATCTTCTCTTCCACACAGACAGCAGTGATGAGCATGCCCATGAACTCACATGATTATTTTGGGGAAAATGAAAGAGTTGTATTCTTTTTGAGGTAGTAATTCCACTTTCAGGGGCAAATACATTTTGATTATTTTATCACCCTTCAGTGAGTTGTTTTTGTTCTTTAATCAAGGATGTATGTTTGAAGTAAGAAGTAAAGCATAAAGTATACGATTTTGTGTGTGTGTGTGTTTTTATCTTGCTATACCTGTAGGGAATATTTAATTCTGCCTTGGAAGTGGCCAAATTTGAAGGTGCTGTGATTTGAACTGTCAGTGGGATAAGGGGGCAGATCAAGAAAGCACTCTGTGCTCCAGAAGGAGCTTTCCGGGCCAGCTTTGAGGATAAGCTGCTGATGAGCGGTGAGTGTCTTAAGTAGTGTTCAGGGCAGGGTATTACCATTCATGCTTGACTTCTAGCCAGTATGACGAGAGGCTGGAGTCAGGTCTCCAGAGAGTTGAGCAGCTCCAGCCTTAGATCTCCCAGTCTTATGCGGTGTGCCCATTCGCTTTGTGTCTGCAGTACCCTGGCCACACCCAGTAACAGTTCTGTGATCTATGAGAATAGTTTCCTTAGCGAGCTTTCCCTTCAAATACTTTGCAGCCAGGTAGAGAAGTTTGGAGTGAAGGTTTTGTTCTTTTGTTTCTTCGCAATATGGATATGAATCTTCTTTTGAAAATGTTAAAGTAAATTACCTCTTTTCAGATATTGTCTTCATGCGAACTTGGTATCCTGTTTCCATCCCAGCCTTCTATAACCCAGTAACATCTTTGTTGAAACCAGTGGGTGAGAAAGACACCTGGTCAGGAATGTGGACCACGGGCCAACTCAGGCTCGCCTATGGTGTCAGACTAAAGGCAAATAAGGACTCTCTGTATAAGGTACTGGTCGTGTGTGTGTTAGTGGAGATGAAGCCTGTGCTCTACAGACAGGGAGTCACACAGACACTTTTCTATAATTTCTTACGTACTTTGAATATTCAAGTATAAAGTCTAACGTTAAATTTGATTGAACAATTGTATATTTGTGGGATATTTTGGAATGGAACACCAAAAAATGGTAATAGTGGTTCTTTCTGGATTGAAGACAAACTTTTCTTTTTTAAAATAAATTTTATTTTATATATTTGAGGTTGACAATGTGATCTTAAAGGATACATATAGATAGTAAACTGGTTACTATAGTGAAGCAAATTAACATAGCTACCATCTCACATAGTTAGATTTTTGTTTGTGTGACAGGAACAGCTAAAATCTACTTATTTAACAAAAATCCCAAAGACAATATATTTTTATTAACTGTAGACCTCATGATGTACACTAGATCTCTAACTTGTTCATCCTACATGTCTGCTACTTTGTATTATTTTAATGTACATCTCCCCATTTCCTATTGGTCATTTCCTATTTGGCCCATTTTTCAACTGGGTTGTTTTTCTGCTATTAAGTTGTAAGAGTTCTTTACTGATTTTTGGATATTAACACTTTATCAGATATGTGGTTTGCAAATATTTCTTCCAGTCTGTAGGTTCCCCTTTCATTTTGTTGGTTGTGCCTTTGCTGTGCAGAAGCTTTTTAGTTTGATGCAGTCCTTCTTGTTTATGTTTACATTTGTAGCCTGGCTTGTGGTGCAATATCCAAAAAATTATTGCTAAGGCCAATGTCAAGAGGCTTTCCCCCTATGTTTTCTTCTAGGAGTTTTATGGTTTCAGGTCTTATTTGGGTCTTTGGTCTTGTATCTGTTTTGAGTTGATTTTTGTGTATGGTGTATGATCAGGGTCCAATTTTATTCTTTTGCATGTGAAAATCCTATTATTGAAGAGACTATCTTTTTTACCATTGTGTTGTCTTGTTTGCCCTTGTCAAAAATTAGTTGACAGTATATGTTTGGATTTATTTCAAAGGTCTCTGTTCTGTTCCATTTGTCTATTTTTTTGTTTTTATGCCAGCACCATACTGTTTTGATTACTATAGCTTTGTAATACAATTTTAAATCAAGAGGTGTGATGCCTCCAACTTTTTCTTTCACAGTAATCTGTTGGCTGTTTGGGGTTTTTTGTGGTTCCATATGAGTTTCAGGATTGTTTTTTCTTTTCTTTTCTTTTCTTTTTTTTTTTTTTTTTGAGGCAAAGTCTCACTCTGTTGCCCAAGCTGGAGTGCAGTGGCATAATCTCGGCTCACTGAAACCTCTGCCTCCTGGATTCAAGCAATTCTTCTGCCTCAGCCTCCCAGGTAGCTGGGACTACAGGCATATGCCACTATGCCCGGCCAATTTTTGTAGTTTTAGTAGAGACAGGGTTTCACTATGTTGGCCAGGCTGGTCTCCAACTCCTGACCTTGTGATCCGCCCACCTGCAGTCTCCCAAAGTGCTGGAATTACTTTGGGAGCCACTGTGCCTGGCCAGGATTGTTTTATTCTGTTCTGTGAAGAATACCATCAGAACTTTGATGAGGATTGTGTTAAATCTGTATATTTGCTTTGGGTAGTGTGAACATTTTAACAATATTAATTCTTCTGATCCATAAACATAGGATGTCTTTCCATTTGTTCATGTCTAAATTTCTTTCATCAATGTTTTATGGTTTTCAAGTGTACACATCTCTCACCTTCTTGGTTAAATTTATTCCTAAGTTTTTGTTTTTCTTTGATGCTATCATAAATGAGATTATTTTCTTGATTGCTTCGTCAGCTAGGTTATTTGTATATAGAAATGCAACTGATTTTTATATGTTGAGTTTATACCTTGCAGCTTAACTAAATTGATTTAGTAGTTCTCACAGTTTTTTGTGGAATCTTTGGAGTTTTTTACGTAAAGGATCTTGTCATCTGCAAATAGAGATAATTTTACTTCTTTAATTTAGTTGCCTTTTTTTTCTCATCTGATTGCTCTTGCAAGTACTCTACTGAATAAAAGTGATGAGGCTGGCCATCCCTATCTTGTACTCAATCTTAGTGGAAAAGCTTTAGTTGTTCCCCACTAACTATGATTAGACTGGGTTTTTCATAAATGGTCTTTATTATGTTGAGGAACTTTCCTTCTATACATAAACTATTAAGAGGTTTTATCAAGAAAGGTTGCTAAACTTTGTTAAATGCTTTTACTGCATCAATTGAGGTGACCATGTCGTTTTATCTTTCATTTTGTTAATGTGATATATCACATTGATTGATTTACATAGTTTTAACCAGCCTTGCATGCCAGGGGTAAATCCCACTTGAACACGATGTATAATGTTTTCGATGTGTTGTTGAATTCTATTTGCTAAAAATTTTTTAGGATGTTTGCATCAGTGTTTAATTTATTGGAGAAGTTGACCTGTAGTTTTTGTTTGTTTGGTGTGTGTGTGTGTGTGTGTGTGTGTGTGTGTGTGTTTTGGTTTGGCTTAGGTATTAAGGTGATACTGGCCTGGTAAAATGTGTTTGGAATTATTTCCTCTTGCTCTGTTTTTGCGAAGAGTTTAAGAAGTAAACTCCAGGGGATGGGAGTGACTCTGGACATGGGAGTGACATGATAGTGACGCTGGACCCTGCAGTGATGGGACACAGCAGCACCTCAGTCTCTGTGAGACCAGGCGCAGCATCAACAAGGACCCCAGAATGGTGGAGCACGACTGTGGCTTGGGCCCTCAGGGGCAGGGACCAGTGCAGCAACTACTTCTCTCCCTGGGGAGGCAGGTGCCTGGGCAACTCAGATTCTCCAGGGCTAGTCCAGTTCCAAGGAAGCAGGGTTCTACAGTTGTTTGTCCTGAAGGGCAAGGTACCCCAGTTCAGCCAATGCTGTTTTCCCGGGATATGGGGGTGCCATGTTGGCTCATCCCTGGCAGGTGTGGCTGCTCAGCTCAGCCAAGACACTGATTCCCTGTGAAGCAGGGCAGTGCTTCAGCTCTCGTGCAGTGGGGGGTGTGACTGCTCAGACTGGCCAAGGCACTGATTCCCTGGAAAGCAGGGCACCAAGTCAGCTCAGGCTCCAAGGGGCAGGGCACAATGGCAGCTGGGAGGGGAGGGGCACAGCAGTGTGGCCCCGCAGGTGCGGTGTATGCTGTGATGTGGACATCATTTGTTCCCACCAGCCATTTGAAATTTCATCCATTTGAAATTTGATTCCAAATGTGGTGGTGTGGGAGGTGGGGCCTAGTGGGAGGTATTTGGGTCACAGGGCAGATCCTTTATGAATAGATTAATGCCTTTTCATGGGACTGGATTAGTTACCAGGAGTGGATTGTTATCAGAGTGAGTTCGGCTTCCTAGACTCTCGTGTTTCCTCTCTTGCCATGTGAGCCCCTTGCATACACCTGTTTCGCCTTCCACTTTCCCCATGAGATGAAGCAGCACAAGACCCTCGCCAGTTGTGCTGCCCGATCTCGGACTTTTCAGACACAAGCAGGGTGAGCCAAATAAACCTTTTTTATAAAATAAGTTACCCCGAGTCTCAAGTATTCTGTTACAGCCACACTAAATGGCCTAAGACAGTGTAACAGTGGCTCGGGGGTGGTGGGCCACTAGGTGGGTGTGATATAGAGCAACAAAGCCTGAGGATGGAAGAAGGGTGCGGTGGCTGCTCACCCTGGGTGGGACATGCTCCCGAAGTGGTCCAGGTCCAGGAGGGCACGTTGCAGCAGCAGCTGGTCCATGGGGGTGGGGCACAATGTCAGTTCCTTCTCTGAGGGGAGTGCTGGGGCTACTGGGCCCCTCTTGCTTCCTTATCCCTGCAGGGAGACATCCCCTCTGCTTCAGGCTGATCCCTCTGGGGGAATGGGTGGTGGGGGCCAGATGTTTCCTTCCCTCCTTTATGTGACCATCCTGGTTTTCTGTGCTCTACTGGATTTCTGCTACTCCTTGATGCACTCTGGGGCTCTCTTTTAGTGACTTTCATCAAAATATAGTTGTTTGCTGCTTTGGCTGTCTTTGTCAGGGGATGAGTGCAAGGGGCTATTGATCAGCCCCTTGCTGGCGTCACTCCCTCTTAAACTTTTCACTGGGTACTCTTTTGAACTATTTTTTCCCCCACCGTATACATGTATTTTTTTAAATGTTAATGTGCTAATTTCTACTGAAGCAATGTGGATTTTTCTGAAAGCTTTAATGTTTTAATAAGCTTTTTATTGAAATGTTAATGTCCATACAGAAGAGTGCCCAAATCATAAGTGTGCATCTAGATGAACTATAGCACACCAGGCTGCCACGCCCTGGACCAAGCAGTAGCCTTGACCTGTGGCCTCTCCCAGGCACTGCTGCCCCAACCCACAAAATAGCTACTTTCCCAGTTCCTGATGTAGATTTGTTCTACCTGGTTTTGACTTCTATAAAATACAGCATATTCTATTTAGCCTGGCTTCTTTGGTTCAGTATTACAGAATACATCTGTGTTCTTGTCTATGGCAGATACTGATTTATTGTCATTGTTGAGTTCCATTATATGACTGTGTCACCATTTTTCCATTGATGAGTAAAGTGATTTCCTATTTTTGGCTGTTATCCCACGGCCCTGAACACTAGGTCTGGATATGGGACTTGCAGGTATGCAGGGGCACACACACTTCTGCTGGGGGATCCCTGGGTGGGGTGGAGACTCCAGGGCACCTGTGCTCTGCTTCAGTGTGGAGGGTTCTGTGTCGTGTTCTGGGAGCACAGTGGCTTGGCCTCCACCACCAGCAGCAGCTTAAAGAGTTCCTGCTGTTCCACATGCTTGCCAACAATTGGCCTCTTGAGTTTTTTTTTTTTTTTTTAAGTTTTCAGTGCCTGCCTGGACTTGTGTTTTCATTTAGATTTTGGTTTCTTAGAACTTTTGTTTTTCTCTTCACAGCTTAACAATGCATTTGAAAAGATTTGTTTTCATGTGGAGTATTCAGTTTTGTAATAAGAGGGTTGTTCAAGGCATCACTCTGCCACTCTGCTAGAAACAGAAGTCTCCCAGGCATTTCTTTTTATATAAAGTAGTTAATGAAATTTTGAACCATCTTACATGAATTTTTATTAAAATACACTTCTGGATGTGGTGCCCATTATCCATTCTACTCTTTTGTAACAAGTAGATTTCTCTGAATTCTTGAATTTGAAAACAACTGGGGTTCCTAAACAGAGAATATGGAATATTATTAGGGATGATGTCTTTAATAATATATTTCAAGACAGGAGAAACTTTTTCTATATAGTTGACTTTAATAAAAAGCTTAGGGCAAAACTTTCAATATATTAACAGTATTTATGAGGCAGTTAAGAATTTGGGTCATCTCCATTTCTGCTAAAAATACAAAAAATTAGCCAGGTGTGGTGGCGGGCATCTGTAGTCCCTGCTACTTGGGAGGCTGAGGCAGGAGAATGGTGTGAACCCGGGAGGCGGAGGTTGCAGTGAGCCGAGATCATGCCACTGCACTTTAGCCTGGGCGACAGAGCAAGACTCCATATCAAAAAAAAAAAAAAAAAAAAAAAAAAGAATTTAGGTCATCTCAATTAAACATAGAATTTAAGATTATGTTGAAAATTCAGTACAGAGTATTTTGCCTTCATCTGTTGTTTGAGTCTCCCTTCTTTTAGCCATCCTTCCATCAGAAATAGAATACCAACTTAAACTTCTTAATTAGAATCAGGAATCAGGACTCTTTGGCTGCTGATTGGAGGAAGAACTGTCCTTAAATCCAGAGTGGGCCGGGCATGGTGGCTCATGCCTGTAATCCTAGCACTTTGGGAGGCCAAGGCAGGTGGATCACCTGAGGTCAGGAGTTCAAGACCAGCATGACCAACATGGTGAAACCCCATCTCTACCGAAAATACAAAAATTAGCCGGGCGTGGTGGTGTGTGCCTGTAGTCCCAGATACTTGGGAGGCTGAGACAGGAGAATTGCTTGAACCTGGGAGGTGGAGGTTGTGTGAGTCAAGATCGCACCACTGCACTCTAGCCTGGGTGACAGGGCGAGACTCCATCTCAAAAAAAAAAAAAATCCAGAGTGGTTGGTAGTCAAGACAAAAAGCTAGATTATTTTTGTTAGTCTGAGAACTAAGCACCTTAGTGGCCCAAAGACAAGGCCTGAAATTTCCATGAAAAGAAACTGGGATCTGTTCATCTGTTCTGTTGAGACCTCATAGTTCCATACCATAGAAATAGGCACAGTGGGTTTCGGGGGGAGAGTTGTAAGTATAAGCTCTCTGTACCTCTGTTTACTGTTTAGTGAGAATTTGGGTGTCCACTGAGGCAGTTCATACTTGGCGGATGATTGAGTCCTGATTTCTCAGGGCCAGCAGACTCTGGTGTTACTGATCTTGTGGAAAAGTCAACCCAATGAGAAGATTTTATGCAGAAGTTTTAAATGCACATTGATCATAATTTGAATATGTCACAGTCTTTATTTTTCTTTTCAGCCAATCCTGAGGCAAAAGAAACATTTTAATTCACTGCACATTCCAAAAGCCTTGCAGAAGGCCCTGCCATTTAAGAACAAGCCCAAGGCCAGGCGCGGTGGCTCACGCCTGTAATCCCAGCACTTTGGGAGGCTGAGGCGGGCGGATCACGAGGTCAGGAGATCGAGACCATCCTGGCTAACATGGTGAAACCCTGTCTCTACTAAAAGTACAAAAAATTAGCCAGGTGTTGTGGTGGGCGCCTGTAGTCCCAGCTACTTGGGAGGCCGAGGCAGGAAAATGGCGTGAACCTGGGAGGCAGAGCTTGCAGTGAACTGAGATCGGGCCACTGCACTCCAGCCTGTGCGACAGTGCGAAACTCTGTCTCAAAAAAAAAGAAAAAAGAAAAAATAAAAAACAAACCCAAGACCCAAGCAAAGGACAGGCGGAGACTGGCCGTCATGCGTGAGCCTCATGAAAGAAAGGTACTGTCGCCCATGCCGTACTGCACGCTGCATTTAGATAGGAAAAGAACACTCTCAGTAGCACACTTCCTGTTTCTACTGCAGTCTCAGTTATTCAGGGCACTGGAACTAAAGTCAGAGGAAGAGCTGGAGTCAATTTCCCTTCCTTTGCCTGGTCCTGCTCTGCCCTGTTCTTTTGATGGGGTATAACAGGCACATGACTGGGGAACCCTTCTGTCTTGGTTAGCTGCACACAGTGTCCACAGAATGATGAACAGAGGTAGTAAAGGTAAAATGCGATCACACTTGTGTCTCCATGCCAACAATGACTTCCTAGCGCAGGATGCATTTTCATGCGGTTAATATTCATTTGGATCGTGGGTTGCCTCTAGTCTTAGTGCTTAGGATGTGAGTGTGTGGTGGCTGAGAGCATTCTGATACTCACCGGCTTTTGTCCTTGTCAGATCCTCACACTGCTGGATGCTCTGAGTATGGTGCACAGTCAGAAGATGAAGAAGGCCAAGGAGCAGCGGCACCTGCACAATAAAGAGCACTTCAGAGCCAAGCAGAAGGAGGAGGAGGAGAAGCTGAAGTGGCAGAAGGACCTCAGGAAGAAGCTCTTCCAAATTCAGGGGCAGAAGGAAAGAAGAAACCAGAAGTCCAGTTTGAAGGGGGCTGAGGGCCAGTTTCAGTGAGCCTTTGGACTGGAGGGACTGTCCCTGGATCTGCAGAGGTGGACAGTTTCAAACATCACAGTTTGAATGCCTGTGAATGACAAGTCAGTGGGCAAGAACTCAAGAGATGTCTCTACACAAACTGTGCCTGCAAGAGGAACAGAGAAGCCTGGACTACTTGGACCGGGTTCATTCTCATCACTTGGGGCTGTCGAGATTTAAAGTGATGTAAGCTGTGGTTGTGTGGATTCTCTTACTTTCCTCTGCCTGCCTCAGTTTAATTATTTTGTCCTGCAAAAATACCATTAAATTTTTTTTTGTTAGTTTTGGCTTAGTAGTTTTCATTAGGGATGAATGCCTGACAATTCTTTGTGGATAATTATTTATGCTACCACCTTCATGAGGAGTCTTCCAGAAGAGAAAGAAATATTCACTTGAACCCTCAGCTCTCATGCAAAATTTTAGAGAAGAGTGTGTAGTGTTTTTATTGTGTTTTTTGTTTGAGTGACACACAAACCTAGATGGTACAGCCTACTCTGCACCTGGGATCTATGGGTTCCTTTGATCACTGGCCCTCGTGGACATTTTCTATCTTATGTCATATGTTCTGCACATTAGTATAGTGACAAGGTAACAGTAAGTACTTTTTTAAAGCTTTAGACTTAGGAGATTGTTGTCTCATGTGCAGAGACCAAGGAAATTGTATGTATCAGTGAGATAGGCTTCCCATATTATGCTCATGCGTTATACCTGCCTAGCTACATTGCCTTTTTTTAAATTAAACATTATATTGATGTAATCATACTATTACATAGGCGATATATGTATTTTATGATTGTATGTTGATATAGTTATGGGGAATCTAATCCTATACGATGTAATCATAGATTCACATATAGTTGTATATTTTGCCCAATTTCTTTCAGTGGTAATGTTTCACACATATCACAATCAGGATGTTGACATCAATACAGCCCACTGATTTTATTCACCTTTCCTCAGCTTTACTTTCCCCAAGTATACTCCTCCAGGTATGCATGGGTGTGTAGAAATATGGAACGCAGCTGGGCACAGTGACTCACGCCTGTAATCCCAGCACTTTGGGATGCTAAGGCAGGAGGATCCCTTGAGCCCAGGAATTTGAGACCAACTTGGGCAACATGGCAAAACCTCATCTCTACAAAAAATAAAAAATTCACCTGGTGTGGTGGTGCATACCTGTAGTTCCAGCTGCTTGGGAGGCTGAGGTAGGAGGATCACTTGAGTTCGGGAGGTTGAGGCTGCAGTGAGCCATGATAGCACCACTGCACTCCGGCCTGGGTGACAGGGCAAGACCCTGTTTCAAAAAAAAAAAACTTATATATATATATGTATGTATGTAGAACACTTCATGAATTTGTGTCATCTGTGCATGGGGCCCATGGTGACCTCTGTGTTGTACCAGTTATAGTATGTGCGCTGCTGATAGGAGTACCACATTGCCTTTACAACATCATAGGGGCCAAAGAGGGTCGGCAGGATTATGAGCAGTTGGCCCTAGTCTGAGAGGCTCTCTAAAAACCTAAAGTTGTCAGCAGACAGGTGCTCAGCTTTGTATCTCCATAAGAAGGGAAGAGGATGTGAAGATCCTGTCAGGGCTGGGTCCACTTGGGAAGTGACAATTGGAACATGCCCAGACCTCTCTGAGCAACTCTGGGTGTACATTTTCCTCTATTCCTCAAGAGCTATTGTGAATTTGATCATCCAGTATGCTGATAGGCCTGGGGACTGACACATAGTAAGCCCATAACAATTATAATTTAAAACTAATTTGTTATATAGCATAATTGATATATTTTAAAATGCAAAACTATAATTCAACTAAAATATACAAGGCACTCTAAGTCATACCATGTTTTAAGTAGCTTACAAGGTGATCAGCAAGTGTCTTATACAAAAAGCAAATTTGTTCAAAGAGAAGCCTTGCAAATAAGTATTTATAATTGTATGGTTTTATATTTTAGCCAGAAGAGTGAAATTGTTTAGCAATGGGGGAAATAAAAGAATGTTTAATTACAGTTGCAGATAATTGCCTTTTCCAAAGACAATGTATGTAGGCAGAAGTCATACCTGTTAATATTAAAAATCTTGGTTTATCATATTTGGAGAACAAGGGAAATAAAAAGTTTGTATATCAAGATTATTTAAAACTAAAGGAATCTCTAATGTCTGAAAGAAACAATAAATAGCATTTTCTATGTAGAATTTTTATTGGTGAAGGTTCCACCTGGCCAGGTTAGTAAAATACAGTCACGCATCAGTTAAGGATGGGGATATATTCTGAGAAATGTATCATTTAGGCAATTTTTTCATTGTGTAAACATCATAGAGTGACACGCAAACCTAGATGGTACAGCCTACTGTGCACCTGGGCTCTATGGTATGGCCTATTGCTCCTAGGCTACAAACCTGGGCAGCATGTGACTGTACTGACTACTGTAGGCAGTTGTAACACAGTGGTAAATATTTGTGTATCGAAATATAGAAAAGGCATAGCAAAAATACAATATTGTGGAACCACTGCCGTATATGTGGTCCATCCTTGACTGAACGTCGTGCAGCATGTGGCTATATGTATACACATAGTTTTTGCTGTGAGTTTGCATCCATCTCATAGGAAGACATATATCAAAATAAGGACCAGACTGGAGAGTGTGTAAATTACTTTTCAATACTAATGGCTTATTAATTTGATATTGTCACAAGTATGTTGCAAAAATAAATTCCACCAGAATGTGAGTTCCGTGAGAGCAGGAACTGGGTTGTTCACCTTGTTGGCACTTGGAGTAGAGCCACTGAGCATCGTGCGGCATAAAATTGCTTGGAAGAAAGAAGGGAGGGCATTCCAGGTAACCGAAGCATTGCTATGCAAAGTAAGCATTTGCCCTCTGAACTATTTTAACAATTTTTATAGAAACCTTTCTCAATTGCATTAAACTTTGTAAATTGTAAAAATTATTCTGTTGTACCTTTCTATCTTTTTACTATGCACAGGCAGCCATAGGTGCTGGGTATGTTTTGAAAACATATTGAACCTATAGTGTACGTATCTTTCCATGCCATTAAATATTCTTATTTAATCATAGATGTGTTCAGGTGTGTTTGGTTTCCTATTTGTGGATGTACTAGATTGTTTTCTTTTTTTAACAAAACCTGTGAACTTGCTTTAAGTATTATCATTTGGTGACATGGCTGCCATTTCAGAAATAAATGTTTGAGCAAACAGGAAAGCCACCGGGTCTGATTCAGCTCTCTGGAGGCTTCAGAGCTTACCCCGCTGACGGGAAAAGAGCATCGATTTAATTGCCCTTGGTACTGACTTCTAGTGTCTAGTATTTTGCCAGACTCAGGTATTTCTTAAAGCCATTATTCAGAGTCTTCAGCAAGGACATTGTATTTTATTTGTGTCTTCTTAGTTTTACCTAGTTTATTTCATGGTTTTAAAGTATTGTACATTTTTATAATCCTCTAACAAGACAAAAGGTTAAGATGTTGGACATTTAAATGCCAAAGGTGTTTTTTTTTTTTTTTTTTTTTTTTGAGACGGAGTCTCGCTCTGTCGCCCAGGCTGGAGTGCAGTGGCGGGATCTCGGCTCACTGCAAGCTCCGCCTCCCGGGTTCACGCCATTCTCCTGCCTCAGCCTCCCAAGTAGCTGGGACTACAGGCGCCCGCCACTATGCCCGGCTAATTTTTTGTATTTTTAGTAGAGACGGGGTTTCACCGTTTTAGCCGGGATGGTCTCGATCTCCTGACCTCGTGATCCGCCCGCCTCGGCCTCCCAAAGTGCTGGGATTACAGGCGTGAGCCACCGCGCCCGGCCGCCAAAGGTGTTTTATTATGAGACTTAGAATTTCATATTTGGGGATGGTACCTTATTATTGAAAATCAGATAAACTTTGGTTGGGTGGGTATTTGGAGGAATCTTTTAAGTCTTTTCTTAAGCAAAGTTTGGACATTCTAAAATAAGGTTGCCAACTGGCATGTAGAGAGAGAAGGATGTGTCATACATTTAGACCAGGTGGCCTGTCCTGTAACTTTTTTGTGGGGGAGGGGTGGGCTTGTTTTTTGTGTGTTTTGGTTTTTTCCAATTTTTGTTTGGTGATAAAATATGCATAATAAAACTTATTTTATCAATTTTTAATTGTATGAGTCGGTGGCATTAATTACCTTCACAGTGCTGTTGCAGCCATCTTCAGAGCCTTTCCATCATCCCAAACTGAAACTTTGTACCCATTAAACAACATCTCCTCATTCCCTCCTTCCCCCAGCCCCTGCAATCACCATTCTGTTTTCTGTCTCTGAGTGACTACTCTAGATACATTTGCAAACGGAATCATACAATATTTGTCTTTTTGTGTCTTGTTTATTTCACTTAGCATACTGTCTTCAAGGTGTGTCCAGTTGCAGCATGTGTCAGAATTTCCTTCCCTTTTAAGGCTGAATAATATTCCCAGTGAATGTCTTTACCACATGTTGCTTATCCATTCATCTGCTGATGGACGTATGGGCTATTGGGAATAATGTTGCTTGAACATTGGTGTGTAAATATCTGTGTGAGTCTCTGTTTCAGTTCTGTGTGTAAAAGTGGAATTGCTGGGTCAAATGTCATTCTGTGTTTAATTGTGTGAGGAACTGCCACACTGTATCCACAGCTGCTGTGGATTCCTTACATTCCTTCTAGCAATACGTACAAGGGTTTCAATTTCTCCATAGCCTAGACCACCCTCATTACTCTGTTTTTTTGTTGGTTGGTTGATTGGTTTCTTAAAAAACAGGCATCCTAGTGTGAAGTTGCATCTCCTTGTGATCTGCATGTCGGTAATGACTAGTGATGTTGAGCATCTTTCTGTGTGCTTATTGGCCATCTATAGACCTTCTTTGGAGAAATGTCTATTCAAGTCCTTTGAATCAGATTTTTTGTTGTTATTGAATTGTAGAAGTTCTTTTTATATTCTGGATATTAAACCCTTATCAGATAAACCATTCACAAATATTTTCTCTCATTCTTTGGGGTGTCTTTTCACTCTGATAGTGTCCTTTGATGCGCAAAGGTTTTTTAATTTTGATAAAGTCCAATTTATTTTTTCATTTGTTGCCTGTGCTTTTAGTGTCATAGCCAAGAAATTACCAAATTATTGTTTAGTTTTTTAAAAGTATTTATGTGATTATTTGGCTGATACCTGTCTCTAATGACTGACGGCACTTCTTGAGCGTGGCTTTTAAACATGCAAACTTGATGTCACTTTCCGAGGCTCCTTCCATGGCTTCCCTTTGCTTCTAGGCCGCGGCCCTTGTCTGGCCTCACTGCTGCTGTGGCCCCTGCCCTCCTCTAGGGCCTCTCTTCTGCTGCCTCCAGCTCTGGCCACAGCGGCCTTTCATTCCTCAGTGCACTTGCCTGGGGTCCTCAACACTTGCAGTTCCCTGTGCCTGGAATGCGGCAGCTCCTACCTCCCTCTCCCTGCCTCTACCTCCTTGCTGCTCCTTCTGATGCTGGCCCTGAGACCACTGGTCGGTGCGGCCTTCCCTGGACCCTCTCCAAACTCCCCAGTACTCCTCCAAACTTTTCTCCAAAAAACCAGTGGCACTCAATTGTGCCGTCCAGGGACCCCTGGGATTTTCACGACCCTGTCAGCAGCTGAGTGAGGTTGAGTCAAGAATGTTTCATGACAATAAGGAGACGTTATTGATCTCTTTTCACTGGAAGTGGGAGCGTCTTGCCGGGGGACAGCGGGCTGAGGATGCAGCTGTGTTAGGACGTGACAGCTCGCACAACTGAAGCACCGCCACTTTCCCACAGTTTTTTTTTTTTTTTTTGCTTTGGAAAACATTTCTCACAAAAATATGCGACTTATGTTACCATGTAATGGGCTTGCTTCTGTTATTTTAAAACAAACTAATAAATCTCTTAAATGTTTCTCGGCTTTATTTTTTGTTGTTGTGGTTCCTTTTCTTCTGTTTTCCCCAGCTTTATGAAAGTTTAATTGACAAACTTGCATATCTTTACTGCTCACAGCGTGCTGCTTTGCTGTATGTGTGCCCTGTGGAACGCTTTGTGGCGCTGCTGCACACCTTCATCACCTACTGCGGTGAGGGCCCCTGGGATCTGCACTCCCGGCGCTGCGCCCTCGCCCCCTGCTGTGCCTGAGCCCCCCCCCCCCACCCCCGGCCCCGGGACCCGCTCCCGCTGCTGGAACCGCACCCGTGGCCGGCGCCCAGTCCCCAACCCCGCTTTAGTTTCCACCCACGTGAAGAAACTCAGCCTCGGTCCTGTTTAGGCACGGAAAGGGCTGGAGAACCGCGTCCTTCCGAGGCGCCCCCAGCGCGGCTCCCCACGGCGTGCAGCACCTCAGACTGTCGCGCTGCGCCCTGGGATGCACAGGAGGTGGGACCCAGGAGCGAAGCCCCTGCAGCGTCCCAGACTGGACGTGGCCCTGCACCCCCCAGCTGCTGGGCTGGCTGGGACATGCATGAGATCGCGCGCTTTACAAACTGTAGGTCTTTCTGGGAAAGTTAAAGAACGCGCTGCAGCCGCTTCACCTGCTGCTGAAAGGAGCGGGCAGGGCTGGTCACTCCGCGCCACACCCCGTGCGCCAACACTGGAAGGTGAATGTTCAGAACATTTTTATCATTTAAAGCCAGTATACCGGCTGGGTGCGGTGGCTCACACCTGTAATCCCAGCTACTTGGGAGGCCTAGGCAGGAAGATCCGATTGAGCCCAGAAGTTCCAGAGCACCCTGGGCAACATGGCAAGACCCTATCTCTACAAAAGAAAAAAAAAAAAAAAGCCGGGAGTGGTGGCACGCACCTGTGGTCCCAGCAACTCGGAAGGCTGAGGCGGGAGGATGACCTGAATTCAGTAGGTCTCCAGCCTGGGCGACAGAGCGAGACCCTGTCTACTAATAAATAAAGCCAGTGTACCTAAAATACCATCATAACATGGAATCAGTATAAAAATGATTATTGAACTACTTGACATTCCTGTTTTGTGCTAAGTCTTTGAAATTTGGTGTAGTGTTTTGTTTTGTTTTGTTTTTTGAGACAGAGTTTCGCTCTTTTTGCCCGGGCTGGAGTGCAATGGCACGATCTCAGCTCACTGAAACCTGCCTCCCAGGTTCAAGCGATTCTCCTGCCTCAGCCTCTGGAGTAGCTGGGATTACAGGTGCCTGCCACCACGCCCGGTTAATTTTTTTGTAGTTTTAGTAGAGACAGGGTTTCTTCATGTTGGCCAGGCTGGTCTCAAACCCCTGACCTCAGGTGATCCGCCTACCTCGACCTCCCAAAGTGCTGGGACCACAGGCATGAGCCACTGTGCCCGGCCCGGTGTGTACTCTTATAACACCTCTCAATTGAGATCTAAATTTTGTGGGAAATAATCTATATTTAGATTTCACAGTATTCACAGTTGAAAAAATAGATGTATATCCCCTTGTTTCAAATGTAACTGAACCTAGTGACTTGTTTGAAATTCAAATTAATTAAAATAAAAAATGTCCAGTTCTCGGCAGCAGTTGCACATTTCAAGGGCTCAATGGCCCCATGTGGCAGTGGTCCCGTAGAGGACTGCACAGCTCTAGACATGGTGTAGGAAGTTGGAGAAGGCTTCCTTAGGGAAGCAAGTGATGGTTGAGCCATGACCAGAAGTTGGTTAACTCGACAAAGGCTGGGAGTTGGGGAAGCAGAAGAGTGTGTCAAGCACAGGAATGTTATGTGGAAAGGCCTGTGACACAGGGCAGCATGACCCCTGCAAGCCAGCGTGGCTGGAGCCAGGACAGCAGCAGAGAGTCCTAGGAGCTGGGGAGGAAAATAGAGAGGCTGGGGATGAGGCCGCCTTAAGATGCTATCTTCATCCCAAGACACCAGGAAGCCCTGGGAGAACATTTAACTGGGACAGCATGGTCAGATTTCCATTTTTCAAAAAGCTCCTTTGCTACTGGGTGGAGATAGTTTGCAGGAAGTTCAGGGGGAGGAGGCACAGAGAGGGAGAAGTGGTGGGTGCTAGAGCTCTGAGAGGTAACATTGGAGGGGTAGTGGGTCTGGGGGTTGTGAGGAACAAGGGGTTTTCGGGGAGTACCCCAGGGCCCCCAGGTGTCTGGCTGGGATGCCGGGTGGAGTGATGGGCACCTGTGGGACAGCCAGGTAGAGACATCTGAGGCGGCAGCTGGGGAACTGTCTGGAACTCCAATTGATGTGCTACCTGGGCTTAAGATGTACTGCCAAGAGTTACCAACACCTACACTTGGGAGTGGGTACATTATCCAGGGAGGAGCCAAGATTGAACACAGGTGGGTTTTTGTTCAGCATTTTAAAATTTTTTAATTTTTTTTTGTAGAGACAAGGTCTCACTATGTTGCCCAGGCTGGCCTCAAGAGATCCTCCTGCCTTGGCCTCCCAAAGGGCTGGGATTACAGGCGTGAGCCACCGGTCCCAGTCTGTTCAGCACTTTTTCCACTAGCTTAGTATGTCCACACACCTCAAAGAGATCACCAAGTCCAACTCATACATGCAAACCAGTGCTCAGAAAGTCCACATGATCCTGCTGTGGTTCATTTGACCAAAACTGAGTGGTGGAGCTAAGCAAGGCTGTTTCACAGAAGCCAGATATATAAGTGGCCTCAATATGGAGGGCAGTCACCATCTCCCAGTGTCTCTGACTGCTGCACGCACACTTGGCAACCTGTGCTCAGGTCAGGGATGGTCTGGGTGGGGGCTCCAGTTTCTGCCACTCACCAGTGATGTGACTCTGGGCAATGTACACAATCTCTTGGGTTTTAAGTTTCTTATCTGTAAGATGGGGATAATAAACCAATCTTGCAACATGTGAGGATTTAATGAGACTACAGTTCCCATGAAGGGGATGGGGTGCTGACCTTCCCACACAGTCAAAAATCCACATATAGGCCAGGTGTGGCTGCTTACGCTTGTAATCCCAGCACTTTGGGAAGCTGAGGTGGGCAGATCATGAGGTCAAGAGTTTGAGACCAGCCTGATCAACATGGTGAAACCCCGGCTCTACTAAAAATACAAAAGTTAGTCAGGTGTGGTGGTGCGCACCTGTAGTCCCAGCTACTCAGGAGGCTGAGGCAGGAGAATTGCTTGGACCCAGGAGGTGGAGGTTGCAGTGAGCCGAGATCTCACCACTGCACTCCAGCCTGCAGGACAGAGCAAGACTCTGTCTCAAAAAAAAAAAAAAAAATCCACATATAACTTTCAACTCACCACAACTTTTGTTAATAGCCTACTATTGGCCAGAAGCCTTACCAATAACATAAACACTCAACACATATTTTGTATGTGATTTGTATTGTATACTGTATTCTTACAATGCAGTAAGCTACAGAAAAGAAAAAGTACTAATAAAATCATAAGGAAGAGAA
Organism: Homo sapiens; assembly: GCF_000001405.40. NCBI lineage: Eukaryota > Metazoa > Chordata > Mammalia > Primates > Hominidae > Homo > Homo sapiens. The sequence goes on along the minus strand of NC_000016.10, from coordinate 33,677,932 downwards.
TGTATTCACTATCACTAAATGGAAGTGGATCATCATAAAGGTTTTCATCCATATCGTCTTCACATTGAGTAGGCTGAAGAAGAGAAGAGGTTGGTCCTGTCATCTCAGGGATGGCAGAGGCAGAAAAGGTGGGGGAGATGGGAAGGAAGTCAGGAGATACACAGACGCTGAGAAATTCATCATTATTTCTGTCTGACATTTTTGCTTTTTCATGTCTCTAAATATGTTTCTTTATGTTACCAATCCTTCTTCCACCATTTGCTTTAGTTTTGGTGCCCGTACCATAGAAAGGTCCATGTGGTAGAAGAAGTCACAAGTAGTCTTGAATAATCAGAACCCCTCTGCCAGATTGTCGAATGTCAACTTATTTTCTGGCACTGCATCTACATCCTCTTCCTCATAATCTGGCACTGATTCAAAAACACTCATCTCCATCAAGTGGTCTTCTGTTAATTCCTCTGGTGTGATGTCTATTCACTCTTGAATTTCTCCAAGATCCATATCCTGAAAGCCTACATTCCCCACCTTTTTTGCCACAGGCACACTCTCTTTCATGATTTCCTTGATTGGCCCTGTTGTAAATCTGGACACAGTTTTCTCCAGTAGGAAGGCTGGGCACTGAGGGCCTTAGAACCTTCTGCTTCACCTTTTGACATATAGGGCCCAATTTTAATGCATTTAAATGTTGCCTCCACTCCAAAATGAACATGGGACATATGTAATGTGTGAAATAGGTGTGTCTTACCCCCTTCATGAATATTCATAGAGCCTTCTATAACCTGTTGAATATGTACATTTAGCCAACCCTTTCAGCATAACTTCCTGTCTCATCTTTCTGTCCCTGGAAGTGCCTGCTTTTGGTCTTTGCTGGAGGCTACACTTCCCAGCCTGTCAAGATGGCCAGCCTGCAGGCTGCAACCTTTCTAAGAAATAAGGCTTTTGGGCTGGCCCAGTGGCTCACACCTGTAATCCCAGCACTTTGAGAGGCTGAGTTGGGTGGATCACTTGAGACCAGGAGTTTGAGCCCAGCCTGGCCAACATGGAGAAACCCCATCTCTACCTAGAAAAAAAATACAAAAATTAACCAGGTGTAGTGGCATGTGCCTGTCTGCCCAGCTAATCTGGTGGCTGAGGCAGGAGAATTGCTTGAACCTGGGAGGCAAAGGTTGCAGTGAACTGAGATCGCACCATTGCACTCCAGCCTGGATGATAGAGCTAGACTCTGTCAGACAAAAAAAAAGAAAGAAAGAAAGAAAATAAGGCTCTTGGCCTGGCACAGTGGCTCATGACTGTAATCTCAACACTTTAGAAGGTCGAGGTGGGAGGATTGCTTGAGCTCAAGAGTTCGAGACCAGCTGGGCAAGATAGTGGGACCCCTGTCTCTACAAAAACAAGTTTGAAAATTAGCCAGCCATGGTGGCACACACCTGTAGTTCCAGCTACTTGGGAGGCTGAGGTGGGAGATTGCCTGAGCCCGGGAGGTTGAGGCTGCAGTTAGTCATGATTGTGCCACTGTACTTTAGCCTCTCCAAATTTGTAGATCTCATAATTTTAAGTCACCATCCTCCACCAGTCTTTCATTTTAGGTTGTCATATAATGACATCAGTTTTTCTTGAATCATATTAGAGTCTATAGATATGCTTTTCTTATAGATATCCTGCACCCACATAAAAGCTGCATTTTCTCTATTTCTCTGTCCTTCTTTCCTTCTTTCATCTTCTTCCCCCCCCACCCCCCCTGACAGAGCCTCGCTTCCAGGCTGGAGTGCAGTTGTGTGATCTTGGCTTACTGCAGCCTCCACCTCCTGGGCTCAAGTGATCCTCCTGACTCGGTCTACCAAAGTGCTGGGATTAAAGGCATGAGCTACTACATCCAGCCAAAAGCTATATTTTCAAGACTAGATAAAAAGGTATTTGGCAAAAAGAGCAAAGTTTCATGTCTGCTAGCATGCCTGCAGTGATGACACTGCGAATTTCCTTTTCTTTTTTTACAATGGTTCTTAGGCTGGATTAATTTATCTTGAAATGGTGGGCAACCACAGCTGCAGACCTCAGTCTACAGTACATATCAATCAATCCACCTTTTTCTTGTACTGTCAAGACTTTTCTCTGCTTCTTGGCAGCACTTCCAGCATCACTAGTGGCATTTCATACACGTCTCGTTGTCTTCTTCAGGTTTATGGTATTGCACTAAACATGAAAAATACATGAGAACCACAAGAGATTACTTTTCACTGTGATACACAATCTACAGGAGAGACAAGTGCTCACGTGGAGATGGCTAGTGTCACATGGCATTTTAAGTGGACCCTGGACACCTGAGCGCACTGCAATAGTAGCGGGAGGGGTGACAGAATTGTTACAGTAGTACGGTGGGCTCCCATTAATTTATGCAATTATGACTTAATACTGCATCTTTACATTTGTTTACATTTCTCTTGACTGGCACCATATACTGTGTTTGTGTGCATAACTTTTGATAAATTTTAACTGTTTATAATTGATTTATGTATGTTTTATGTTGGTAAATGATAAAAATATGCTAGTATTTTATGCATTCATGACATACCTTTTTCTTAACTTTTTCAATATTTCTAGGCTACAAGGTTCATCTGCAAGTTTCTTCAAATGGTTGCAATGCTTACTGCAACCTCCATCTCCTAGGCTCCAGTGATCCTCCTGCCTCAGCCTCCCAAAGTGCTGGGATTACAAGCATGAGCTACTACATCTGTCCAAAAGCTGCATTTCCAAGACCAGGTAAAAAAGTATTTGGCCAGAAGAGCAAGGATTCACGTCTGCTGGCATGGCTGATATGAAATTTTCCAATACATTTTTCCAATATATTTATTGAAAAAAAAGTGGGCCAGGTGTGGTGGTTCATGCCTGTGATCCTAGCAATTTGGGAGTCCAAGGTTGGGAGGGTTACTTGAGTCCTGGAGTTCGAGACCAGTCTGAGCAACATAGCGAGACCCCGTGTCTTTTTTTTTTTTTTTTTTTTTGAGACGGAGTTTCGCTCTTGTTGCTCAGACTGGAGTACAGTGGCATGATCTCGGCTCACTGCAACCTCCACCTCCTGGGTTCAAGTGATTCTCCTGCCTCAGCCTTCTGAGTAGCTGGGACCACAGGTGCGTGCCACCACACCCAGATTTTTTTTTTTTTTTGTATTTTTAGTAGAGATGAGGTTTCACTATGTTGGCCAAGATGTTCTCAATCTGCTGACCTCGTGATCTGCCCATCTTGGCCTCCCAAAGTGCTGGGATTACAGGCATGAGCCATTATGCCTGGCCAACCCCATGTCTATTTAAGAAGATTTAATTTAAAAAAAAATTTTTTTAAGAAAAAATCTGTATGTAGGTGGACCCATGTAGTTCAGACTTGTGTTGTTCAAGGATCACAACTGTACCTGTGGTGACTGATATGAAACAGATGACCAAAAAATGATAGTTTTATTTCCCCATCTGGTCCCATTTAAAAGAGGTGTTTAGGTCTGAGAATTTTCACACGTACAAGGTTCCATAGTCAGGATGCCGAGGAACTGCACCCCTCTTGCTGGAGTCCAGCCCTTCCCACCCAACCTGCTGACTGCTGATTTGCCTTCTATCCCTGTCACACTGTTGTCTTGGGAAGGTCGTGTGAGTGGAGATACGCAGCATGGGCTCTTTGTAACTGGCTGCTTTCACTAAGCATCATGTTTTTGAGATCCACCCCAATGCACTGTGTGTCAGTGGCATGTTCCTTTCAATTGTGGAATGGTGTTAGCCTGCACAGGGAGACACAGGTAGTTACCTCTTCATCCATGGGAGGATGTGTGGTTGTGTCCAGATTTAGGCGATTATGCATAGAGTTGCCATAAACATTTCTACAGAGGTTTTCATGTGAACACAAATTTTCCTTACTCCAGGAAAAATCATTATGGGACTGCTGGGCCATGTGGTTTAACAGAACTGTCAAAGTGCTTTCCAGTGGCACCTCACTATGGTTTTGATTTGCATTTCCCTAATGATTAGTGTTGATGATCTCTCATAGGCTTGCTGTCTTCCACATAGAGCATCCTCTTTGGTGAGGGTCCAAGTCTTTTACCCACTTTTGTTTGGATGGTTTTCTAACTATTGATTTTAAGAGTTCTTTATATATGTCGGACTACTTTCTTTGTTGGATATGTGGTTTGTAGATATTCTCTCCCAGCCTATAGCTGTCTTTTCAGTGTCTTTTAACAGTGTCTTTTGCAAAGCTATATTTTTTATTTTGATCAAGTCTAATTGATGGATTTTTGCTTTTACATGCATTTGGCATCATGTCTAAGAACAATTTCCCTAACCTCAATTAATGAAGATTTCTTCCTATGTTTTCTTCCAAAGCTTTAAACACTCTCTCTCTTTCTCTCTCAGCAAATAAGGAGGAAACATTCATGACAATTGCAGTCCTGGTTTCTGTAGCTGGTCACATGGTCCTATAACTACCTTCTTCCACTCCCCAGTCTGTATTCCCTTTGCCTTCAGGAAGCCTCCGCTGGTTGTGGTTTTTAACCTGGTGGGGGAACGTTCATTCATGAAGGTTCTGGACCATTATTAATCCTGCCTAGATTGGGCTGTTGTGCTTTTCCATTGATCTTAATCACAGCGCATGCCATGAGGGCCCTCCTGTACCTCAGACATGCTCTTCCTCAGTCCATTGTGAAGCAGCAGGGCAGTTTCTCCTTGGTGATCTGGACCAGCCACCCCCACCAACGTAGTTAACTCCTTCTTTACCTGTTGATCCAGAGGCATGAGGAGCTTAGTGCCAACAGATGGCAGCCTAAACTTCCAGCGCAATGGATCATCCCTGTGTCTCTTGGCGGCAGCTTTCCTCCCTCTGGAACTAAGACCTCTAGCCCAGCAGAGCATAAGGTGGTGGGGACAAGAAGCAAAACTTTTGCTAGTGGGTCACTAGGGGTGATGGGGTTTCACCCTGTTGGCCATGCTGGTCTCGAACTTCTGATCTCAAATGATCCACTCGCGTCGGCCTCCCAAAATTCTGGGATTACGAGCGTGAGCTACTGCACCCAGCCTAGTGCTAATCACTTTTTAAAAAGCCATTCTAATATGTACTGATGTCTCATTGTGGTTTTAATTTCAACTTTCCTAATGGCTAATGTTGCTGACCATCCTTTCATGTACAAAGAATATTTTCTTTGGTCAAATATCTGTTCATGTCATTTGTGCATTTTTAATTTGATTACTTATTTATTTTATGTTGAGTTCTGAGTGTTCTTTATTCTTGACACAAGTTCTTTGTCAGATATGTGATTTGCAAATATTTTCTCTCATTCTGTAACTTATCTTTCCATCATCCCAATTGCATCTTTTGCAGAGCCAAAAAAAATTAATTTTGATGAGGTCCAATTTATCAATTTTTTCTTTTATGAATTGTATTTTGATGTCAAGTCTAAGGGCTCTGCCTAGTCTCTGGTCCTGAAGATTTTCTTCTATTTTTTTTTCCTGAAAATATTACTGTTTGACATTTAAGCCCATGATCCTTGTGTTATGTTTTGTATAAAATGTGAAGGTCAGGCCAAGCCTCATCTCCTTGCCTATGGATGTCTGATTGTTCCTGCAGCACTTGTTGAAAGGGCTATCACTCCTCTACTAAACTGCTGTTGCATCTTTCTCAAAAATTAATTAAGCATATTTCTGGGGTGGGATCTCTGTCCTGCACCAGTAATTAATATGTCTCTCCCTCCACCAGCACCATACTGAGTTCTCAGATTACTGTAGTTGTAGAGTAAGCTTTAATAATTGGTACAGTGATTTCTTCCATTTAATTATTCTTTTTCAGAATTGTTTCAGCTAACCTAGGGCCACTTCCTTTTAATATAAAGTTTACAATAAGTTTGCATATGTATACAAAAAACAATGCCAAGATTTAGAATTGTATTAAACCTGCAATTTGAAGGAAGCTGACCTCTATGTTGAGACTTCCCATCCCTGAATATGGCATGACTCTCCATTTATGTAGATATTTGATTTCTTTCAGCAGAATTTTGTAATTTGCACTATATTCTCCTGTATATGTTTTATTAGATTTATTCCTACATATTAATACTTCATGTATTTTGAGCAGTTGTAAATGGTATTGCAGTTTTTATTTTGATTTCCACTTTTTTATTGTTACCATAGAGAGATGCAATTTGTGTATGTGTGTTATTCTTGTGTGTTGCAGCCTTGATATTCTCACTCTTTATATCAAGGATTTTTTTTTTTATTCTGTGGGACTGTTTATGTAGATGATTATGCCACGTGCAAGTAGTGATGGTTTTCTTTCTTTCTTTTCAATCTGCAACTTTTTATTTCTTTTTCTGGTCTTATTACACTGGTTAGAACTTCTAGTACTATCTTGAATTAAAATGGTGAAAGGGAACATTCTTGCCTTGTTCCTGCTCTTAAGGGGAAAGCATTCATTCTTTCACCATTAAGTGTGATGTTAACTGTAGATTTTTGTAAATGCTCTTTATGAAGTTGGAGGAAATTACCCTCTATTCCAAGTTTTCTAAGAGTTTATATCATGAATGGGTTTTGAATTTTGTCAAAACCTTTTCCTATGTCAATTGATAAGATCATATGATTTTTCTTCTTCAGTTTACAAGGCAGAATATGTGGATTGGCTTTTCAAATATTAAAACAGTCTTGCATAACTTGAGTGAAATTCCTCTTGATTGTGGTCTACTACTCTTTTTATGCATTACTAAATTTGATTTGCTAACACTGTCTTGAGGATTTTTCCATCTAAGCTTATGAGCAAAATCAGCCTGCAGGGTTCTTTCCTCTGTCCCTGCCTCCTTCCTCCCTCCCTTCCTTCCTTCCTTTGTGCTGTCTTTGTTCTGTTTTGATATCAAAATAATGATATCATAGTCCTGCCTCTTCTATTTTCTGGAAGAGACTGTGTAAAACTGGTGTTGATTCTTCTTTAAATATTTGGTAAATTCTTCAGTGAAACTATTGGGTCTGGATATATTGTGTTCAGGAGCTTTTTAGTTACAAATCCAATTTATATAATGATTATAGGACTATTCAGGCTTTTATATATTTCATCTTTTCTGAGTTGTGGTAATTTGTGATTTTCAAGGAATTGATTCATTTTTTCCTAGGCTGTCAAATGTATGAGCATAAAATTTTTATAGCATTTTTCATAGATGCAGCCTCTTTTGTGATATTTCTTGTTTCATTCCTGATATTGGTGATGTGTGTGTTATCTCCTTTTATCTTTGTTGATCATCCTAGAGGATTATCAGTTTTATTAATTTTTTGAAGAACTTGTTTTTTATTTCCTTAATGTTCTGCATTGCTTTCCTGTTTTTAATTTCATCAATTTCTGCTCTTCACTTTCCGTCCTATTTTCCTTAACTTTGTTTTGCTATTCCTCTTTTAGTTCTTTGACTACTGGTTTGAGAACTTTCCATATTACTAATATAAGGATTTAGTGCTATAAATTTCTCTCTCAGCTCTGCTATAGCTGAATCCCTCAATTGTTTTTTAAGACAGGGTCTCATTCTGTCACTGAAGCTGGAGTGCAGTAGCACAATCTCCACTCGCTGCAGCCTCAACCTTCCGGGCTCAAGCAATCCTCCCTATCTCAGCCTCCCAAGTAACTGGGACTACAGGTGCATGCCACCACACCTGGCTAATTTTTTGCAGAGATAGGGATTTCACCATGTTGCCCAGGCTAGTCTTGAACTCCTGGGCTCAAAAAGCGATCCACCCACCACAGCCTCCCAAAGTGCTGGGATTACAGGAGTAAGCCATTGCACCCAGCCGCATCCACAAATTTTGATATGCCATATTTTCATTGTGTTACTTGCTTTTTAAAAATTCCCTTTGAGATTTCTTCTTGTCCACATTGTATATAAATGTTTACTGCTTAATTTCCAAGTGTTTGCAGATTTTTCTCTTGTCTTTCTGCAATTTATTTCCAGTTTGATTCCATTGTGGTCAGAGGACACTCTTTGTATGATTTCAGTTTTTAAAAATTTGTTAAGGTTTGTTTTAAGATCTAGAGTCTGTTCTATAAGAGCTTGAAAATAACGCATAGTTTGCTGTTGATGGATAGAGTTTTCCATAAATGTTAATTATACCCTATTGGCTAATAATATTGTTTATTTATCCTATATTCTTGCTGATGATTTTTGTCTAGTGATTTTACAAATTCTGAAAGTGAGATGTCGACATATCCCAACTATAATTATGGATTTTTCTATTTCTTTTTTAAGCTCTATCAGGTTTTGCTTCATGTGTTTTGAAGCTGTGTTGTTTGGTGCACATATATTTAGGATCAAGATATACTCTTGCTCTTTTGTTATTATGTAATATTCCTCTTTTGTCCTAGAAATTCTTTTTGCCATGAACTCTATCTGATATTATTATAGCAACTCCTGCTTTTTTAAAAGTTCCTGTTTGTTTGCATGAAATTTTTTTTCTGTTCTTTCACTTTGAATCTATTAAATACCTATGCCATGGTATTAGAACTGAATATCTTATGGACATCATATAATGGGTCATATTTTTGCATTAATCTGCTATTTCTGTGTTTTTCCCAGATTTAACCAAGCTGCAAAGTCTGAGGGCATGGTTCCTAAAATTTCCCTCATTCCTGACACCAACAGCAAGTTTTAGAGGTTTCCAAAGCACCCTAAGTTTCAATCATTTGCTGGAAGAACTCACAGAACTCATTGAAAACTGCTATACACATGGTTACTGTTTACTGCAGGGAAAGGATACAAATCAGAACCAGCACAGAGGGCAGGGCTAGGAGGGTCTGTGAAGCCTCTGTTGTCCTCAGGTGCATTACTCTCCCAGCATCCACGTGTGACAATACCATGAAGCACTGCCAACCTAGGAATCTCACCCAAGCCTTGGTGTCCAGAGTGTTTCCTGGAACTGCATTGTGCAGCCATAATTGACTGATCTGTTGGAGACTGGTTGGAACTCTATCTTCACCTCTCCCTTTCCTGGAATCTGGGGCTGACGGCACATTCCTGGGAGGGCCCACCATGAGCCAGCTGGTAGCATAAACTTCAGGTATAGTCTGAGGGGCCCACCATGAATAGCAAAGACCCTCCTGTCACATGGTCTTCAGGACTACTTTCCAGGAGCCAGGACAAAGGCTAGACCTCTTCTTTGGGCTAGGCCAAATTCTTTACCACACAGAAATCATATTTAGGATTCAAATGTGCCATTTTTATTTGCTTTCTGCATGTTTCTTATGTTTCCTTTATCCTGTTTCGTTTCACTTGTCATGGATTACTTAAACAGTTTTTAGCATTTCATTTTGAATTATTTATACTTTTGGGTGCATTGCTTTGTATCGTTTTCTAAGTGGCTGCTCTAGGATTGATTATAATATACACATGTAACTTATCACAGCCTGCTGGCATCAATGTTTCACCACTTCATGAGAAATATCAAAAGCTTACTTTTATTTACTTCCCCTTTTCCTCCCCCACTTAAACATGTAATTATCATAAATATTTCCTGTTCAGATGTAGAGCACCGCAGCAGATGATGTTATTATTTTTTGCTTCAACCATAAAATACAATTTAAGAAACTCATCATAGTCTATTATACTTACCATATGATTACCCCTTCTTTTGTTGCAATTTCTGATTTCCTTATTTCCTTTTTGTTAGGAGAGCTTCCTTCAGCCATTTATTAAGGGTAGGTTTTCTGGTAACAAATTATCCTAGTTGTCCTTCCTCTTAGAATATCTTTATTTCCCCCTCATCCCTGAAGGATACATTCACTGAATAGGGTTCTGGGCAGACAGTTTTTCTCAGCACCTGGCGATGGTGTGTCGCCCCCTCTGCCTTGTGGTTTTAGAGAAGCCCACCATCCTCAGAACCAGTGTCCCTTAATGCATCGTTTTTCTCTGGTGGTTTAAAAGATTTTTTTCTTCGTCTTTCCTTTCCTGAAGTTCCGTTATGATGTGTTTATCCTATTTGGGGTTTGCTCAGATTCTTGAATCTGCAGGTTTATTTCTTTCACCAAATTTGGGACATCTTCAACCACTGTGCCTTTGAATACTTTTTCACCACACATTCCTTCCTCTCCTCCTGGGACTCTGGTGACAGGAACGCTGGGCCTTTTGTCACTGTCCCACCCATCCCCGAGGAGGCGTTCATTTCTCAGTCTCCTATCTCTCCATCGTTCCTCTGGGCCAGCTCTATTAATTGTCCTTGAATCAACAGACTCTGTTCTCTGTCGTGTCCACTCTGCTATTGAACCCAACTGCCCATTTTTTCATTTAGTTATTGTATTTTTCAGTTGTATGATTTTCATTTTGTTCTTGTTTCAAGAAAATTCGCCATTGTTTTCTGAAGCACTTTTATGATGGCTGCTTTAAAGTTCTAACATCTGATTTATCTTGATTAATCTTATTTTCCTATTTAAGTTGTTTTTTGTTTTGCTCTGTTATGTTTTTGAGACAGAGTCTTACTTTGATGCTCAGACTGGTGTGCAGTAACACGATCTCGGCTCACTGCAGCCTCAAACTGTAGGGCTCAAGTGGTCCTCCTGCTTCAGCCTCCTAAGTAGCTGGCACCACAGGTGTGTGCCACCACAGCTGGCTAATTTTTAAATTGTTTGTAGAGACGGGGTCATGCTGTGTTGCCCAGGCTGATCTCAACTCCTGGGCTCAAGCCATCCTCCTGATTGACCTTCCAAAGTGCTGGGATTACAGGTGGGAGCCCCCTCACCAGGCTTCAAGTTGCTTTTTATGTTTCCTGATATGACAAATAATTTCAAATATGTTCTGGAGATTTCGGTTATTATGTAAAGAAACTTTTTATCCTATTTGAACATTCCAGTTCAGTCCATGGTACCCTTAATTGGTACCTAAAGCAGCCCCAGCCTGCTTTAGGGGAAATGTAGAGTCAATGACAATTTAGTTTTCAAAGCCCTCCCAGTGCTATTCTGGTCTGGTTTGTTCTTCTGGATCTGCTGGGGCTCTGGTTCAATCCCTGCGCATGTTGCTGGGGTTGCCCTGTGCGGCGGGGGTAGGTTAAGGAAACGCCGGGTTCTGGGTGTGGTCTCTGCGCCAAGGTCAGCAGAGCCTGTTGTGGCCTGGGTGTGATGCTGAGGGCCAGGCCTGAGCGGAGCTGCTGTGACATGGATCAGTAGGAATCTCCTCGCTGGGTCTCCAGTGAGATGCCCTTCTCAGTCCTTTCACCAGAGAAAATAGGCTCTTTTTCTTTTCTTTTTTCCCCCTGCAGGTTTTGGCAGTTACAGGTTGCAGGGTTCTCTGGGCCCATCCAGGAGATGAGAGAGAAAAAGAAAACTCAGGGCCTGGTACAGCATCACCCCCAAAGTCCTGAGGTTCCTGGACAGCCTTTCTTCCTCTCCACTTCCTAGAGTCCTCTTATGTCTGTTAAATTTTTTCCAGGGTGTCTAGTTGTATTTAGAGGGCAGATGCCACCTCGTCATAGAATGCCGGGGTCCACTCTCCAGACATTTGGAACGAGTTGCCAGGAGGTCCTCGGGAGGGTGTGACAGTTCACACGCCCACCAGCAGCGTTTCCACGTCTCCATTTCCTCTGCCCCTGACAGCATCTAATGTTATGATTTTTGTTTGTAAATTTGGCTTTTGGTTCCTTTATGAGGGGATTAATTAATACAGGCTGCTGGCTCCTTCCCATGAATCCAAACCTTGGAGATGCCATCAAAGGGATGACAGTTGATGGAGCCCAGAACCTAAGAGGACCCCTGAGAGCCTTGTGGAGGCTGGGCAAACGTGGTGGAGTCTGGGACAGGAGGGGAACCAGAGTCTGAGTGGAGGAGGCCACACAGCACAACCCGGGCCAGACTGCAGCTCTCTGCTCCAGGGCCCACCTGGAGCTGCCATCTGCCAGCCCTGCTTTCCTGTAGAAGATCCCACCCATACCAGCCCCAGGAATCTAGGCAAGGCCAGAGCACCTCAGGAGCCTCCTGGAGTGAGGGCCACGACACCTGGGCAGGCTGGCTGGTGGCCCCTGGGCAGCCTTCCTCCCCAGCCCAAGGACAGCCAATTACAGCACAGGGCAGCCCTGGACAGACAGCACCAGCTAGAAGGACAGGGGCGTTCGCTGCAGACCATAGCAGCCACCGGGGATGAGCAAAGAGGGCCCCAGTCATCCTGCCAGAGGCTCTGCCCTGAGGAGCCCCTGCCTGCCTCCCTGAAACCCACCAGGAAGGTGTCAACTGGGGCCTAAGACGAAGGCAGCTGACCACACCCAGGGAACAGACAGCGGCCTGAGGAAACGAGACAGTGAGGGGAGTGAACTCCGGGAGGGAAAAACCCCAAGGTTTTTCCTTGGAGGAGGGAGCAGATGAGCGGATAAGACCGGTAAATCCGTCACATACCCTCAGGACGCAGGGAGAGCGCGGCTGGAATCGGCAATTATGCAGAAGACGCAGCCGGGGATACTGGACTGGAACACGCAGGTGCTTAAGTGATGAACTTGGTGGGAAGGTTGGAGACTAGAAAATGAACGAGTGAGACCGGTCAGGCTCTGAGCTCTTCTAGAAGGATCTGAAGGGGTTGAGGAGGCAGAGGTGAGGGAGGAAAAATATTCAGTGCTTAGAAGAGGAAAAATGAATAGATAAGAGGAGGTATCTGAAAAATGATTAGGAACTTTCCCCAATTAAGAAAAGATGCACATCCTCAAACTGAAAGGGCCTGCAGAGCGTTAATTACATTTTAAAGTTAAAATGTTATGTGTAATTTCAAAGAAAAGCATCTACATTTTGAGTCAAAATTGCTAAAAACTTCCAAAGAGAAAAAGCAGGTAACCCGCACAGGAAAGGGAGTGGTGCTGACATTAGAATCGCAGCACAGACAACGGATGCAAGAAGAAAGGGAGTGACAGCTTCAGATGCGAGAGGAAAGGACCCTGGAACCCAGGGCTGCATCCTGCTCACCGCCATGAAACATGGGCATGCAGGAAGCCATCCTCAGTCCTATCAGCCCCCTTGAGAGTCAACCCCAAAAACACTCTCGGAGAAATATTTCAGCAAGAAAAAGGAACTGGGGAGTATGCTGCCAGGTCTAGGGAGGAGTGATGCTTCCCCCGCGTGGATGCTTCACTGCCATCTAAGTAAGCAATGACCTCCGCGTGTGCTGCACAGTCCAGCTTCCTCAGAGGCCGTGGTGGCCTGGTGGAGGAATGTGGGCTGGCTGGGCAGCCACAGAGAATTACTGTTTCCATTAAAAGGAAATGTGTTCTGGCCGGGAGCCCTGGCTCACACTGTAATCCCAGCATTTTGAGAGGCTCAGGCTGGTGGATCGCTTGAGGTCAGGAGTCTGAGACCAGCCTGGCCAACCTGGTAAAACCCTGTCTCTGCTAAAAATACAAAACTTAGCTGGGCGTGGTGGTGGGCGCCTGTAATCCCAGCACTTTGGAAGGCAGAGGCGGGCGGATCACTTGAGGATAGGAGTTCGAGACCAGACTGACCAACATGGGGAAACCCCATGTCTACTAAAAATACAAAAATTAGCCTGGCATGGGGGCACATGCCTGTAGTCCCAGCTACTTGGGAGGCTGAGGCAGGAGAATCGCTTGAACCCGGGAGGTGGATGTTGCAGTGAGCCGAGATCACACCACTGCACTCCAGCCTGGGCAACAGAGCAAGACCCTGCCTAAAAAAAGAAAAAAAGTGTCACATGGAGACGTGTGTCCGTTTGGGACTGTTTTCCAGCCTTTCCACATTCTCCCCCTCCCCATCTGTCACTCCATCTCCACCAAGCTGTGTTTTGATGTTGTGTTTGCATGATTTGGTGTATCTGGCATTTTAACATTTCATCTTTGCCACTATTTATTATTTTCTGTTTCTTCATAGTAGCCACTAAATTGATTTCAGGTGATATCTCATTGTGGTTTTTGATTTGCATTTATCTAATAATTAGTGATATTTAGTGTCTTTTCATATGCTCATTGGCCATCAGTACATCATCTTTGGGAAAATGTCTATTCAAGTCATTTGCCTGTTTTTAAATCAGGTAATTTGTTGATTTGTTGTTGAACCATGGAGACATATTTTTAAACCACAACATCTATCTTGCAGATTGCGGTGAGAACTAAAAGATTTATGTATGCAGATCATATTACCTGTCACGTAGTAGGCACTCAAAAATTATTACTTGTCTTCTTAGGGTTGTTATGTTAAATAATGTTATGTTAATAACATATGTAAAACTGCTTCTTAAATTATAAAGTGCTATGCAAATGTGAGTTAATACTACAAAGCTGTATGCAAAATATTTTAATATTTTTCTGAGATTCTCCATACTTAAATATATAAATCTTTCCATCTCTAGACTTTATTCTGTTTTTTAGCTGTAATCCCCTTTTTCCATTTTACTTCAAGTTTTATAAAAAAAAAAAATAGCAGCCAAAATAGAACAAGTAAAGACGGAGAAACAATAACTAATTTCACTAAAGCAAAGTCAGAGTAAGATCTATTTAAAAATAAAACGTGAAGAAAAGCTGCAATGGATTACATTATTGAAAAATCCTAAGAGAACCAGAACTGCCGTTCCTTCAGAGAATGTGAGTGATGTTGAAAGACTAATAACGTTTGGGTAACATTAATTACAGTGATGTTATAAACTCTGGTATTCCAGTTGCCATAACAACCCGCTATATGTTGGTTTTCTAATGACATTTTGAACGAGTGCTGAGGTGGACTGCATCACTTCAGAACTTTGATTGCTGTCACTCAGTGATTTTAAAATTGAATTGTTTTGTTCTTAAAGAGTCAGAATATGTCACTGTCTTCAGAAATATTCTCAAAATTATGGGGAGGAAGTGATACACATTCTTATACAATTATAGAGCACTAAAAAAAAGAAACGTATTTTGTTTTTAATATAAAATTAACAGGTTTTTTAATAGGGAATAGAAAAAAACAGAAAGGAGAAAGATTATGCTTCATGCTTCTCAGAAGACTTTGTTCCCTTGCAGAATTATTTGACAATAAAATTATTTCTAGAAAAACTCACTTTTCTTGCTTATATTTATCTCGTCTCCATTCTCTCCTTTCTTTTCACCTCCCTGTTTCTTTCTTCCAATGAATTCTTTTAGAAGCCATGGATTCTGGTCAAGGTAGATGCAACACTTTGGAGTTAGTGAGAAGAGGTCATTCCTCCATCCAGCTTTCTGCTTTCTGATCTCTCTTCCCTCTGCTGACCAACCTGTTGCCCAATGGATATAATAAAAGAAAGACTACTTGCCACTGGCTTATATTATATTGGATTTTAATATTCCCAAGAGAATGTGTTAAATATATATTGTGCCACTGACCAGAAGCAAAACATGATTATAACAGACATGCTTCTAAGTATTTGCTCAGCCCACAGCCTACTCTGCTTCTGCTGCCCAAGGGGCATCCCACCCACCCATCCACAAATATGAATCATTTGATTAAATCGGAGCACCAGAACCAACTCATCCATATGCATTGAGCTGGACAAACACATTCTCTCTTTTTCTCCTCTTTTCCCTCTTTCCTCTCCCTCTCTACAAATTCAGCTAAGGTGAATGCTAACCATTTGCAATGGTGTTTAAAGCAGAACAGTGGTGTTCTGTGGCAGAACTCTGTGCTACAGGACTCTGAAGGGAAATTATGCCCACTGCCTCCCCACCCACCCCTCTTGCCCACCCCCACCACAGTTCCAGCAGCATCTCAGTCTATACAGTGCATCTCAGGCAGTGGAGGTGGCATCATTCCATGTAAAGCATATTCTATGCTCTATAAACCCTGAGCCCAATGCAATGCCATCTTAAGTAGGCCCAGGTCTGCCCCTTGTCCAGATGTGCCATCAGCACCCTTTCAACACTCTCTCCCCTCCCCCTTTCTCTATACTTAAAACTCCCTCTACCCCACCCAGATATCCAAAGGCATTGATCCTACCCTCCTAAAGCTCCCAGTGTGGCCAGCTCCTCAGAGGCCTCTCAGGGAAGAGTGAAATGAGCTAATCAACCCAGCCTAGGCTTCTGTTGACCCAGAACCAATTCAAGATGAAGACCATGTCTTAGACAGCAGCTGCCAGGGAAATACATGACTTATACAATGACATCAGCTGAAATTCACAAAGGTCATTGCATTTAACTCATTCCTCACCCAAGGTGATGCAAGCATGCTAACCCTTTTCCTCCCAGTCTTCTCTGGATGATCTTCTCCACTTGATTTTACTGGGATGTACATGAACAAGCTAGAGGAGCAGCCTGTGCCTGTTATCTTCTCCTCCTCACTGCTGAGGTCACTCTCCACGCTTCTCATCCTACTCTCTTGCTGGGGACACTGAACTGTATGAGTTTCATCAATGGACTCCCTTGCCTTTTGACCTCGAGTTGGGTTCTGCCAATTAGAGGTCGTTAATAGGAGATAAGAGGGAGGGAGAAGGATTGGAGGCTGGGATATTTATGCCTCTGGCTTGATCCCTGAAGTATTGTCTTGAAGTCATCTCTATGTGATTCTCTCCACCCAGGTTCCAGTAACTGATCCCTCCTCATATCATTTCTGGTGAGGAGTTGTAACTGAACTCAGTGGTGCTACACTGTCCTTTATGGACTCCATAAACACTGCTCATCCTTTGTAAACAGTCCCTTCACTAAACCTCCCTCCAATTGTCCTAATGAAAATGGCCCAACACATTCCTCCTGGGATCCTGAAATGATTCCTTAAATGATGTGGTCTATCCTATCTCCCCTTCCTGCCTACAATGGCCTTGGGCTCTGTCCTAATTCTGCTGCCTTTAAGATTGGTCTACCCTAAACTATATCCACATAACCCCAAGATTGTCCCTTCATGCCTAACCCACAAAGAGAGGTGATAGGAGTTAGGCTGAGGAGTGGGGATAGGGAAAGACAAGGCTCAGCATGGTCCCTGATAACCTCATAGCTTCCAGGCAGATGAAGGTAGGGTGGAGGCAGGCTGCTCTGAGCCCAGCTGGTTGGTGCTCAATCAGAAAGGATATGGGTTGAGCTCAGAAAGCCTGAGAGCAGTGGCACTCTGGAGCAGATCAGAAGCCAAGACTCTAAGAACAACATGCAAATCTGTGTAGGGAACATCAGAGGCTCCTACCCAGGTCTGAGCAAGTGCAGACAGACAGGCTGGTTGTCAGGAGGCACTGATTGACAGGGGAGAGGAGTGAATCAAATATGAAGCAAAGCAATGATCAATTATCTCAATCTGCAGATAGGAATAGATTCTTACAGATAGAAATTTAAGTCAGAGTTGCAAGGGGATTTAGAAATCACACACTTCAATCACTTCACTTTTAGATGAGGACTATCAGACTGTAGACACAGGGGTGATGAGCGCAGAACAAAGACAAACACCCAAAACTTCTCACTTCTAGATTAAGGATTTACCTGTGAAACCCATGCTTCTAAAAAGACAGGTCGATTCTACTTTTTAAATATATTTAAACAGAGTAGCTTTGGATGAAAACATGATGTTATGACCTTGATATTCTTACATCAAGTATATTTTCAACGGGTCACTAGAAAAAAAAATTGATGTAGTAAAAAGAATCTACACAGGATCAAACTGATAATAACTAAAATGATATATGTTAACTTTGATATTGACAAAAAACTGACTGAAGAATCTCATTGTGTTGGTAAGTCACAAAACTACAAAAGTGAACTCTTTTAAAATTGCACTTTATAGAAATAACACAAAATAAAACTGACAAAGGTGAAAGCTTTACACAGAAAAATTTGTAATTGACTTTAAAAATTGACAAAAGAATCAAATCTTCTTGTCAAAAATTATACCTGCAAAATCTAGCCCAGGAAAATTAGGTTTGGTAGAAAATGACTACAAAAGAAACCTCAAAATTGCTGATTGGAAAAGTTGGAAAGATTTAATAAGGACATAAAATGGGATCACTGAATAAAGTCTAAATTATTTCAGTAAAATAAAAATACTGAAAATTATTTAATGGCACAGGAAGAAATTTGATCAAAGAATTACATTAATTCAAGACATCTGCTTCTAGAAAATAATTTCTTGATAATATTTCCAGAAATGTTGGAATAATTCTGATGAAAATGTTTGTTTTCATTCAATAAAAAATGTCCTCAGGGTCAAAACAACTGAGAGAGAAGTACCTGATGTGGGACTTCTCAGGTAGCCCCCACTCTTGGGGCTTCCAGTTTTACATTTACCAAGTTTAAAGAAATCTAAGATCTCTTTCCAGGATCCTAACAACTTGCCTAGATCAAAATAACATATACTTCAGTGAATGATTTCAGCTGGTTGATAAAATCAAAGTTTACCAGAAGGCATGAAAGTTCAGAGATCCCCTAACCATTTCAAAGGGGGTTTGTACTTTAAAATCAATCTACATGTCACCTCACACCCATTATGATGGCCACTATTTAAAAAGAAAACAGAAAATAGCAAGGGTTAGCACCAATGTGGAGAAATTAGAGCGCTTGCGCACTGTTGGTGGAATGCAAAATGATCCTGCCATTATGGAAAACAATATGGAGGTTCCTCAAAAAATTAAAGCTAGGATTACCATATAATCTAGTGATATGGTTTGGCTCTGTGTCCCCACCCAAATCTTATGTGGAATTGTAATCCCCACGTGTTGAAGGTGGGGCCTGGCAGGAGGTGATTTGATCATGGGGGTGGTTTCTAATGGTTTTGCATCATCCCTCTAGTACTGTCTCATGACAGAGTTCTCATGAGATCTGGTTTTTAAAAGTGTGTAGCACGTCCTCCTTCACTCTGTCTCTCTCTCCTGCCACCATGTGAAGATATGCCTGCTTCCCCTTCACCTTCTGCTGTGATTGTAAGTTTCCTGAGGCCTCCCAGTCATGTTTCCTGTACAGCCTGCAGAAACTGTGAGTCAATTAAACCACTTTCTTCATAAATTACCCAGTCTCAAGTAGTTCTTTATAGGAATGTGAGAATGGACTAATACATCCAGCAATCCCACTTCTGGGCATATATCCAAAAAAGAATTGAAAGCAGTATCTTGAAGAGATATTTGTACATGGGTGTTCATAGCAGCACTATTCACAATAGCCAAGAGCTGAAACCAACCCAAATGCTCATTAAAAGATGAATGGATAAAGAAAAGAGTGTGTTTCTTTAAATATGATTTTATGCTGGGATCATAGAGAACCCTGGATTTTATGCAAATGAGTGGGAAAAAAATTAACCCAACACAAAAAAGTAGGTTTATACTGATCATACAGGACAACACCTTTCAAGATTGTAAAAAGTTAAAACTTTTCTCTCTTCACATCACCTGTAATGATGACACCCCATAAAGATTTTTCTGTATGTATCCTTAGTTTTGCACAATCCCCTGGCCCCAGTGCTGCATCCCCATATCCCACTTGAGAAGAATATGCCAATAGTTAAGGCCACACAATAGGGTCAGCACATCAAGCTTCAGGACTTACAGCCTCCATAAAAGAGAAAATTCTCCTTTCTTATGTCACTCTCTCAAAGCCAGGGTTCCTGAAGAAAGGATTTCTGGCGTCATTACACAAAGGAGATCCTGGAAATTAAGGTTTGCCATGGGTTATGTCCAGTACTGGAATAAACACAGAATTATTGAGGTACCTTCCTCTGTCTTCTTTGCAAACTCCTCGTTGCAGCTCCTTCCTTGCAAACCCCTCTGTCTTCCTTGCAAACCCCTCATTGTAGCTCAGAACTCTGCTTTGGCATTGCCTCCTGGTAAAGCCCCTGCTGCGTCCACCCTTCCAACCACACTTCCTCACTCTCCTCCGCACCACTTTGGTGCTGCAGGAGTTACACTTTCTGTTGCAAAGATCAAGTAGTCTCGGGTGACCTCTGGTGATGTGGGTGATTGGAAAGATACTTAAGGCAATAAGGAAGCACAGGTATGACACTAG
The DNA here is from genome assembly GCF_000001405.40 of Homo sapiens. NCBI lineage: Eukaryota > Metazoa > Chordata > Mammalia > Primates > Hominidae > Homo > Homo sapiens. The sequence continues at coordinate 33,658,046 of NC_000016.10, read as the reverse complement.
GCAGGTTGTAGTCCAGCCTCCCAGAGCCCTGGGATGTCAGAAAGGGCTCCCCTTTGAGTCAGTAATGGTAATGCCCCCTTGAGAAGAGGGACCTTTGGCCCCTGACTCCCGACGGTGCCATACTCACAGTTTCACTTCTCTCCTTCACCTCTCTGTGCTTCCGCTTCTCACTAGTTCAGCTGTTACCTCCACTTTTGTTTCTTTCTAATTCTACTCTGGTTCTGTAGTTGAGTTTCTCACAGTGGAAACTACCTGTGCTCTCACTGGTTGGGTCAGTGAGTTGCCTCCATTATTGGGCAGAATTCTGCTATTAGACCTCCCAGAGCCCATTGGTAAACCTAAGATTGTAAAAATGTAAAACTTTTCTCTCCTCAACGTCATCTGTAATAATGAAACCCCCAAAATATTTACTCTATGTATCCTGTAGTTTTGCACAACTTTGTGGTTACCTTTGGCCAAGTTACAGATTCTTGATCAGTTCGATCATGGTTACTTACCAGGGTCACATGACAGAAAGTCAACAACTTATGGAAAAAGAACAGTCTTTGCTGCTTTGCTCAGAAGGTAATATGTACAAACTTGCATTATTGCATATATCACAATACAGCTTGTTTCTGCATAGCCCAGTCCCCTACAAGACTAGAACCGTGAGGCCAGTGGTATTTCCTATATTTGCATGTTCAGCATGTAACATACTGCCTGGTACATGGTAGATTCTCAATAAAGCTCTGTTGAAGTTAATTGAAATGAAAGTAAAATCAAAATACCTGAATTCTAATTTTGCTATTTCTTTGCTATCTGAACTAAGATAAGTTACTTAATCTTTCTGAACCTCCCTTTCTTCTTATGTAAAAAGACATAGTTGTGGTAAATATTAAGTAAGATGTGGGCATACCTAGCACAGTTTTGTGTGTGTGTGTATGTGTGTGTGTGTATACATATATATATATTTAAACATATATATATATATTTAAACTGTCTCTTTGTTATACCACTGCCATGTATTGTAATTACATTCAAATAGATCTTCTCTTCCAAACAAAGAGTAAGTTTTAAGGACGGGGTCTGTGTCTTATTAACCTTTGCACCTCCATACCATCACCCAAATTTCTGCTTTTGGTGGGTATTTAAGATAATTAATGGCATGAAGCGCCAACGGATTTATAAACTGTATGTGCTTAAAATCTCCATATATTAACATTTTTAACAATTTTTTAAAAGCAGGAAATATTAAGCATGACAAATTATGGTCAACCCGAGTTTCAATAACTCTGGGTGCCTAGCAATCTTCTAAGAGTCAAACGAAAGCAATGTTGCCTAGGTTGCAGTTTTCCAGTGTGTGTCTCCACCTACTGTATTTACTGGAAAGCTGCTGAAGCGTTCCTTCTAATCTTGAGGTTTTCAAGCGTCTATCTCTGGGACAAGCAAAGCTCTGCATTGGGCACCACAGTCTAGCACACGTTTTCAGGCACCACTAGAGGGCAGGCTAACGCTAACTTTGGGGGCTACTAAGCAAGGGCTTTAGTCTCGAAAAAATGGGTAAACGCACCACTTGTTTCTTGGGTCTGTTTCTAAATGGAAAAGTACATGTGGGCATGTCCAGATTTGTATTTCGTGTTCCCTTGATTCATTATTTAATCCTTCGGCTCACCTTTCCTTTTGTTTTCTATTTCCTCCTTCAAGTTCTTTCTCCTCTGGAGTGTAACAAATAAACCTTTTTTCCCTCCCGCCAAAGGCTTAACCCACAAAAATAAATCAAGATGAAGGAACAGAAGGAAACATTGCATAATTTAGTTAGTGAAAGTTGGACAGCTGAGGTTTCCTTTGGGTTTATTCTAAAATAAAGGATTTTTTAAAGGTTCAACTTGCCTAATTTTCCATACTTTGGGCAGCTTGCCAAGGCGGGAAGGGAAGGGGATTTGCAGAAAGAAGAAAACTGAGAGAGAGAGAGAGAGAGAAAGAGAGTGTGAGAGTGTGTGTGTGTGTGTGTGTGTGCGCGCGCATAGCGGGGCGCGTTTCTGGGTGTAGGGGATGTTTATAGGGATAGAGGAAGGAAATGAAAAGCAGAAGTTGGGAGTTGGATGGTCACAGAAAGAACACTGGCTTGCAAGTATTACTGGGCCACCATGAGCAGTGCTGGGACACAGCTCCACTGGACAGCCACCCCTTTCTGTAACCTGAGAGCCGCCACCCTACTCACACCTCAGGCTCCTCATCAAGCATGTGAGAAATTTGTACTAGATGACCTTCTGGTTCAAATATGAGCCTGTGTTGAGCGAGAGAAAACATGGGGGTTAGAAACGCAGGATGAATATTTGTGGAGAATCTGAGAATGACAAACAGAAAGCAAGCAAGCTAACAAATACACTATGAAGCTGGAAGAGTTTTCCAGCTGACCCAAGTGTAGAAGCAGTTGCCCCATTTAGAATATTTGGAACATTTTCCCTCCCATTATCAGGACCCTAACACCGGGCTGCCCTCTGTTCTACCCTCTGGAAAATCCAAGGGAAAAAGCTACCAAAGCAGACAAGCAAGGATAGAAACGGTGGTGGCATTGCAGGCTGGTCTGCATTGCGGCTATAGAACAAAAATTTCCAACCCAAAATGATAAGCTAATAAAATTCTAAACACAAACTTCCTCTAGCCAGTTAAAACAATGGTTCAAAGAAATACACATCCCTTGGGATCGTACTGCTATTCTTCCATAGTTAGTGTAAGTTCAGTGTTGGTTTTTCATGACTTTTGGAGGCCACTAACTTTCCATTTCACCTGCACAGTTTCAATTACTCTAATCGTATAGCTCTTTAATAATCAGCCTGGCTATGAGTTGGAAGCTTTAACTGCTCTCTGACAATAAGTAGTAGCTAATTAATTGCTACTTATGAACTTTCTATTTTTTTATCTTAATACTTGAGAGTTCTTTCCAGATAATCACTGGAGAATAAGGAGTTTTTACCCCTATGTGGCTATTCCTCTAAAACTAGCTATATTTAACTAGCTCTAAAATAGATGCGAAAGATTGTTACTTTGCGTGCAACAAATACACAGGAAGAATTGAAAGAACTATATTTTAAATTTGTTACATCTGCAATTTCAAGTAACCACCACTAGGGGGTGGTGCTAAATACTTAAATGGTAATTCTCAGTCTGAGTTCAAAAATGCAGATGTCTAGGTCTTGGAGAATCAGGATCTTCTGAGGAAGCCCTTTTTTATTATTATACTTTAAGTTCTGGGGTACATGTGCAGAACATGCAGGCTTGTTACATAGGCATACACATGCCTTGGTGGTTTGCTGCACCCATCAACCCATCATCTACATTAGGTATTTCTCCTAATGCTATCCCTCCCCTAGCCACCCACCCCACAACAGGCCCCAGTGTGTGATGTTCCCCTCCCTATGTCCATGTGTTCTCATTGTTCAACTCCCACTTATGAGTGAGAACATGTGGTGTTTGATTTTCTGTTCTTGTGTTAGTTTGCTGAGAATGATGGTTGCCAGCCTCATCCATGTCCCTGCAAAGGACATGAACTCATCCTTTTTTATAGCTGTATGGTATTCCATGGTGTATATGTGCCACACTTTCTTTATCCAGTCTATCACTGATGGGCATTTGGGTTGGTTCCAAGTCTTTGCTATTGTGAACAGTGCTGTAATTAACATATGTGTGCATGTGTCTTTATAGTAGAATGATTTATAATCCTTTGGGTATATACCCAGAATTGGATTGCTGGGTCAAATGAGTATTTCTGGTTCTACATCCTTGAGGAATCACCACACTGTCTTCCACAATGATTGAACTAATTTACACTCCCACCAGCAGTGTAAAAACGCTCCTATTTCTCCACAATCTCTCCAGCATCTGTTGTTTCCCGACTTTTTAATAATTTCCATTCTAACTGGCATGAGATGGTATCTCATTGTGGTTTTGATTTATATTTCTCTAATGACGAGTGATGATGAGTTTTTTTTTATATGTTTGTTGGCTGCATAAATGTCTTCTTTTGAGAAGTGTCTGTTCATATCCTTGGACCACTTTTTGATGGGGTTTTTTTTTTCATGTAAATTTGTTTAAGTTCTTTGTAGATTCTGGATCTTAGCCCTTTGTCACATGGATAGATTACAAAAGTTTTCTCCCACTCTGTAGGTTGCCTGATCAGTCTGATGATAGTTTCTTTGGCTGTGCAGGAGCTCTTTAGTTTAATTAGATCCCATTTGTCAATTTTGGCTTTTGTTGCCATTGCTTTGGTGTTTAGTCATGAAGTCCTTGCCCATGCCTATGTCCTGAATGGTATTGCCTAGGTTTTCTTCCAGGGTTTTTATGGTTTTAGGTCTTACGTTTAAGTCTTTAATCCATCTTGAGTTAATTTTTGTATAAGATGTAAGGAAGGGGTCCAGTTTCAGTTTTCTGCATATGGCTGGCCAGTTTTCCCAATACCATTTATTAAATAGGGAATCCTTTCCCCATTTCTTGTTTCTGTCAGGTTTGTCAAAGATCCGATAGTTGTAGATGTGTGGTGTTATTTCTGAGGCCTCTGTTCTGTTCCATTGGTCTACATCTCTGTTTTGGTACCAGTATCATGCTGTTTTGGTTACCGTAGCCTTGTAGTATAGTTTGAAGTCAGGTAGCATGATGCCTCCAGCTTTGTTCTTTTTGCTTAGGATTGTCTTGGCTATGCAGGCTCTTTATTGGTTCCATATGAAATTTAAAGTAATTTTTTTCCAATTCTGTGAAGAAAGTCAATGGTAGCTTGATGGAGATAGCATTGAATCTATAAATTACTTTGGGCAGTATGGCCATTTTCATGATATTGATTCTTCCTGTCCATGAGCATGGAATGTTTTTCCATTTGTTTGTGTCCCCTCTTATTTCCTTGAGCAGTGATTTGTAGTTCTACTTGAAGAAGTCCTTCACATCCCTTGTGAGTTGGATTCCTAGGTATTTTATTCTCTTTGTGGCAGTTGTGAATGGGAGTTTACTAATGATTTGGCTCTCTGTTTGTCTATTATTGGTGTATAGGAAAGCTTGTGATTTTTGCACATTGATTTTGTATCCTGAGACTTTGCTGAAGTTGCATAAGGAGATTTTGGGCTGAGATGATGGGGTTTTCTAAATATACAATCATGTCATCTGCAAACAGAGACAATTTGACTTCCTTTCTTCCTATTTGAATACGTTTATTTCTTTCTCTTGCCTGATTGCCCTGGCCAGAACTTCCAATACTATGTTGAATAGGAGTGGTGAGAGAGGGTATCCTTGTCATGTGCCAGTTTTCAAAGGGAATGTTTCCAGTTTTTGCCCATTCAGTATGATATTGGCTATGAGTTTGTCATAAATAGCTCTTATTATTTTGAGATACGTTCCATCAATACCTAGTTTAAAGAAATTTTTAAGGGGTGGTGAATTTTATCGAAGGACTTTTCTACATCTATTGAGATAATCATGTGGTTTTTCTCATTGGTTCTGTTTATGTGATGGATTATGTTTATTAATTTGCATATGTTGAACTAGCCTTGCATCCCAGGGATGAAGCCAACTTGATCGTGGTGGATAAGCTTTTTGACGTGCTGCTGGATTTGGTTTAGCAGTATTTTATTGAGGATTTTTATATCAATGTTCATCAAGGATATTGGTTTGAAATTTTTTTGCTGTTGTTTTGTCTCTGTCAGGTGTTGGTATCAGGATGATGCTGGCCTCATAAAATGAGTTAAGGAGGATTCCCTCTTTTTCTATTGTTTGGAATAGTTTCAGAAGGAATGGTACCAGCTCCTCCTTTTACCTCTGGTAGAATTCAGCTGTGAATCCGTCTGGTCCTGGACTTTTTTTGGTTGGTAGATGATTAATAACTGCCTCAATTTCAGAACTTGTTATTGGTCTATTCAGGGATTTGACTTCTTCCTGGTTTAGACTTGGGAGGGTGTATGTATCCGGGAATTTATCCATTTCTTCTAGATTTTCTAGTTTCTTTGCATAGAGGTGTTTAGAGTATTCTCTGATGGTAGTTTGTATTTCTGTGGGATCAGTGGTGATATCCCCTTTATCATTTTTTATTGCATCTATTTGATTCTTCTCTCTTTTCTTCTTTATTAGTCTGGCTAGCGGTCCATCAATTTTGTTTATCTTTTCAAAAAACCAGCTCCTGGATTCGCTGATTTTTTGAAGGGTTTTTTGTGTCTCTATCTCCTTCAGTTCTGCTAGTTCTCTCCATTGTGATGTTAAGGTGTCAATTTTAGATCTTTTTTCCTTTCTCTTGCGGGCATTTAGTGCTATAAATTTCCCTCTAAACACGGTTTCAGCTGTGTCCCAGAGATTCTGGTACATTGTGTCTTTGTTCTCATTGGTTTCAAAGAACTTATTTATTTCTGCCTCCATTTTGTTATTTACCCAGTAGTCATTCAGCAGCAGGTTGTTCAGTTTCCATGTAGTTGTGTGGTTTTGAGTGAGTTTCTTAATCCTGAGTTTTAATTTGATTGCACTGTGGTCTGAGAGACTGTTTGTTATGATTTCCATTCTTTTCCATTTGCTGAGAAGTGTTTTGCTTCCAATTATGTGGTCAATTTTAGAATAAGTGTGATGAGGTGCTGAGAAGAATGTATATTCTATCAATTTGGGGTGGAGAGTTCTGTAGATGTCTATTAGGTCTGCTTGGTCCAGAGCTGAGTTCAAGTCCTGAATATCCTTGTTAATTTTCTGTCTCATTGATCTGTCTAATGTTGACAGTGTGGTGTTAAAGTCTCCCACTATTATTGTGTGGGAGTCTAAGTCTCTTTGTAGGTCTCCAAGAACTTGCTTTATGAGTCTGTGTGCTCCTGTTTTGGGTGCATATATATTTAGGATAGGCAGCTCTTCTTGTTGCATTGATCTCTTTACCATTATGTAATGCCCTTCTGTGTCTCTTTTTATCTTTACTGGTTTAAAGTCTGTTTTATCAGAGACTAGGATGGCAACCTCTGCTTTTTTTGCTTTCCATTTGCTTGGTGAATATTCTTCCATCCCTTTATTTTGAGCCTATGTGTATCTTTGCAAATGAGGTGGGTCTCCTGAATACAGCACACCAGTGGGTCTTGACTCTATCCCATTTGCCACTCTGTGTCTTTCAATTGGGGCATTTAGCCCATTTACATTTAAGGTTAATATTGTTATGTGTGAATTTGATCCTGTCATTGATGCTAGCTGGTTATTTTGCCCGTTAGTTGATGCAGTTTCTTCATAGCGTTGATGGTCTTTATAATTTGGCATGTTTTTGCAATGGTTGGTACTGGTTGTTCCTTTCCATGTTTAGTGCTTCCTTCAGGTGCTCTTGTAAGGCAGGCCTGGTGGTGACAAAACCTCTCAGCATTTGCTTGTCTGTAAAGGATTTTATTTCTCCTTCACTTATGAAGCTTAGTTTAGCTGGATATGAAATTCTGAGTTCAAAATTCTTTTCTTTAAGAATGTTGAATATTGGCCCCCATTCTCTTCTGGCTTGTAGGGTTTCTGCAGGGAGATCTGCTGTTAGTCTGATGGGCTTCCCTTTGTGGGTAACTTGACCTTTCTCTCTGGCTGCCCTTAACATTTTTTCCTTCATTTCAACCTTGGTGAACCTGATGATTATGTGTCTCGGGGTTGCTCTTCTCAATGAATATCTTTGTGGTGTTCTCTGTATTTCCTGAATTTGAATGTTGGCCTGCCTTGCTAGGCTAGGGAAGTTCTCCTGGATCATACCCTGCAGAGTGTCTTCCAACTTGGTTCCATTCTCCCCATCACTTTCAGATACACCAATCAAACACAGGTTTTGTCTTTCACATAGTCCCATATTTCTTGGAGGCTTCATTCATTCCTTTTCATTCTTTTTCTCTAATCTTGTCTTCACACTTTATTTCATTAATTTGATCTTCAATCTCTGATATCCTTTTTTTCTGCTTGGTTGATTTAGCTATTGATACTTGTATATGCTTCACAAAGTTCTCGTGCTGGGTTTTTCAGCTCCATCAGGTCATTTATGTTCTTCTCTAAAGTGGTTATTCTAGTTAGCAATTCATCTAACATTTTTTCAACGTTCTTAGCTTCCTTGCCTTGGGTTAGAACATGCTCCTTTAGCTCAGAGGAGTTTGTTATTACCCACCTTCTGAAGCCTACTTCTGTCAATTTGTCAAACTCATTCTCTGTACAGTTTTGTTCCCTTGCTGGTGAGGAGTTGTGATCCTTTGGAGGAGAAGAGGCATTCTGGTTTTTGGAATTTTCAGACTTTTCACGCTGGTTTCACCCCATCTTCATGGATTTATCTCCCTTTGGTGTTTGATGTTGGTGACCTTCAGATGGGGTTTCTGAGTGGACATCCTTTTTGTTGATGTTGATACTATTCCTTCCTGTTTGTTAGTTTTCCTTCTAACAGTCAGGCCCCTCTGCTGCAGGTCTGCTGGAGTTTGCTGGAGTTCCACTCCAGACCCTGTTTGCCTGGGTATCACCAGTGGAGGCTACAGAGCAGCAAAGATTGCTGCCTGTTCCTTCCTCTGGAAGCTTCATCCCAGAGGGGCACCCACCAGATGCCAGCCAGAGCTTTCCTGTATGAGGTGTCTGTTGGCCCCTGATGGGAAGTGTCTCCCAGTCTGGAGACATGGGGGTCAGGGACACACTTGAGGAGGCAGTCTGACCATTGGCAGAGCTCAAACATTGTGCTGGGAGATCTAGCGCTGTCTTCAGAGTCAAGTCTTGTTTGTTTTTAAGATAATATATAGATTAGTAATGCATATCTTGCAACCCTTTTAAAGATTTCAATAGATTATATAGGATCTTTACTTCTTTATTTCAGTTCAATCCAACTCGGGTGACAATTACTGATGCCTCTCAGGCCCAGGGGTTTGCTGGCCCATACAGAGGGCTTGTGGCTTTGCAGACTCTGAACCTTGATTCTTTCTGATTTAATCTTTCTACTTCCTTCAATCCAAGGGTCACTTCCTCTTATCAGTTGCACAAGAGACACCATCCCACTTGCGTGTCCTGGCAACAGCTTGTCAAGGTGCTCTAGGTCGAAAGAAGAATGCCAATTCTGCTTTCCCTTAAATAAATCTCTCTGGGAAATCTTCCTTTTTAAATAAGTCTCCTGAGTGAATTTGAGGCAGGCTAAGTTAGACAACAGCAATTCAATTCATTTTAACTGGTGTGAGTTCCCTCAACCCCATCCACAAAAGAAAATCTTCCTTTAGAAAATTGTCATCTTTAACTAAAAGGACAATATGAATATCCACATAGAGTGTATCCATGCCCAACCACTTTTCAGCACCTCTACTGACCACCGTCATCCCTTGTCACAGCCACTGAAATCGCCTCCTAATCAGTTCCCTTGCTTCCATTTCCCTGGAATCAATCTCCACATAGTAGCTGGAATTTATTTTTAGAAAGATAAATTCTGTCATCTCACTTTCCTGCTCAGAACCTTCTATTTACTATACAGCACCCTCAGAATAAAATCCAAATGTCTTACTGTGGCCTGGAAGGCCCTCCATGAACAGGCCTCGGACCACCATATCATTGCCTCCCCTAGCACCTTCCGCCTTCACGCAAAGCTCAGATCCTTGAGCAAGCTATTTCCTCAGCCCGTCCCCAAGATCTGCAGCGCTGACTCCTTCCTCCTGTGCTCAAATGTCACTGCCTCAGAGAAGCTTTTCCTTTGCCTCAGCACCTACCATCAGTCCTGCCAGTGGTGGCTGGGGGCCAGGGGCCAGGAGTCAGGGAGGGTTATTAGAGACAGATTTTGTAGATCCTTTTACAATCACAAAGCAGGAGCATAGTATGTGTTTGTTGAATGAATAAATGGATAAACTTAAGCTAAATCTAAGTATAAAGTGGGAAAATATTAATATGTGTAGGTGCAAACTGCGACCCCCTCTTTATTATTATAACTATGCAATGGCTTTTTAACTAAGCTTTCCACACACATTCAACTTTAACACAGCTACCCTTGTCTTGCCTCTTAGGAGTGATTTTCCATAGGGACTTGAGGGAGATGGACCCTTCCAAAACAGTTATTTCAGAATTTTCAGACACCAAGGGATATATAAAGTTGAAGCTGCACACTCAATATATGTCATTATAATATTTTAATTAATTAATAGTGACTTTAATATGAATAAAGACTTAAGAAAGCAGATTTCAACACAATCTTCTGGTACTGTCTATCCCTAGGGCATTAACGTGATCCTCTTCCTTGGAGCTGAAGGTTTTTGGTGTGTGGCCCTCCAGAGCCCTCTCCACCCTCCTCTGCTCTGCTGACTCTTTGGCCTGGGAGGCTGACCTTCATGGATTATTGTATCATATGGGTTTCCTTGGTCTCTGTTTCATTTTAGGGTTTGGCCAATGGAAAGTATCAGCAGAAATTAAGAGGATGAAAGAAAAGAGTGTGTTATTTATTCTCCAGCTCACCCCCTGTAGATTGGCAGTGGCTGCTTTCCTCTACCAAAGGTCCCAGTTAAGTCAGACAGCCTCTGCTAAACTACAAGTCTCTCTAGGGTCCAGTCAGTGCTCCCTTCCCTTGCCTCCTTAGGCCTGAGGATGGTCATGGCTCTCTGCAGTTACTGGCTCCAGAATGCCCCCCTAATTCTGCTTGCACCTTTGTAAATAGCCTCTTCATTAATTTTTCTTCAATCACTCCTTTGGAGTAAGCAATTAGTCTACTACATGGACTCAGATGACTACGCTATTTTTATTTTTATTTTTTGAGACAGTCTTGCTCTGTCACCCAGGCTGCAGTGCAGTGGCGTGATCTCAGCTCACTGCAGCCTCTGACTCCTGGGTTCAAGCAATTCTCCTGCCTCAGCCCCCCAAGTAGCTGGGATTATAGGCGAGTGCTACCACACCCAGCTAATTTTTGTATTTTTAGTAGAGATGGGGTTTCACCATGTTGGCCAGGCTGGTCTCAAACTCCGGACCTAATGATCTGCCCACCTTGGCCCCCCAAAGTGCTGGGATTACAGACATGAGCCACAGTGCCCAGCCCAGATGACTACACTTTATGAGGGTGATGTTGCTGTTCTAGTCTCTTTCTAATGACAAACGGATCTTAAGTTGCTCAGGTGACTACATTTCAGTCCTTTTCTCTCATTGTCTCCACACTGTCTTCTCTTTTCATTCCCCTCCCGTCCCGAGCTGTTCTCAGCAATAACTTCACTAATGTTTACCCATGCCCGTGCAAAAGCCAGCACTCCCAGAAAGTCCTAGCATTCTCCAACTCTCTACAAAAAGGATCTTGGCTTTTGTTTTCTTTCAGAATATTTATATTTTAAGCAAGGAGAGCTTTAAAAAAGAATCAGCTACTAAATATTCTTTAAAATGACTATCCCACTCCTGTCACCGTTTATTCTCAACACCCTATAAATGATACTGCTTTAGGCAAGACTGGTTGTGTGAGCATTTAACCAACAAATATCAGCGACTGGGAAGCCCATAAATAGCAGCAGAGAGGACAAATAGGATGACTCATTAAGCCCTCTGAGTCAGACTGGCAGAGACTGGCCTTCCTTCATAATTATGGGGCATTAAACCCATCATCTGTGAAGTCACCTCCAAGTCTCATCTCACCAATATCATGCATCTAGTTTCCTTTGAAGATGTGCAATCTTCCTCCTTGTAGCTACTAAGAAATTAAAGTGCTTGGGCTGAGAGGGCTCCTGTAAGCTAATAGTCTATGTCTTCAGCAATTAACCCCTTTCTGAGATCGGCTGGTGTTCATGCTTTTAGCTGGTCCTAGTCCTGGCTTGGGCACCCTCGATCGTGAGTCCTTAGATAAGTCACTTCATCTCACTGAACTTCTTTCATCTATGATGAGATAACAAAACTTGCCTAGCTACAGAGTTGTCATGAAGATTAAAGTCAATTTGGCCAACTACACGACATTTTGGAAAAGGCAAACTATACAGACAGGAAATAGACCAATGATTGCCAGGGACTCGAGGATGAAAAGGTGGAACACATCATATTTTTAGGGCAGTGAAACTATTCTCTATGATATTCTAATGGTGGATACATGACATTTTACATCTGTCAAGGCCCACAGACTGCACAACACAAAGATGAGCCCTGATGTAAACTGTGGACTTCATTTAATAATAATGTATACATACTGATTGATCAATTGTAACAAATATACCTCAGTAATGCCAGATATTAATAGTAAAACAAACTGCAGGGAGAAGAAAGTATAGGTAAGTAGGAATCCTCTTCACTTTCAGGCCAATTTTTATGTAAACCTAAAATCGTTCTAAAAATAATTTTTTGTGACATTACCAGACCAAAATGAATTAATTAATTTAAAAAGTAAAATACAAATAATTTTTTAAATCAGTTTGGATAAGTTATGTGAAAGTATTTGACAAACTCTAAAGAGCTAAATAAACATAAGGCATAATACCCAAATGATCTTAAAGAACTTAATTGTGAAAGTTCATTTGGGGATCTGACAAGTAGAGCCCCAGGTGATGTCTTAATTACCTGTCTCCATGCCTTCGAAGTTGGTTGAGATAGAAGGGTGGGTAGGACTTCTATGACCAGTTTGCCTTCATTGCTGACTGAAAAGATTTCTACAAAATCCAAATCATGGTACAAATATTCTACCCTTCACACAACTACTACCTCTTTGAAATTGCTCAGGAAAGTTTAATACACATACACACTACCTTTCAGCATGTATCCTTTTGATTCTCTGTGGCTCTCACCCTGTCCAATATTTAGCAGTCAAGTTTGATTAAGGTCACATTTTTCAGAGGTGAAAAAGCGATGAGAATATTTCAGGATTAAGTTCAGGATTAAGTTCAGTTAGGTTAGGAAGGAAAATCTTTTCTCCTTGTAAGCCAGAGAATGCCTGACATAGACAAACCTTCTTACAGTGTTTCGTTGTTGGGACCGGGGGCTGAAAGGGTGGCTCTTGCTGGAGCCTGGAAAACATTATCTCTGATGCCCACTCTATCCATGTCAGTTAGGGAGGATAAATTGTAGGGCAAGAAAGAGGACCAGTGGGGTCAAAAATTAGCATAGATCATGCAGAAATGACAGACAGGGATTCAAACTCAAGACAGAGGAAGCTGTTGCTCAGGCCTTGCTAAGTGAGATTAGCTAATTTCAGCCAACTTATTCTGGGATAGTGGTGGTCAATTGCATTTCCTCTCTTGGATAATGCATGTACTTTTGACAAGAACCTTCAAAGCTTTTGAAAAAGGCCTTCAGTGTTCATCACATAATGATCGTTGGAACTCTGTTCTAGGAGCTATTAGTAGACTTGCCATGAAAAAAGAAGTTCTATGGTCAAATAATTAGGAAATGCTTAACATGATGGAGACCTTTGTGAACAATTATGACACACATTCACACATTGCAGGCTCTGGGCAGCCTGCAGCTAAGAAAACTATTTAGTTTCATTTAACTCCAACATGTCCCAGGTTTATGTGCACTTTGAGCACCTTTTACTGTATGCTTACTAACATTTCCTTGAATACCAGCATAGGAAAAAATTGGTTTTAAAAAAGGAAGCAGGCTGAACACGGTGGCTCACGCCTGTAATCCCAGCACTTTGGGAAGCCAGGGTAGGCAGATCCCTTAAGTTCAGGAGTACGAGCCAGCCTGGCCAACATGGTGAAACCCTGTCTCTACTAAAAATACAAAAATTAGCCGGGCCTGGTGGTGCATGCCTGTAGTCCCAGCTATTTGGGAGGCTGAGGCATGAGAATCACTTGAACCCAGGAGGCAGAGGTTGCAGTGAGCCGAGATCACACAAATGCACTCCAGTCTGAGCAACAGAGTGAGACTCCATCTCAAAAAAAAAAAAAAAAAAAAAAGGAAGCAACTAATGGTGGAAGTAAAGCCACCCTGACATGATAACAAAAGCGTCATTGTGGGGAAATGACCTCATATCAGCAGTTTCCCCACTCATCCAGAAGTGAGTATGGTGTACTCTCCATGTAGTGACAATAAATATATTTATTAAATAAATAAATCCTGTGTCCATGATTTCCCCACAACTCCATGTTAGATCCTGTTATCATCCATTAGATATTAAAGTGCTTTCAGCCAAGGAGCACTTGGGGGTTAGCTCTAGATTCTGAGGTAATACTACCAGAAACTAGAAAACGAGGAGAAACAGGTGTCTGAAAAGAGAATCAGAACAGAGAACAGAATCTGATGCGAGGAACTGAAGAAAAGCAAGCTGCAAAACTGACATCTCTTGCACTGCCTCCACTCACTATCTAACTATGTAGACAGAAACATCTAGGTTTTAGGTTGGTGCAAAAGTAATTGCGGTTTTTGCCATTAAAAGTGTATTTAAGAATTAACATCCCTAATGAAAGGTACTAGAAGTTTAAGCCACTCTAAATACTAATAAGATACATAGTGTTTGCACACAGAAGGATGGAAAAACAGGCAATGAGAAAGACTTCTTTGCTGCATATAACTGTCATTGAATGTGGAAGCTTAGTTGTTCGGAATCTAATAGTTGAGACCAGTTTTCAAAACCACTTCCAATTTCAGGGCACAGAATGTCTTAGTAACACCCACAAGTTTCATCTAAAGAATATGACTAAAGCCAGAAAGCAGCCCTGAGGTTTTTCCGCAGAGAGTCTGCCCTGCCTGGGTCATACATGCCCCTATGCAAAGTGGGCCCAGCAGCTGTCCCCTCCTGGTGCTCACCCTGTGGGGGAGCAGAGCCAGGGTGGAAACCTGCTATGGGCAGAATGAGGCTGTGCTGGGCTGGAATGAGCCACTCCCTTAGAGAATCTAAATGAGGATAAAGAATTTCTGAACCAGCTGGGGCCAAAACCCATTCAAGAATAGAAGTGGAAGGGACTCAAGCTTTTTAAGCTTCTTCCACAGCAATCCAGACTCCAACATTGTTTCTAAGGAGGCTTTTGTTTCCCTGGAGAACTCTAGTTTCAAAGTGGACTTTCTTGCACAAAGAGAGCTTCAATAAAATTGGTTGTGTGAGTGTTAAGTGTGAATTCAAAGAAGAATATTAGGCTGGGTCTCAGGCATACGTTACTACTACACTATGTATCTTATTAGTATTCAGAGTGGCTTAAACTTCAAGTACCTTTCATTTGGGATGTTAATTCTTAAACATACTTTTAATGGCAAAAACTGAAATTACTTTTGCATCAACCTAATATCTAGATGTTTCTGTCTACATCTCAGAAGCCAGAGGTGCCTCATGCAAACACTGAGGTACCCAGACAAGGACCACATCCAGACAGGAGGAGCACACAGCACAGTGGCTGTGAGCATGGGTTTTCCATGAGATAGACCTCAGTTAGAATCTCAGCCTCAACACTTACTAGCCATGCAATCAGGGGAAATCTTGCTGTATGATCCTGCTGAGCCTTGGTTTCCTTAACTGTAGAGAGACTAAGAATCTCTAACTTACTTGGGGATTCAATGCAATAATAAGTATCACAGACCAGACACAGTGGCTCGCGCCTGTAATCCCAGCACTTTGGGAGGCTGAGGTGAGTGGATCGCTTGAGCCCAGGAGTTTGACCACCCTAGCAACATGGTGAAACCCCATCTCTACCAAAAATACACACACACACACACACACACACACACACACACACACCAGCCAGGCATGGTGGCACTTGCCTGTAGTCCCAGCTACTCAGGGGGCTGAGGTGGGAGGATCACCTGAACTTTGAAATTTGAGGCTGCTGTGAGCCAAGATGGCACCACTACACTCCAGTCTGGGAGACAGGAGTGAGACCCTGTCTCAAATAATTATAATAATACATGTAATATTTAGCATTTTACCTGGCATATCATAAGTACTTGATATATTGTAGTCATTATAAAGGTCAAATTTCTCTCTAGGACTGGGTTAGAAAATATGAGGAAAATAGATAAGTTCATAGAACTAATTAGAAAAGAGAGAAAGTTAAACTCTCCTATGACTTGATAAAATGTCTGTAGAAAAAGACAATTTCAGCAGGGTTGCATCAGATAAATTGAACCCATCCCCTGCCACATTTGTCCCTGGGCCTTTATATCCTCAGCATGACATTGAACTGATAGGACCAGAAGGTACTGGGAGAAATGTAAATATGGGATGTGACTGAATTTGGGGTGGGTGATTTGCTTCACAGGAATTCTTTGGTTTTTGGAGAAGAAGGCCAAACTGATTTTGTCATGAAGCTGTCATGAAACTGGCATTTTGTGATCATTTTAAAACTTCCATTATAGTTTTAAATAAGTTCCTGGCAGTCTTCAACTTTTACAAAGTCTTCCTGGAAACAGGGTCAGAAAACAAAAAGGGTGAAGCCAAATCCCTTTCCCCTGACATTTGCTGTGCTAGAAAGACAGACCGGGGTCCCTCTCAAAGCTGGCTGCCCGTCACTTCCCAGTTCCCCTGGTTCCTGTGTGCCATTCAGACACCCCACTGCAGTGCTTTCAGCCCACAGGATAGAAAGGAAAAGCTCATGGCTATTGTTATAAAACACAGTTATAAGATCAATGGAATGGTTTTGAATGCATTTGCTTGCTAATGGGAATTTTTACAAGAGGGAAATAGAAGAGAAATTAGTTCAAATTTCCCTAGACAGATGTCTTAAAGAAATCTGAGCCTTCCAAAATGCTACCAAAAAGCTTTTCTAAATTCTGCAAACGAAGCAAAATTGTTGTTAGTTAAATGCGTAATGTTTATTATCACCAGCATATCAGTTTTAGAGCAAATTTACACCACAGTGGAGTTGTATTTTCATGTACTATGAGTACATTTTGTCAATCGTTAGGGTCCCTGCTAAAATCAAAGTAACAATATAGTAAGCCCATTTTAAAGAAGCTAGAAAACAGTTTTACTATTTTTTTTTTATTGGTTTAGAAACTTGTGCTGCTGTGTTTTTTATTTAATGATATCATTAAGTATCCGGCCAAATATCCCTGTCCAAGGAATTCAATCTTTAATTATTACATTATTTCCATGGGAATAAACACTGTCACTGAGTGTTACAACTTAGTTTCTAAAAGTACCTGGTGGCCAGAAGCCTGCTAGCCTCAGAGATATTTCCACAAGTTTAGCAGGGTCCAAACTAACTGAGTTACATCAGCTATTTGTTGCAAGAGTCCCACCAAAATCTGATAAAAGGCCCCTAAAGGAATCAGAATGTTTGCTTATTTGTCTGTTTAAAGTAGTGTCAGAGTAATAGATCAATACAAAATAGGGGCTGCCTATATTGTTCAGAGGAATAGTATATTAAAAAATGCTATTCTTGATCAAAGTAGACCCCCAACATGATAATACATAAGAGAATCTGGAATTCTAAAACTACAAGAAATGGGGAGAGATAGGAAGTAAGCACAAAATAATGAGAAACCTTCAATAATCAGCTTTAGTTTAGCTGATCATTGAATGACAATATTTACTATAGTGTTTTCTGTCTTTGCTAGTTTAACCACATGTTCTGTTTTTCAATTCAAGATCAGGGCATTTTTACATTCACTTTAGGGAAATCATATGTCAAGAAACATTTACTTGTATATCCCCAAGCATTCAGATTTCATGGTAAAAATTAATGTATATGACATACATTTACACAACAGTTACTGGTTGCCCCCTCCAAAAAAAGTCAAGGTGCCACAAAGACTGAGCTCTTGATGTGAGGAAAACAGTCATTATAAGCGGTCCTGTGGTCCCTGAGAAAAAGGATTCCTTCACTCTCTGAAGAGGAATTTATTTATACAGCATGAACAATTATCTGCTGAATTTTAATTCTGTCCTTTCTCAGAAATAAATTTGGGCTCTGCTTTTAAAAACAAGCCCAGGAAATAACAGTTTGCAGGGGCCTGAAATCAGAAGTCTGCAGACTGCTGGCAGGAATGTTCAATATTCATATTCATTGTACAATCGACCTCATGTACCAGAAGGCTTTTCCTCAACTTGAAATCTCAGTGGTCCCTCAAACAAGTTGCAGCATGTGTTTGCCTCACACGTGACACTAACTCTTACTTCTGGACTGAAACAAAAGCCAAAGGTGAATCCTGGTGACCGTCAAGACTCCAGGAATGACCCAGCATTGATTATGGGCTCCTTGGAGAAATTCAGACAAATATGAGAAAACAAATAGGGGTGGAGCCAGAATTTAGGGTGGTGGGGCACTGAGAAACTTTTTTTCTCATTTGCATATTTTCCATTATTGTTGTAACACATGCTTCACTCACAGGGTATGTGACAATCCAGAAGGACACCACTCTCCAGGATGACCTGTGTCTGAGCGTAGAGTTTCAGAGACCAGGCCATTCACTTGGCACAGTTACCAAGAATGGTCTTTTGGAGTTTTTCAGAATGGTTGGAGTTTCTCAGAGATGCGTCCTCATTGTTTGATTTTCTTACATAATATGTACTCCCTTGGTAATCACATCCGCATTTTTAATTATTAACTATATTCAAATCCTCTGGCCCCTCCACTGAGCACCAATGATATATAGCCAACTCTTGTGTACATCCCCACTGCTGGTCCTACAGCCCATCACATTCAGCAATGCTCCCATCATCCCCCACTCTTTCCCAAACCACTCCCCTTCCTGTCTGCTGCCTCAGCAAATAGCACTTCCATCCAGCAAAGCTCCTCAGCCAGACACCTGACTTTCTCTCCCTCACAACCACCCATGACCAAGCCTGTCAATTTCAACTCCTATTAATAATTTTCCCTGAACCAGTCCACTCCCCTCCATCTCTATCACCACCATCCTGGGGGAGGAGACCACTACCATCTCAAACCTATGTTACACACAGTCTTCCTAACTGAAATGCTGAGCCTCTTCTAAAGCACTAGAACTTTCAAAGGCTCAGTCCTACCTTTCTCACCCTGCTGCTCAAAACCTACTCCCACTGCCATTGGTCTAAACAAAACTCTTTTATGTGGCATGAAAGGCATTTCTTGATCTATCTCTTTTATCTCAAAAATTTCATCCCTTGCACTCCATAATCTAGTCATGCTACAACCTAGTCACTGTATTTTGATTACCTGTTTTAATTTTGTTTTTTGTGTTTTTTTTTTCAGAGACAGTGTCTTGCTATGTTACCCAGGCTGGAGTGCAGTGACTATTCTCAATCCTGATCATAGTGCACCATGGCCTCAAATTCCTGAGCTAAAGCCATCCTCCCACCTCAGCTCCAAGGACTACAGGCTCACACCACAACACCTGGCACTCTGTTTACTTCTCTTTTTCCCCTACTAGGTTATAAACTCCTCCAAGGCAAGGATTTAGTCCTGCTCACAGTTGTAACATAACACCTAGCTCAGTGCCTGAACATAGCAGTTGTTCAATCATTAAACTAAAATTTATTTCTCCCATAATTTTTTCTTAAGTTTTGGTGGTTCCAATTGAAAAAAAGACAACATGAATGAACATTAACAAATAAATAAAAAGCTCAGATGCATGAGACCTGCCTGCATCCTTATAATAAAAGCTGTATATTCTTCAAGTAATTTTTTCCTGTTTTATGTGAGGAATTAAATATACCAATGTGTCATAGTGTTAGAAAAGGAGAACTTTGGCCTTCAGGTAATACAACACCTAAAAAAGTTTTATGTCATTTGTATTAGAAAATATCACGTTCCTAGGCTGCTTAGATACTCAGGATTCATTAGCTATTTCTCATTGCAAGTGCCAGAAAAGTGCCAGAAATCCAACTCAATCAACTTAGACACTCCACCCTCACAAAAACTGATAATCAGTTCATGTAATCCAAGAAAAGATTGAATAACCAATACACAGAAAGGACAGTCATGCATTTAGGTCTCAGAAAGGACTCAAAACCAAGATTCAAAAGCTATCAGACTCACTGTGACTCTTCTCTCAAAAAAAAAAAAAAACCTGCATACTCTCACTAGTTCTCTCCACTCCATATGATGAGAAAAAAAAAACACACACACACACAACACAGTATTATTTTCTAGGGCTGCTATAACAACACACTAAAAACGAGTTGTCTTAAAACAACAGAAATCTATTGTCTTACAATTCTGGAGGTTAGAAGTCCAAGCTCAAGGAGTTGGCAGGGCATGCCCACTCAGAGGACTCTCGGGGAGAATCCTTTCTGGCCTCTCCCAGCTTCCCATGTTTGTGGGCAATCCTTGACAGCCAGTGGCTTTTAGATGCGTTACTCCAGTCACATAACCATCTCCTCCCTGTATCTCTTCGCATGGTCTTCCTTCTGTGTGTGTCTGTCTCTGAGTCTAAATTTCCCTTTTTTATTATATAAGGACACCAGTCCTATTGATTAGGGCCTACTCTAATGACCTCATTGTAACTTGATTACATGTATAAACACCCTATTTCCAAATAAGGTCACATTCTGAGGTACTGGGGGCTAGGACTTCAACATACCTTTTTGCAGGAGACATAATTCAACTACAACAACGAATAATAACAGTTTCCAATATTTGCATCTAAAGTCTCCCCTACCAGAGGAAAAGTCTAGAAGTCTTTGACATGGTTTGTGTGGTGTCCCCAACCCCTGGGCCAAACAACAGAGATGGGGGCAGCAGAGTTCTATAAGAACATGATTGTTTCTGTGGTAGTCATATAGATGGGGAAAGTGGTACTATGGAACAGCTATGCTCACATCTGCTTCCCTTCTAGTGACAAGGAGATGGGTTAATGTTAGAGGGTAAAAAAAAGATACAGACACTCAGCAGAGTGAAAGGTAAACATTCACAAGGAGAGGAGTGTTAGGAAAAAGATCAGGAAAGGAGTGTGTGCCATGACTTATCAAATGTCTTCTTTAATATTGTAAGTGGGAAACAAAGCAAAGCATTTGTTCAATTTACTGCTGCTACAAATGAGAGATGCATTATTTTTCTTTTTCAGGGGTTATGGTCAACCCAATTTTCTCCCTACGTACAGCATTCCATTACATATATTTTGCTCCTAACTTATTTTATATTCCAGAGGTGAAAGCATATAAGAACAAATCAGTAAAAACTGTGGTGATACTTTGGCACCAGAAATAAAGTTCTTTTTTAACATTAAGAACTATGGCTAAACCAGGACAAAGGTGACTCAAAATTTCCTTAACTTAAGCTGGGTATGGTAGCACCTGCCTGTATTCTCAGCTACTCAGGAGGCTGAGGCAAGAAGAGAGGATGGCTTGAAGCCAGGAGTTCTAGGCCAGAGTGCACTGTGATCACACCTGTGAAGAGCCACTGCACTCCTAGGCAACAAAGCAAGACCCTGTCTTTAAAAAAAAAAAAAAAAGTTAAAAAAATTTCCTTTACTTAAAGGTTTGTATGACTATTTAGACATACATTGAAGCCAAGTGTGGTGGCTCACATCTGTAATCCCAGTATTTTGGGAGGTGGGGCAGTGAGGATTGCTTGAGGCCAAAAGTTCATGACCAGCCTGGGCAACATAGCAAAATCCTGTCTCTACAAAAATTTTTAAAAGTAGCTGGGCCTGGTGGCATGCGCCTGTAGTCCTAGCTGCTTGGGAGGTTAAGGCAGCAGGATCGCTTGAGCCCAGGAGTTTGAGGCTGCAGTGAGCTATGATTATGCAGCCTGAGTGACAGAGCAAGACCTTGTCTTTAGAAAAAATAAAAGTAAAAATAAAATAAAAATAAAAACATACATTGCAATTGTTCTAATTGTCAAATTTATTTGCTCCAAAATAAAACTGGGCAGGTCTATTTTGGATATCATTTAAACTCCACCATTAAAGAAACTGTATTTTAAAGTATTTTTTAATTATAGAAAAATAATATTTGTTAATTTATAGACATTTTGGAAAAATCTATGAAAGACTGTTTAAAAAATAAAAGTCACCTATAATCCCATCACTAATTACCGTCAACATTTCAATATCTTTACTTAGTTGTTTTCTCTATTTACATAAGTACATTTTTAAAAACTTTACAGAGTTAGATTTATATTATACAGTTTTTGTTTTTTGTTTTTTTGAGACAGGGTCTCACTCTGTCACCCAGGCTGGAGTGCAGTGGCATGAACATGGCTCTCAATGCACCTCTGCCTCCTGGGCTCAAGGGGTCCTTCCACCTCAGCCTCTCGAGTAACTGGGACCACAGGCACGAGCCAGCACACCTGGCTAATTTTTGTATTATTTTGGTAAGGTTCTGCCATGTTGCCCAGGCTGGTCTCCAACTTTTGGGCTCAAGCAGTCCTCCTGCCTAGCCTCCCAAATTGCTGGGATTACAGGCATGAGCTGCTGCACCCAGCCAGATACATATTAAACAGTCTTATGTCCTCATTTTTTCATTTTATATTTTGGGAATACCATGTTTAATCACAGCATAATATTCTATGGTATGCCATAATTCATATAAACACTATTTTATTGTTGGACATGTAGGTTGCTTATTTTTTTATTATAAGGATGTTCCAAATATATATATGCACAGTTTTATTGTAAGCATAGCTAATCACCCCTAAAAGAGATGCAAAGCTTTCCACCATCACTAGGCAAATTTCAATTTATTCTATACAATCTGCCTCTAAAATGAGATAAAATATCAATCATCACAAGAAATATACCAAAATGCATACATACAATTAACAAACATATCTAATTCCTAATTGCAAATTGTCTCATATGTTGAAAAGCACAGTATTCAAGTTCCTTGAGGGCAGGCACAGTGGCTCACACCTAGAATGCCAGAACTGTGGGAGACCAACGTGGGAGGATCGCTTGAGGCTGTTACAGTAAGTAGCTAGTCAGACATGGGTGGAGCAGGGCAGGGCAGGGCAGGAGAGGCGAGGAGTCGGCAGGAGAGGAAAGGAATGGGCAGGAGAGGGTTCCCCCATCCCCAACCCAGGAGTCTTGGGCAGGCGAGGGGGTTGTTAACTGTCTCTCTAAAGTAATAATTGGTCCCAGCCGGTGCTAGGGAAAGGCAGGCTCCCAATAAATAGAAAACACCTGAAACTGATCAACTTCTGGATAAGCTTTCAGGAGTGGGGAGAAGTAACCCAAGATCCTGGAAGTATGCTGATGTATAAAACCCCAAATCAAAAGGTCAAACCACACACTTGTCTTTCAGGTCACCCACTTGGCCCTCTTCCAAGTATGTTTTCCTCCCTTTCATTCCTGCTCTGAAGTTTTTTAATAAACTTTCACTTCTGCTCTAAAACTTGCCTCAGTATCTCCTTCTGCCTTCTGCCCCTCAGTCAAATTATTTCTTCTGAGGAAACGAGAATTGAGGTTGCTGCAGACCTGTGGGATTTGCCATGGTAACAAGGCCAGGAGTTCGAGACTGGCCCAGAAAACGTGGTGAGATCTTGCCTCTAAAGAAAAGGGGGGAAAAAAGTTTCTTGACTCTCTTCAGATCTTTCGGAAATCTTATCCCTTGCTAATAAATATTTGTAGAGTCAGAAAGAGGAGATGGCATTAATTTCTGCATTGATGTTTATATTTTGGTGGTATATGGCCGGGTCAAAGGGCTACATATTCCACCTCTGCTCCAGAGCTGCTTATCCAAGTTCTCTGGGATGTAGCTGGTATAACTAGGAATTATGTCCTTAGAAAGACGCAACCCTGCAGCAGCTAGAATTAGTGCAATTTAGTGAGAAGAGCATGGGACTTTCTCTACACCTGGGTTCAAATTTCAATGCCAGCACTTCCGGGAGCAAGTCTTTGGGCAACTCAGTGTTTGTGAGTCAATCTACTATTTCTAAAATAGGGAAGCAGACAGGTGGACATTCATTGAATACAGAGGCTTTACACAAGCGATCTCGTTTAACTCTCACTAAAAAATGACTGATCCTTTTAAAAATAAGCAAACAGGCTCAGACTGGGTAAGTAATTACTCAGACTCATAAGGAGGCAAGGCAGGATTTAATTCCAGATCTGTCTAGCCCTAAAGCTCACATTCCCTGCCCCACTTGACATGTTGCTTCCTGGACTCACTTGGATTGTGGAGAAATTAGTTGGATTTGAATATCTCCTCTAGCGTAGTGAGCACAGTTTTCATTCCTGTAGCAGTTTTTGTATTATAGTTTGTTGGGATAGAGGGTTGGGACCAGGGCCAGGAACAGGTTCAGGCAAGTGAAACACTAACCTCAGGCAGAAAATATAAGGGGCGGGGCACAAAAACTCAGTCGTCAAGATAAATAATATTTTAATATAATATTTTTTAAAATCTAAATTAATGCAAAAATCCATAAAGAACAAAATAACATTTTAAATGAAAACAAGAACTGATAGTGCCATGTTAAGCCATATTGGAGCCTACAACAGAAAAACATACAACCCTATTCACATGTTTTTTATGTATTTTTGATGTTTAATTATGATAAATTCTATGTAATAATACCTTGGCCGGGCGCGGTGGCTCACGCCTGTAATCCCAGCACTTTGGGAGGCCGAGGCAGATGGATCATGAGGTCAGGAGATTGAGAACATTCTGGCTAACACGGTGAAACCCCGTCTCTACTAAAAATACGAAAAAAATTAGCTGGGCGCAGTGGCGGGCGCCTGTAGTCCCAGCTACTCAGGAGGCTGAGGAGGAAAATGGAGTGAACCCGGGAGGCGGAGCTTGCAAGTTTGCGCCACTGCATTCCAGCCTGGGCGACAGAGTGAGACTCCATCTCAAAAAAAATAAAATAAAATAAAAATAATACCTTAAGCAGATATCAATTTTTTCAGAACACTAGTTTTAAAATATTGAAACAATTGAAAAGTAGATATATTAAAACTCACATTAAGTATTTGATTTATACCAAAATCAGAATTTACTATAAATTTATTTTGCTGGTTTTAATGGAAGCAAACTCATAGGTGATATTTTTATCTAAGTCAATAACCTTTTTTTTTTCCAAGACAGAGTTTCACTCTTATTGCCCAGGCTGGAGTGTGATGGCGCCATCTCGGCTCACTGCAACCTCCACCTCCTAGGTTCAAGCGATTCTCCAGCCTCAGCCTCCCGAGTAGCTGGGGTTACAGGTGCTTGCCACCATGCCCAGCTCATTTTTTTTGTATTTTTAGTAGAGATGGGGTTTCATCAATGTTAGCCAGGCTGGTCATGAACTCCTGACCTCAGGTGATCCACCTGCCTCGGCCTCCCAAAGTGCTGGGATTACAGGTATGAGCCACTGCGCCTGGCCGCCAATAACTGGTTTTAAAAATACGTAAAATCATGTATCCAGTTATATAGTATGTAGTACACATCCTTCCTTTTGCAACATGGCTCAGCACAGCACTGGCTGGAACTATGACTTGCGGCTACCAGCCTCAAAGATTTTCAGGACTCTGTAAATGGAAACAGATCATCTGATCATATCTGACTCCTCAGGTCTCCTGTTAGAGCTCCTTTGGGTAGTAGTCTCTCTTTTCATAGAAGAATATCACTGTCAGGCTGATTTTTAGGGTCATGTTCCTAAAGGCCAATAAAGACAAGCTGTGTTCTCATGACAACAGGCAGAAATCAACCTCACACATCTGCTGACGCTCCAGAACATCTATGTGGACTTCCAAGCACTAAATATCTGAGAGTTACTGTCTTTTAAATACCCCCAAATGAAGGTTTTGAATAACTTTTCTGGAGCACATATGTTCATTTAACATTTATTGAAGACTACATCCCTACTAAATAAAACAGCCTATATCTGGGTTTGCAGATTCTATTATCCAGCCTTATGTTCTTTACCAATTAGTAGTGTATGCCATTATATCTTTTGTCATTTAAAAAGCATGTATTATGCATCTTTTATTACAGTAAGGGCTATATAATAATGCCTTATGCTTTTACGATTTTTCACTTGCATTCAATGCTTATGAAGGTTCTATGAGGTAGGCAGATATGATATTTTATACAAATTAATGTATTAACTTTTTCTTTGAAGCTGCAGATTATCTAGTGATCAGCCCTCTCACTTTTTACTCACTGTCCTCTGATTCCAGTTCTAATGCTCTTTCCACACTGCCAAGTTGCCTCTTCTAACAGACACACAGCCTAATAACATAGGATTTCAGATAGACAAGTGTAGACAAAACAGGACTGTACAGTTGAATATAGGATGTCTGAAGTGATCAAATGAATATGAAATTATGATGTAACCTGCCAAGGAAAAGATGAATTTTCCAGAAGGGAGAGTGAAGAGGAGTCATAGGGCGACTCAGTCCTGGACACAGCCACAGAGCTGGGGAGGCCCGGGCCTGCCGGAGAGGTGGTGCCATGTGTGGTTACCATATGGCTGGGGGCAGAGGCATGGTCAGCAGCACAAGCAGAGCTCAGAGCATGACAGCCTCACCAGAGACAAAAAGTTGAGTCACAAACCTGGCCTAATCAGAATCAAGAAACAGACCAGGCCGGGAGCAGTAGCTCATGCTTGTAATCCCAGCACTCTGGGAGGGTGAGGTGGGTGGATCACAAGGTCAGGAGCTCGAGACCAGCCTGGCAACACAATGAAACCCTGTCTCTACTAAAAATACAAAAATTAGCTGGGCATGGTGGCGGCTGCCTGTAATCCCAGCTACTTGGGAGGCTGAGGCAGAAGAATCACTTGAACTAGGGAGACAGAGGTTGCTGTGAGCCAAGATCGTGCCACTGAACTCCAGCCTGGGTGAGAGAGCTAGACTCCATCTCAAAAAAAAAAAAAAGAAAAAAGAAAAAAAAGAAAAAAGAAATAGACCAATTCTCAGAATGAGTGCCAATGAGAAGACCTAAGAAAACAAGAGACAGGCCAGGTGTGGTGGCTCACGCCTATAAACCCAACACTTTGGGAGGCCGAGGCAGTTGGATCATGAGGTCAGGAGACTGAGGCCATCCTGGCCAACATGGTGAAACCCCCTGTCTACTAAAAATACAAAAATTAGCTGGGTGTGGTGGCGGGTGCCTCTAATCTCAGCTACTCGGGAGGCTGAGGAACAAGAATTGCTTGAACCCAGGAGGTGGAGGTTGCAGTGAGCTGAGATCACATCACTGCACTCTAGCCTGGAGACAGAGTGAGACTCTGTCTCAAAAAAAAAAAAAAAAAAGAAAAAAGAAAACGAGAGACAAAACAGACTACTGTCTGTGATTTCTTTAAAAAACCAGGAGGAGAAGATAAAACTGTTCTGGAGATGGATAGTGGTATTGGTTGTACAATAATGTAAATGTTTAATGTCACTGAACTATACATTTAAAATGGTTTAAATGGTAACTTTTATTATATGTATATTTTTAACATTATATATTGTGTTATATATAATTGTGTATATGTGCACAATTTTTAACATAAATACTTTTTTTAAATCAGACTCAAGTTGACCTAATTCTCTGTACCTCAGAGGAAAATCCTCCCAGGTCCAAAAAAGAAAAACAGTCAGGAGCTGCTTAACCAGTGATTGAGGTGAAGGCAGGGGAATTATACCCACCTAAAGGGACAATTTGTAAGTTTGTCAATATTTGGGGGTTTTGCTTTATTTTTCTTTTTTGAGACAGAGTCTCACTCTGTCGCCCAGGCTTGAGTGCAGGAGTTATCTCAGCTCACTGCAACCTCTGCCTCCCAAGTTCAAGCAGTGCTCATGCCTCAGCCTCCCAAGTAGCTAGGATTACAGGCACATGCCACCACGCCCAGCTGATTTTTGTATTTTTAGTAGAGACAGGCTGGTCTCAAATTCCCAACCTCAGGTCTGCCCGCCTCAGCTTCCCAAAGTGCTGGGATTACAGGCATTAAGTCACCACGCCCGGCCTAGTTTGTTTGTATTTTGGCTCTAACAATGAATGGGGTACAACTTGCTGGGGTCCTGGGATTAGAGATGCCCAATAATATGTGGGTCAGTCATGCAAAAAAAAAGCTGTCTCATGTCAGACATGAGCTTTGAATGTCTTTCAAGTAGATGAAAAACCTATTTACAATGATGTGAGCCTAAAATCTAACTTTAATTTACACATAAAACACAAAATACTTTTGAGTAGTTTTAAATGCACTGAATTTTCTAGGAATACAATTTATAAATGCAAAGAAAATTGGATGTTGCTTCACTGAATTTTTAGGAATGCACTTTATAAAGGCAAGGAAAACTGGATGTTGCTTCACACATAACTTAACCCATTGTAGTTCATCATTCTGGAAAATTACAATACCAATGGTGATGCCCCCTGTGGTATTTGAGTCATCAATGTATCACTCCAGTATCAGTCTGCATTTGTAGGTGTCACATTCACAACGATTCTAGGTATAAGTACAAGCATCTGGCTAAAATGTATGTTTACTGTAAATTAAATTTTTAAAATTTCTCCTTTATGTTACGCTTAGGTTATGTGTGAGATTAGCTTGTATTTTCTATTCACTTTCTTTTAGAATAGAAGATATTTATGAAAGAAAAAGGGTACTGAGACTGGTGAAATGTATCTACATCCAACCAGGATGGCCTGGAGTACACAGCTACTGGGGATTTTCCAAGCACTATGGGAGAATGCATGCATTGTATTGTTTGAACAGAGACCACCCATTTATCACTGACATCCCGTATCCCTTTTCTGCTGCTATCGGGGGTCTAACCTTGTCCAGACAAGCCAGAAATATCTCCTTTTCTCTTCCAAGTACTCTGCAGCATCTTCACTGGAAAAGAGGAATTTCAGATGTTTGACTATTAGAGGCTTGACAAGGGCAGAGAGAGCAGACACCTAGCACAGAGTTGAGTCAGTAGGAACTCTGAGGAAAAGGGCAATGATCAGTTAAAAAAGGTCAGCTATAATATGTTTCCTATCCTCAAAGTCTGCTGCTAAATTAAGGGAAAAAATTTTAAAGATGTATGCAAAAAATTTATTGTACACAATCAAAAGGAAGTTGAATTTAACTACAATTGCAATTATTCATGAGGTTTATCAATTTGTAGATCATTTTGAAGAATTGACAAAATTTTGTATGCTCCTTGGGGAGACACTGAAAAAGTCATTAAAGCAAAGGAATCTCATTAGAAAATGTGGTCTCTGTCCTCACTGAAAGTTAAAGAATGACTCAACTGACAGATAGTTTCCATACTTCCTTTTTAATAGCCATACCTTATATCAGTTTGCTCTCATACATGAGAATGAGAGACCACATATTTTTTCAGAGCAATTTAAAAACAACTGTTTCACCAAGCGCGGTGGCTCACGCCTATAATCCCAGCACTTTTGGAGGCTGAGGCAGGTGGATAACGAGGTCAGGAGTTCAAGACCAGCGTGGCCAAGATGGTGAAACCCCGTCTCTACTAAAAATACAAAAATTAACCGGGTGTGGTGGCAGGTGCCTGTAATCTCAGCTACTCGGGAGACTGAGGCAGAGAATTGCTTGAACCCGGGAAGCAGAGGTTGCAGTGAGCCGAGATTACACCACTGCCCTCCAGCCTGGGTGACAGAGTGAGACTCCATCTCAAAAAAAAAAAAAATCTGTTTCTTTCTACAACCACTTAAAAAAACAAACCATGCCCAAACTTAATTTCATAAACTAAATTGCACTACTAAAAACCAAAGGTTAATTGGAAAATTTAAATTTTCATTACTTTACTGCAGACTTGTTTGTAATAGTAAAAACAAAAATGGAAACAACCTAAATGTTTCAGCAGAAACATAGTTGAACAGGAGACAGTGCATTCATAAATGGAATACCATGCAATCTCCAAAATGATCTTATAGAATTACCAATGTTATTGAAAGATGTGCATGTGCCAGCCATGGTGGCTCATGCCTGTAATCCCAACACTTTGGGAAGCCAAGGTGGGTGGATCACTTGAGCCTAGGAGTTTGAGACAAGCCTAGGCAACATGGCAAAACCCTGTCCCAACAAAAAATACAAAAATTAGCTGGGCATGGTGGCGCACACCTGTAGTGCCAGCTACTTGGGAGGCTGAGGCAGAAGGATCACTTGAACTCAAGAGATGGGGGTTGAAGTGAGCCAGAATTGCACTACATTCAAGCCCAGGTGACAGAGCTAGACCATGTCTCAAAAAAAAAAAAAGCAAGAAAGAAAAGAAAGAAGGATGTGCATGATATATTTAATCATGAGAACATTACTGAAATCCTTTAAAAATGCATATATTTACACATATGTGCTTAGAAAAAAAAAGGATACACACCAAAGTGTTACAAGTCATTGTAACATTGCATTTGTGTAACAACATTTTCTTTGGCTTGTCTGTAATTTCTAAATTGTCTGTGTATATATTACTTTTGCAATAAAAACAATGTCTTATCAAAATAAATACATTTAACTTTTATTGACAGTATTTTCTCTGGGGCTGTCATATTTTTTTCTAAGGCCTCAATAAACTAAACAACTAGACAGAACAGAAGGTAAAAAAGTGAAGCTCATTTTCTTTATTAGTTGTTTATGACCATCATCATCTCTACTCATCACCTTCAAGCACCAAGCTGGTTCTTCCCCACCATCCCTGCCTCATGAATGGCATCAACTCGCTGGCTGCCCAAGTGAGAATTTGTTACCTTTACCCATCCCCAATCCAGGGGCCCACCTCTGTCTAATGTTTCTCCATAATAGCTCCCAAACTCTAACACCCTCCTTATCATTTCTACCATCTTGTTGTTCTATGACTGCAGCAAGCCCTGTAACTGGCCTCTTAGCCTCCAGGCTCCTCCCGACCTAGACTTGCTTACATTGCTGTACAAGTGAGGTTTTTAACATTCTCAGTCTTGTCACTCACTGCTTAAACTCCTTCAAGAATTTTCACTCCCTTCAGGCCAAGGGCTATATGAAGCCCTTCAGATGTGGCCCTTGCTTCTGTCTCCAGCCCCATCTCTCAGCAGTGCTCTTAACACTCCCAACCATCATGAGCTAATTACTATCCTTCCAACATGCCATGCTCCTTCACACCCCGCTTGCTTTGAACACCCTGACTCTTCTGCCTGAAATGCCTTTCCCAGTTCCCCTCTGATATGGTTTGGCTGTGTCCCCACCCAAATCTCATCTTGAATTGTAGTTCCCATAATCCCCACATGTTGTGGGAGGGACCTGGTAGGAGGTAATTGAGTCATGGGGGTGATTACCCTCATGCTGCCATTCTCATGGTAGTGAACGTGAGTTCTCACAAGATCTTATGGTTTTATAAGGGGCTTCTCTCCCTTTGCTCAGCACTTCACCTTGCTGCCACCATGTGAAGGACACGTTTTCTTCCCCTTCCACCATGATTGTAAGTTTCCTGAGGCCTCCTACGCCATGCTGAACTGTGAGTCAATTAACTTCTTTCCTTTATAAATTACCCAGTCTCGGGTATGTATTTATTAGCAGTGTGAGAATGGACTAACACACCCCCTTCACTCACTTTTCAGTCTTCAAAGTGCACAGCCATCCTTTACTGCCCCGTGCAGCACCTTCAGGCCTTGAGCTCTATGCAGGGAGGTAAGCCACGGAAGTCACAAGCACATCTTTTATACTAGTGCACACAACTGAAAACTCACAGACTGGTAAAGCACATCTTTTATACTAGTGCACACAACTGAAAACTCACAGACTGGTAAAGCACATCTTTTATACTAGTGCACACAGCTGAAAACTCACAGACTGGTACCAAACCAGCTTGGTTCTGTTCTGCTTCCACTGCCTGTCAAGACTGTGTGCTCTGGGCAAGGTACTTCAACCACTGGGTCTTGGCTTCCTCATCTGGAAAATGAAAATAAAACTGCAACTTTAAAAAGCTTTTCTGAAATCAAATGCAGCAGTGTACATAAAAGGCAAATAAGCTCACCCTATGTTTTACCTAATTTTCTTTTTATCCTGCTCTGTGTATTTCTTAAGCCAACCATCTTACTTCCTTTTTAGAATGCATCAGGATAGACACAAATAAATGGAAACACCGTTACAAAGCCCCTGCTCACACTTCAGAATTCAGATTGCATTACCTCCTCCAGGAAGTCTTCCTTAATCACTCTCTGCTCAAGTCTCATTTAGATGATCTCCTGTGTGCTTGCATATCGTCTGTGCATACCTCTGTGTTGGGAGGAGTGGTAAGAGATGGGGCTGGAGACTCAAGAAAAGGCCACATCGGAAGGGCCTCGATCCTTTCCCCTGAAGGGAGTAAAGGCTCTCCAAAGAGTTTAAGCAGTGAGTGAAAAGACCAGCCAAGAATGTGAAAAACCTCATCTGGACACAAGGCAAAATAATTATTTTCTCCCTTGGTTACCTTTTCCATTCCCTTTCTTCAAGGGAAAGAACCATGTCTTATTTTACTTGGCATCAGCAGCTCTCAGAACAGTGGCTTGACCAATACCAAGCATTCAATAAATGTTTATTGAAGGAATGAATCAATGGCCACCCACAACCTATACCTCTTACAGCCCATTTAATGTCCTTTAGCCCCTTCCATAGGTATTTGCCTGGAATGTTTGTAAGATTTTTGAAAATCTCAGAAACAACACCAGCCCTCCACCCATGGGAAGCTGTGTCTCAGGCTAACACCTGTGCTCTTGTTGATGCCATTGCCCCAAAGAAGACCAACCTCTCCTTCTTGCCCATATAAGTTGGCTCTAATTTCAATGCTGCTGAAAACCTCTCCTCTTCCATAAATTATTTTTTCAGATTGCTCCAGCCCATTGTGATCTTTCATCCTTCAAACTCCTTTAACATCTAGGGCCTACACCATTAATCTGACAATCACCATATACTGCATAATATTGTTGTAGTCTGCTATTTACCTTCAGTCTGCAATTTAACTTCCTTAAGTTTATTTCTTGTTCCCCATTGTAGAGAATATCTCCCTTAAATAGCTGCCAAGTCTTGCCAATCATGGCCTTTCCTGTAGTGTTTTGCACGTGTGTGCACACATGTGTTTTTAATTGACTTGAAGACAAGGAGACTCCCCTTAGGAAGCTTTATTTTCTGTTTGCCACTTCCCTAGGACCCAAGATACCCTGATCCCCCTCAATTCATTCTCTGCCTTTCCCTGCTCTTCTTCCCAAGGAAACAAACACCTTCCAACTTTATCACCAGGGCTCCTTTGCCTTCTGGCTTGCATTTGGGTTCAACCAATAGAAGGCACAGATAGGTAATAGATGGGTGGGAGGACAGTGGTAGGGAATATCTTCCCTTGCTTGGCCCATTCTGTAGTGTTTGAGCCCTTCCAGGACTATGGCTTCTCTAGGGCAGCCCCTCTTCAAAAGCTGTGCCCCCCAGGTAAGCTTCAATGGCATCATTTCTTCCCTTTACCTTTTCAGGCCTGGTGCCTCAACATCCTTTTTTGATGCTCTTAACTCTGCTCACACTTCTGTAAATAGTCCCTTTATTAAAGGGACTTTTATCTCTTCAAAAATCCCCACATAATATTCTGTTTCTTGCTGGGATCTTGACTAACACAGGAACTTTCTGTTTAGTTGGGATAAGACTATGGGTACCTTATAATTTATCATCCAAGCCAGGACACTTCTGAGAGTGAAAGGGGGCACTATTAATTAAACCATGGCAACGGGCACAAATCAGAACTGTTCCAGGCCACCTGGAATGAATGAGCATCCTAGGTAAGTCAGGCATATAAAAAGATAATTGTTATAATGAAGAGATAAAAACATTTCTAAAAGAGATAATATTACCACATAGATTAAGGTAAGTGCCAAGGGTGGAATAGACTTTCAGTGCTACAGCCATTCCAAGACAAGAGAGATTATTTCTCCTGGGGAAAGACATTTGAGATCAGCGGGTTGCTCAGTTCTCCTCCAACTAAATGAAGTCACACAATCCATGTGTGCTTGGCCGACTTTGTAGATTTTCTCCAAGAAATTTCAGTCCCAGTTGGGTCCCCCCCTCCACCCCTCACACACCCAGTGTAACTGTTCCTATTTCTTTCTATTGTTTAGGCTCTGGGTTTTTAAGGAAAGCAAATTAATTTAAATCTTAGCCAATTATTCCTTTTAAAAAATACCAAATGCATTCCTGATTCAATTATAAATCATTGTAAATATCTTATATTTTTGATTCTTTAAACCATGTTTTAGCTTCATTTTGCAAAGATATCTAAGAGGTGATTTATAAGCTTTGCTTGCAAATACAAACATTTCTGCTAGTAATCACATAAAGCCTAAGTAACCCTAGAAAGCTTCTCTATGTATATATGTATGAATGTTTACCTTGTCTCTTAAACAAAAGAGTTTGACAATTAACCAATACTCTAAAGCCTTGTCACCCTGAGCAAAGTGAACTCAGACTCATTGCACCCCTACTCCTAGCTGATTCAAGGCTACTTGGCCAGGAAATGTTTCTAATGCTCACGTTGCTAGCAGAAGCAAGTTACTACGAGCCCCAGTGTGTGACTTCAGGCTTGCCAAATCACTGCTTTGTTCAGGCATTTCATACTCAAGAGAATACTATATAAAAACACCCACACCCCTGCCCAGGAGCAGAGAGCACCATGTAGATTAGGGCAGCCAGAGTTCCTGCTCTACTTCCCAACCAGCTGGTGCTGGTTAGGATTAGACCAGTGGGAGTTGGGGTTGAAAAGGTCCCTCTTGAGAGAGTCAGAAAGGGTCCTACAAGAACAAGACAAACAGGAAAAGAAAGCAGTAACTAGAGACAAAAAGCAATGACAGACGTGCAAATCACACACAGGAAATAGCACAAATCAACGCAGATAGTGTCAATAAATGCAAATAGTGTCAGATATTGAACCAAGTAGGTCCATGCTATGCCCAACATCAGAGAAAACAGTTAAGTATGCCCCACCATGTACCTGAAAGGCAGATAGCTAGAAGGCTTTTGCTATTGACACTAGCAAGACTCTATCTCAAACAACAACAAAAAAGTCAAATAGAGCTTTAAACCTGAATCATTTACATCTTTACTTTATAAAATGTAAAACTACTTTTTTACCCAAGACTTAAAATATAGAATTATGTAACTTCTACTTTAAACAAAATGAAAAATGTTTTGAGTATCAAACAGTATATTATCTACCTTGTAGACAGCATCTTCATCTAACACTGCCACTGTGTTAGCAATTCTTAAATGACATCAAACTAGAAGAAAAGCTGCTCCTACATTGTTTTTATTTAATAAGACAAATTTGGCACTAGACTTTTTCTAGAAATAGCACTCATAGTATATCGATATAATAGTAACATCTTGTTTTAGGTTAATGAATTCCTATTAGGAAGCAGCACTTTGGGACAGTTTTTAGTGACACCAATTTAATTCTATCATTATAGTCCTCTGACCTGCCTTAATTCCAGGATCATCTGAATTCTAGGTTAAGGAATGATTATTAGCCAAACCTGGAAACAACTACAAATTGTACTATTATAGGTAACCCCAATTTAATAGTGACTAAAAGTCATAATTGTCACCATTAAAAATAGACGTATTTCATATCTTCAACACTATTCTATTTACAATACTTTATATAATAAATAACTTATAGCAATATAGTAACAGGCCTCAAAAACGTTCTTTTTTCACTAATTCCTAGAGGTTTCTTGGTTACTTTCCTTCATAAAAACACATCAAATGTGAGTTTACACTATGAGAAAAACAGGATTTGAGAATAGATAGATATTTTCCATTATGGCACAAATGTTTAAGGCTGAGTCAGCACCGGAAATGTTCGGGGCCTGAACGTGTTTGTTTCCTCACATTAGTATGAAGAACTGTCTGAGTTGAGAAGGCTGAAAGGGGAGGGCAGCTTCTTCTTGACCTGAGGCCGTGCAGCCCCGACCGATGGGAGGCACAAGTTGCTGGCTGACTTCTGTCTGTTCTTTCTGGTGCCCCAACTCAGGAAGGAAAGCTTCTTGGAGATTTTCTGGGTTTTATCAGTTTTGTCATCATCATCAATGGCTAAGCAGATCATGGAGTACGTTTTCTGCATTCCCACGGAGTATGTGGCACTCTTATTATGCTGCACATAGAAAAGAAAGAAAAAGGGCGTCAGGCATCATCAAGATAGATGATACAAACTACAAAGTCTGGCCAGGCGCAGTGGCTCACACATGTAATCCCAACACTTTGGGAGGTTGAAGAAGGTGGATCACTTGAGGTCAGGAGTCCAAGACCAGCCTGGCCAACATGGTGAAACCCCATCTCTACTAAAATACAAAAATTAACCAGGTGTGGTGGTAGATGTCTGTAGTCCCAGCTGCTTGCGAGGCTGGGCACGAGAATCACTTGAACCCAGGACGTGGAGGTTGCAGTGAGCTGAGATCGCACCACTGCACTCCAACCTGGGCGACAGAGCAGGACTCTGTCTCCAAAAAATAAATTAAACAGACATAATTCAGAAACTCAGGTGACCAATGCTTATATAGAATTAGGTTCTTAAAACAAGGACAAACTGTTTTTCTTTTTTGAGACAGGGTCTTGCTATGTTGCCCAGACTGGTCTTGAACTCCTGGGATCAAGTGATCTTCCTGCCTTGGCCTCCTGAGTAGCTGGGGCTCTAGGTGTGTGCCACCAGGTGCAACAAGGATAATTTTTTGTTTGTTTGTTTTTTGTTTTTGTTTTTTTTTTTAAGACGGAGTCTCACTCTGTCACCCAGGCTGGAGTGCAGTGGCACGATCTCGGCTCACTGCAAGCTCCACCTCCCGGGTTAATGCCATTCTCCTGCCTCAGCCTCTCTGAGTAGCTGGGACTACAGACGCCCACCACCACACCTGGCTAATTTTTTGTATTTTTAGTAGAAAGGGGTTTCACCATGGTCTTGATCTCCTGACCTCGTGATCCACCTGCCTCGGCCTCCCAAAGTGCTAGAATTACAAGCATGAGCCACTGCGCCCAGCCCAACAAGGATAATTTTTAAGGAATGTACTCAATAGTAAAAATTTAAGCTTAGGAGCCACAACTCACATTTTAAGGTTCTTCTTCTATTTGAGAAAGTAATAATTACTAATGGTCACGAATATGAAAGTACAGGGTGGGGTGCGGTGGCTCATGACTACAGTCCCAGCTACCTGGGAGGCTCAGAGGGGAGGATTGCTTGAGCCCAGGAGGTTGAGGGTATAGTGAGCTGTGACTGTGCCACTGCACTCCAGCCTGGGCAACAGAGTGAGACCTCTGTCTCAAAAAAAAAAAAGGGCAGGGGGGAAGGGAAGAGGGGAAAGGAAAGGGAAGAGGAGAAGGGAAGGGAAGAGGGGAAGGGAAGGAAAAAAAAAAGAATATGCAGTGAGCAATAGGTCTCCCTGTCACCTGGGCTTCTAGGCCCTCCATGTTATACTTCTAGAGATGATGTGCATGTACAGGTATTTTTGTATGTACATAAATATATTACCATTCATTTTCTTAAAAGGAATAAACTACACTATTCTACACCTGATTTTCTTTTTTCTTTTTTTCTTTTTTTTTTTTTTAAGACGGAGTCTCGCTCTGTCGCCCAGGCTGGAGTGCCATTTTCATCATTTTCAAGTGTAGAGTTCAGTGGCATTAACTACATTCACATCATTATGCTCCACTGCCACCATCCATCTCTAAAACTTTTTCATCTTCCTCAGCTGAAACTTTGTACAATTAAACACTCTCTACTATTAACTTTCCAAGAATCATGTAGGATTCAAACTGGAAATCTAAGGAAGCTTGCTTTCTGAAGACTTCCACATGGGCTATCGCCAGCTTCTAAGGTTTGCCTAATATTGAGATTGTTTAGTTCGCCACATGTTTATTGATGGTCTACTATGTTCTGGCACTAAAATTAGGCATACAATATATCGCTGCAATAGTTGAGGACATTGTTCCTAATATAAACCCTAAGAGGGGCCGGGCACAGTGTCTTACACCTGTAATCCCAATACTTTGGAAGGCTGAGGTGGGTGGATCACTTGAGGCCAGGGGTTCCAGACCCTGGTGGCCAACATGGTGAAACTCCATCTCTACTAAAAATACAAAAATTAGCCGGGTGTGGTGGTGCACACCTGCAATCCCAGCTACTCAGGAGCTGAGGCAGAAGAATCACTTGAACCCAGGAGGCAGAGGTTGCAGTGAGCCAAGATCACATCACTGCACTCCAGCCTGGGCGATGGAGTGAGACTCTATCGCCAAAAATAAATAAATAATGAATAAATAAATAAAATAAACCCTCAGGAATCTGAGTTATGCAGCAATAAAGTAGGGGGTACTTTGAGCCCCTAAGGATGGAGATGCCTCTTCCTTTTCTGGAAAACTGACCACTAACTCCACCATGTTTTACACAATGTCATTTAAAACAATAATAAAACGAATAATCCTGGAGACAGATGTGAGGCCTGAAAGAATTTCCCAACCCTCAGCTGCTCAAAGTCCATTGTGTATCAAAACCACTGCCTTATAAATACCCTCAGTTCTCTTCCATCTGCCCCCAGCAATGCTAACTCGCTCATCTCCACCCTCTGCCTCCCCTAGGGCCTGTATCTGAAAGGTTGTTCATTGCTGGAGGACACTCACCAAGGCTTCCCTTGGAATTCTAACCTGACCCCAAACCTCTAATAGGCACCCATTTCCTGGCACTCTTGTGTGTCCCTAGTAATTTCATTTCCTTTTCTCCTGTATTCTTGTTTCTTATCTTCACTCTCCTCCTGAAGCCACTCACGCACCCTCCTGAAATCCCTGCCGTATACTTCATGGCATCCGTCCCCCAAGACCAAGCCCTTCTGTGTGCCTGGATCCCATTCCCTCTCTCCTCCAGGCACCCTTGCCTCCCAGATCTCTACACACACACACACACACACACATACACACACACCCCTCTCTCTACACACACACACCCCTCTCCCTACACACACACACACCCCTCTCTCTCTACACACACACACACACACACACACACACCCCTCTCTCTACACGCACCCCTCTCTACACACACACACACACACCCCTCTCTCTACACACAAACACACACACACACTCCTGCAATGCGTACCATCACATTCTTTGAAAAGCCTTTCTTGGCCGGGCGCAGTGGCTCACGCCTGTAATCCCAGCACTTTGGGAAGCCAAGGCGGGCGGATCATAAGGTCACGAGATTGAGACCATCCTGGCTAACACAGTGAAACCCGCCTCTACTAAAAATACAAAAAAATAGCCGGGCGTGGTGGCAGGCACCTGTAGTCCCAGCTACTCGGGAGGCTGAGGCAGGAGAATGGTGTGAACCAGGAGGTGAAGCTTGCAGTGAGCTGAGATAGCGCCACTCACTGCATTCCAGCCTGGGTGAAAGAGTGAGACTCTGTCTCAAAAAAAAAAAGTAAAGCCTTTCTTGACCCTATTCCCCTCCAGGTCCACCCCAGTATCATACCCACATACACTCTCTCTCACTCCTGCAATGTGTACCACTACTTTCTTTGAAAAGCCTTTTTTTTTTTTGAGACAGAGTCTTGCTGTCACCAGGCTGGAGTGCAGTGGCCCAATCTTGGCTCACTGCAACATCCACCTCCAGGTTCAAGTGATTTTCCTGCCTCAGCCTCCCAAGTAGCTGGGATTACAGGCACATGCCACCATGCCCAGATAATTTTTGTATTTTTAGTAGAGTCAGGGTTTCACCATGTTGGCCAGGTTGGTCTTCAACTTCTGGCCTCAAGTGATCCACCTGCCTCAGCCTCCCAAAGTGCTGGGATTACAGGCTTGAGCCACTGTGCCCAGCTCCATTTACTATTTCTTTCCACGCCACCCACTCCTCACTCAAATCCACTGGGGTATCCCTCTAGAACTCTTAGGACTTTATAGAGCACAGTTTAAAACCACTGTGTAGGCCTAACTCTTCCATCCTCTGGATGAGAAAACCGAGGCCCAGGGAGGGTATGAACGTGCTGAAGGTAACACAGCTTGTGAACGGCAGTCAGGGCCTAATTCCAGAGCTTGATTCCAAGCTTAGATTTGTCCAGCTAGGGATCCCCACTGTAGTCAAGAGGGTAGCCAAGGGCAGCAGGTCATCGGTTCAGCCAGAGTGCTAGGATAGATGCTCTCTTTATTTGATTTTGTTTGAAAGGTTCAGTCACTAAAAACAGTGCTTGGCTGTCATTATCTAAAATCCTTATCATAAAAATTAATAGACAAATTATTTTTTAAAAATTATTTTTAAAAAGCCAGGGGCTGGGCATGGTGGCTCACTCCTGTAATCCCAGCACTTTAAGGAGGCCAAGGCAGGCTGATCACCGGAAGCCAGGAATTCAAGATCAGCCTGGCCAATGTGGTGAAACTCCATCTCTATTAAAAATACAAAAATTAGCCAGGCATCATGGTGGGTGCCTGTAATCCCAGCTACTCGGGAGGCTGAGGCAGGAGAATTGCTTGAACCCGGGAAGCGGAGGTTGCAGTGAGCCAAGATTGTACCACTGCACTCCAGCCTGGATGACAAGAGCAAGACTCTATCTCCAAAAACAAAAAAAAGAGCCAGGTACAGTGTCTCACACCTGTAATCCCAACTATTTGGGAGGCTGATTCAAGAGGGTCTCTTGAGGCTAGGAATTCAAGATCAGCTTGGATAACTCAGTTAGACCCCATCACTACAAAATTAGTTAAATAAAAGACAAAAGGAAATTACTTTTGGCCTGGTGCACTGGCTCATTCCTGTAATCCTAACACTTTGGGAGGCGGAGGCAGGAAGATTGCTTAAGCCCAGGAGTCTGGGACCAGGCTGGGCAACAAAATGAGACTGTCACTGCAAAAAAAATTAAAAATTAGCTGGGTATAGTGGTGCACACCTGTAGTCCCAGCTACTTGGGAGGATCTTTTTTTTTTTTTTTTTTTTTGAGATGGAGTCTCCCTCTCTTGCCCAGGCTGGAGTGCAGTGGCATGATCTCGGCTCACTGCAACCTCTGCCTCCTGGGTTCAAACAATTCTCCTGCCTTGGCTGCCCAAGTAGCTGGGATTACAGGCACCCACCACCTCCACACCCAGGGTTTCACCATGTTGACCAGGCTGGTCTAGAATTCCTGACCTCAGATGATGAGAAGGGAGGATCTTTTGAGCCCTAGAACTCGAGGCTGTAGTGAACTATGATTGCACTATTGCCCTCCAGCCTGGGCAACTGAGTGAGACCCTGTCTCAAAACAAACAAAACAAAACAAAAAACAACAACAAAAGAAATTATTTGGCCGGGCATGCTGGCTCATGCCTGTAATCCCAGCACTTTGGGAGGCAAGGTAGGTGGATTTCTTGAGCTTAGAAGTTAGAGAACAGCTAGGGCAACACGGTGAAGCCCCATCTCTACAAAAAAATATGAAAAATTAGCTGAGTATGGTGTTGCATGACTGTAGTCCTAGCTACTCAGGAAGTGGAGGTGGGGGGATCACTTAAGCCCAAGAGTAAAGGCCACAGTGAGCCAAGATCGTGCCAGGGCAATGAGAGCGAGACCCTGTCTCAAAACAAAAAGCAAACTTTTTTTTTTCTACACAGGGTCTTACTCTGTCGCCCCAGCTGGAGTACAGTGGCATGATCTCGGCTCACTGCAACCTCTGCCTCCCAGGCTCAAGCGATTCTTATGCCTCAGCCTCCCACGTAGCTGGGATTGCAGGTATGCACCACCACATCCCGCTAATTATTGTATTTTTAGTAGAGACAGGGTTTTGCCATGTTGGCCAGGATGGCCTCGAACTCCTGGCTTCAAGTGATCTGCCTGCCTCGGCCTCCCAAAGTGCTAGGATTATAGGAGTGAACCACTGTGCCCAGCCTAAAAACATTTTTTTTTTTTTGAGACGGAGTCTCGCTCTGTCCCTCAGGCTGGAGTGCAGTGGCACGATCTCAGCTCACTGCAAGCTCCGCCTCCTGGTTTCACGCCATTCTCCTGCCTCAGCCTCCCAAGGAGCTGGGACTACAGGCACCTGCCACCACGCCCAGCTAATTTTTAGTAGAGATGGGGTTTCACCGTGTTAGCCAGGATGGTTTCGATCTCCTGACCTCGTGATCCACCCGTCTCAGCCTCCCAAAGTCCTGGGATTACAGGCGTGAGCCACTGCGCCCGGCCTAAAAACATTATTTTTAAAAAAATTAAAGACATCCTGCTGGGTGAAAAGAATAAACATCATGATCATGGTTATCATCATTATAATGCTTATTGTGAATTGAAATGCAGCTCATGTTTGGCCCTCTTGGAAGGGCTTTATGTAAACTCAGTTTATCCTGAGGCTCACAGCTATTCACTGACTTGCTGAAGGCCACACAACGGTGGTGGAAAGCCAGGATACACATCTAGACTGTCTCAGTGCAGAACCCTTGCTTTTAGCTACTACAGCAGCCCCTTCCTTGGCCTGGTGTAAAGATGTCACAGGCTTGAAAGTCAAGCCTTTGCACCTCTCACAGGGGGCAGGGCATGCCCCATAAACTCAGGCCTCTGCTGACGGGGTCCCTACTCCAACCTTCAGTATGTGGCTCGGCTCTTTTCTCTAACCTCCTTTTGGACAAACTTCTTTTCTGTTTCTGCTGCGGACCTTAATCACTTGTCCATAAACTCCATGCGTTTTGTCCCTAAAAATATAATTTCTTATGATCCCTTCTCCCAAGATGCTCTGCGTCCCTTGACTTTATCTTCTTTTAAAATTTGAAGTATATCAGGTGCAGTGGCTCACGCCTATAATCCCAGTACTTCGGGAGGCCGAGGTGGATGGATCACGAGGTCAGGAGTTTGAGACCAGCCTGACCAATATGGCGAAACCCTGTCTCCACTAAAAATACAAAAATTAGCCA
The DNA here is from genome assembly GCF_000001405.40 of Homo sapiens. Lineage (NCBI taxonomy): Eukaryota > Metazoa > Chordata > Mammalia > Primates > Hominidae > Homo > Homo sapiens. Next base: position 33,615,543 of record NC_000016.10, on the reverse strand, counting down.
GGCATAGCGGTGCCCGCCTATAATCCCAGCCACTCGGGAAGCTGAGGCAGGAGATTCACTTGAATCCTGGAGGCAGAGGTTGCAGTGAGCCAAGATCACGCCACTGCACTCCAGCCTGGGCGATAGTGCAAGACTCCGTCTCAAAAAAAAAAAATTTTTTTGAGATATAATTCACATACATGCATAAAATTCACCATTTTAATACCCTTCTGTGGCTTTTATTTATTATTTTTGAGACAGGGTCTTGCTCTGACACCCAGGCTGGAGTGCAGTGGTACAATCATAGCTCCCTGCAGCCCCAACCTCCCTGGGCTCAAGTGATCCTCCGGCCTCAGCCCCCCAAGCAGCTGGGACTACAGGTGTGTGCCACCATGCCATGCTAATTTTTTTTATTTTTTGTAGAGACACGGTCTCGCCATGTTGCCCAGGCTGGTCTCAAACTCCTGGGCTCAAGCGAACATACTGCCTCAGCCTCTCAAAGTGCTGGAATTACAGGTGTGAGCCAGTATGCCAAAACATCAGTGATTTTTTAGTATATTCACAAAGTTAGGTGACCATCATACTACCTAATTTCAGAATATTTCCATCCCCCCAAAAAGAAACCTTCTACCTTATGACCCTTCAGCAGTCCCTCCCCACTCCCATTGCCCAGCCCCAGCAGCATCTACTTTCTGTCTCTGGATTTGCCTATGCTGAGCATTTCATATCCACGGACTCAAAATCCATTGGCTCTCTGGCCCTCTCTCAACTGACTTCTGTTGCCACCTCTCCACCAAAGTGTCTTTTCATCCTGCTGCCAAATACAATAGGCACAGCTAAGCCAACCTCATTCTCCACCTCTCAACTGCATTCAATGCAACCCATCACTCTCTCCTGCAGAGCTTTCTCCTCTTAATTTGAGAAGCTCCTTTCCTCCGACATCTCTGAACTCTCCTGCATTTTCTTTGCACTTGCTTCTCTTCCAACTGACCTCTAAATGTTTAGCCCTCAGCCCTAGCCCCCTTGCAGGGAGCTGCATTTTGTCTCACAGCCTCAAATATCATCCATGTGCAATGATTCTCAAATATTTATTTCTAGCTCTGATTTCTTCCTCGAACTGAAGACTTCACATCCAGTCTCCTCCTTTATGCTTATGTCTGACTGCTAATAGCATCTGAAACATTCAAAACATGACTCTTGATTTCTCTCTCCTTCACCTCCCTCACACCCATTACCCATCATTATGAAAAATAACCAGGCTGGGCATGGTGGCTAATGCCTGTAATCCCAACACTTTGGGAGGCGGAGGTGGAAGGATCGCTTAAGGCCAGGAGTTTGAGGCCAACCTTGGCAATATATCAAGGCCCCATCTCTACCAAAAAAAAATTACAATAGGTAAATAAACAAATTAGCCAGGCATAGTGGTACACACCTGTAGTTCCAGCTACTCGGGAGGCTGAGGCAAAAGGATTGCCTCAGCCCAGGAAGTCAAGGCTATAGTGAGCTATGATTGCACCACTGCATTCCAGGCAAGCAACAGAGTAAGACCCTGTCTCAAAAACAAAACAAAACAAAACAAAAAACAAACAAAAAAACAACAAGAGAAAAATGAAATTAAAGGTAGAAAAATAACCACTACCCATGAGATTGATCAAGCCAAAAACTGAGGCCTCACCTCCCTGTTCACTGTCTCCTTTACACAAATCATCCACAAATCCCCCATCAGCTCTACCTCCAAACTATGTCCCAGGGACACTCATGTCTCTCCAACTCTACAGCCACCCCCATCACCTCAGCCACTAACTTCACCAGCCTGGACAACTGCCATGGCCAGTCTCCGGCAGCAGACGCCCTTCTAAAACAAACATCACACCACGCCGTTCCCCTTCTGAAAATGCTCAGTGGCTTCCAAGCTCCCACCACTGCCGCCAAGGCCTCCTTCCTACCTCACTTCCCACGGCTCCCTTCCTTGTCCTGGTGCTCTGGCCAAAAGGCCTTCCTTTTGCCTCTCTGGTAGGAGAAGCTTATTCTGCTGCAGGGGCCCTGTACCTGTAGGTGCCCCTGCCCAGAAGGCCTTTCTTGTCTCTCTGCAACTGGCTCGAACCTCCTGGTCACTCTCATGTCTGTTCCAGCCCTGCCTAGATAGAGCCTCGCCTCCTCTCCAGTCATTCCACCCCATTACAGGTCTTTTTTCCTTTACAACACTTATCAAAATCCTGACCATTTATTTACTGACTTAGTGCCAGCTTCGTGGGGAGGGGCAGGGACCTTACCTGTGTAATGTAAACTGGAGCTCTGACACCTAAGAGAGTGTCTGGCACCCAATTGATCCTCAATCAATATTTGTTGAATGAATAAATGAGTGTTGTTACAGAGGGAAGGTCGAGGGTACGTCATTAAGTGTGGCAAAGTGCAGAGGAGAACGTCATTAAGTGTGGCATGAACCCTAGCACTTGGGGAAAATTTTAGGGTTTTTTTGCAGACAGTCTCACTCTGTTGGCCCAGGCTGGAGTGCAATGGCGCAATCTCCACTCACTGCAACTTCCACCTCCCAAACTATTCTCCTGCCTCAGCCTCCTGAGTAGCTGGGGTTACAGGCGTGCACCACCATGCCCAGCTAATTTTTATATTTTCAGTAGAGACAGGGTTTGCCTTGTTGGTCAGGCTTGTCTTGAACTCCTGACTTCAAGCAATCCACACACCTCAGCCTCCAAAAGTACTCAGATTACAAACATGAGCACCGTGCCCGGCCTCACATGGGGAAAATTAAAGGTGGTAACTGTGCAGGTGAACTTGAGAGACTCAAATGCTTCCCAAATCTCCCAGAACATGGCTGACACTGCCTCTAGGGCATACAGAGGGATTGTCTTAACTTTCACAGGTCGTCTTAAGCTCTTCTGTACCATTAGAATTTTTTTTGTTTTTTGTTTTTTTCACTGAGTATGTATTACTTTTGTAATTAAACAATTTGATCAGAAAAATAGATCAGTTGATTATTTTATCCACAGGATATTTTTAAAAGTTTGCTAGCAGGGTGCAGTGGCTCACACCTGTAATCCCAGCACTTTGGGAGGCCAAGGTCAGAGGATGGCTTGAGCCCAGGAGTTCAAGACCAGTCTTGGCAACACAGCGAGAACCTGTCTCTACAAAAAATAAAGAATGGGCTGGGCATGGTGGCTCACACCTGTAATCCCAGCACTCTGGGAGGCCGAGGTGGGTGGATCACGAGGTCAGGAGATCGAGACCATCCTGGCTAACACGGTGAGACCCCATCTCTACTAAAAATACAAAAAATTAGCCAGGCGCGTTGGCAGGCACCTGTAGTCCTAGCTACTTGGGAGGCTGAGGCAGAAGAATGGCGTGAACCTGGGAGGCAGAGCTTGCAGTGAGCCAAGATTGCACAACTGCACTCCAGCCTGGGCGACAGTGCGAGACTCCGTCTCAAAAAAAAAATAAAATAAAAAATGAATAAATAAATAAATAAAGAATGAGCCAGGGGTGGTAGTGGGTGCCTATAATTCCAGCTGCTTGTGTGGCTGAAGTGGGAGGATCACTTAAACCGAGGAGATAGAGGCTGCAGTAAGCCATGATCATACCACTGCAAACCAGCCTGGGCAATAGGGCAAGACCCTGTCTTTAAAAAGAAACAGTTTGCCAATTTTCTCTTTGACCCAAGGTGAGCACATTACAGTGATTACAAGCCTGGGAGTCCAGTCATTTGTACCATGTTACACAGGCAGGAGACAGAGGGTCTGGTAAACAACCCTGGGGCTGAACTCATGTAGATTTCACTCCACGCCACTACTGACTGCCCAGGGAGGTGTCAGTGCTCACCACGGATGATGTGGAGTCCAGGAGGCTCACGGCTTTCATCTCGATCTTGTCCTCGCCAAAGCTCTTCAGCAGCTTCATAACCTCACTCACCATCAGCCACTTACAATCCACAAGCTGAATGGAGACAATATAATCTCCTTCCCGGGCTCCTGCCACCTGAAAAAGTATTGTTGAAAATAAGTCAACGTTTTGTTCACTCAAATCCTTGAATCAGTCCCCATTAACAAAATAGGTATTTGCGTAAGTTCACATCAAGAAAGCAAAAATTCACGTTGGGTGGCTGAGACGGGTAGATCACTTGAGGTCAGTAGTTCAAGACCAGCCTGAACAACACGGTGAAGCCCATCTCTACTAAAAATACAATAATCAGCCAGGTGTGGTGGTGGGCACCTGTAGTCCTAGCTACCTGGGAGGCTGAGGCAGGAGAATTGCTTGAACCCGGGAGGCAGACATTGCAGTAAGCCGAGATCGTGCCACTGCCCTCCAGCCTGGGTGCAATTAAAAAAAAAAAAAGTCAAAATTGGCCAGGCACAGTGGCTCACGCCTATAATCCTAGCACTCTGGGAGGCCAAGGCAGACAGAATATTTGAGGCCAGGAGTTCGAGACCAGCCTGGCCAACATGGCAAAACCCCGTTTCTACTAAAAATACAAAAATTAGGCCGGGCCAGGTAGCTCACACTTGTAATCCCAGCACTTTGGGAGGCCGAGGTGGGCAGATCACAAGATCAGGAGATCAAGACCATCCTGGCTAACACGGTGAAACCCCGTCTCTACTAAAAACACACAAAAAATTAGCTGGGCATGGTGACACACACCTGTAATCCCAGCTACTCAGCAGGCGGAGGCAGAAGAATTACTTGAACCCAGGAGGTGGAGGTTGCAGTGAACCAAGATTGCGCCACTGCACTCCAGCCTGGGCGACAGAGCAAAAATGTGTCTCAAAAAACAAAAACAAAAACTAAAATTAGCTGAGTGTGGTGGCACGTGCCTGTAATCCCAGCTACTCAGGAAGCTGAGACAGGAGAATCACTAGAACCCAGGAAGCAGAAGCTGCACTGAGCCCTGAGATCGTGCCACTGCACAATCAGGACTCACTGCAACGTCCACCTCCCAACGTCTAAAAAAAACTAAAAACAAAAAAAAGACAGTAAAAATTAATCCTTTTCTTTTAGGGACTGTAGCACCCATGAGGCCTTTCACATCAAGTCAGGCCTTTGACATGGGTGAACCCGCCCTAAATTCAATCACCCAGATATCTGTGTTTGCTGCCAACCAAGAAAAGCATGTGCTTACCGAGGAAGAGCAGTAAGGATCCAGGAAGTGAACCTCAATGGGGGCATTCCCTCTTAAGGTGAACCCCAAGTCCCCTTCTTCTGCAGTGAAGGGGATGCTTCGAGGAGGCGTCTACTGCTTGTTAGCCAAAAACACAGATAAGGGGCCCTTTGGAAGAGAGCATCATTAGGTGTAGGATTTGAAGGCTGGATCAGACACTTGAAAGCTAAAGGGAATTTTGCCTGCTGTCCTTGAAGATCTCACTTGGCCTTGTTCAGGGACAAATGACACATCTGGGGGCATACATGCTACAGCAGTCATGCGAGAACCTGGAAAGCCATCTTCTCAAACATACCCAATATATTTACAATAAAATTATCTTTTAGACATTGTATTAATTATCTTTTTCTTTTTTTTTTTTTTGAGACATTGTCTCACTCTATCGCCCAGGCTAGAGTGTGGTGGTGTAATCTCGGCTCACTGCAGCCTCTGCCTCCCGGGTTCAAGCAATTCTCCTGAGTAGCTGGAATTACAGGTGCGAACCACCACGCCTGGCTAATTTTTGTATTTTTAGCAGAGATGGGGTTTCATCATGTTGGCCAGGCTGGTCTCAAACTCCTGACCTCAGGTGATCCGCCTGCCTCAGCCTCCCAAAGTGCTGGGATTAAAGGCGTGAGCCACCACACCCAGCCAAAATTATCTTAAATAAAATCTCTAATATAAACAACTTAAGACCAGACATGTCTTGCCTGTAATCCTAAGCACTTTGTGTGACCAAGGCAGAAGGATTGCTTGAGGCCAGGGGTTTGAGACCAGCCTGGGCAACATAGCGGGAACCATTCTCTACCAAAAACATAAAAGAATTAGCCAGGCATGGTGGTGCACGCCTATGGTTCCATCTACTTAGGCTGCTGAGGCAGGAGGACTTCTTGAGCCCAGCAGTTCGAGGCTGCAGTGAACTGATTGTGCCACTGCACTCCAGCCTGGGTGAAAACAGAGTTAGACCCTGTCTTAAAAAAAAAAAAAGGAAAAAAAATCTCAGGTCAGGCATAGTGGCTCATACCTGTAATCCCAGCACTCTGGGATGCCTAGGCAGGAGGATGGTTGGAACCCAGGGTTTGAGACCAGCCTAGGCAACATAGCAAGACCCCATCTCTACAAGAAATAAAAATTAGTTGGACGTGGTGGTGTGTGCCTGTAGTCCCATCTACTAGGGTAGCTAACGCAGGAGGATCACTTGAGCCCAGAAGGTTCAGGCTGCAGTGAGCTATGATCATGCCACTGTAATCCAGCCTAGGTGACACAGTGAGACCACATCTCTAAAAAAAGTTAAAAAATATTTTAAAAAATTTTAAATAGACAATACCTAAAAACTACTTTTAAAATATGCTGTGGGGCCGGGCACAGTGGCTCAGGCCTATAATCCCAGCACTTTGGGAGGCCGAGGTGAGGGGATCACTGGAGCCCAGGAGTTCAAGATCAGCCTGGCCAACATGGTGAAACCCTGTCTCTACTAAAAATACAAAATTAGCTGAGCGTAGTGGCAAAGGCCTGTAATCTCGACTACTCGGGAGGCTGAAGCTGGAGAATCACTTGAACCTGGGAGGTGGAGGCTGCACTGAGCTGAGATCGCACCACTGCACTCCAGCCTGGGCAACAGAGTGAGACTCTGTCTCAAAAAACAAATAAATAAAAATAAGTGCATAAAATAAAATATGCTATGGTCTGAATGTTTGTACCCTCCCAAAGTTTGTATATTAAAATATTAAAATTTTATTAATATTTATTAAAATTTAAAATGTATATTAAAATCATCAATGTAATTATTAGGAAGTGGGGCCCCTTGAGAGGTGATTCAGTCTTGGGGTTGAGCCCTCAAGAATGGGATACATGCTTTTAAAACAGGCCCAAGGGAGCTCATCACCTTTTCTGCCATGAGGACACAGGTAGAAGGCCCTACCTATAAACCAGAACATGGGCCTTCAGCAGATACCAAATCTGCCCATACCTTGGTCTTGGACTTCCCAGCCTCCAAAACTGAGAAATATATTTCTGCTGTTCATAAGCCACCCAGTTTGAGGCATTTTGTTATAGCAGCCCACATGGACTAAGACACCATACTCGCCAAAGTGAAGAGCTGTCCCCTTCGGTCATTTATGTAGAGAGCTTTCAACATACCAGCTTCTAGAAGAAGTCCGTGACTGTCAGCTTGGAGAACTGGGGTAATATAATGTCAGCCTCTTGCTCAGTTTTAGCTAGAATAGAGGATTAGAAATGGGAGGATAAATGTTTCTGTAATTGAAAGTGATCCTTATAGCCCGGTGTTGTGGCTCTCGCCTGTAATCCCAGCACTTTGGGAGGCCAAGGCAGGTGGATCAATGAGGCCAGAAGTTCAAGACCAGTCTGGCCAGCATGGTGAAACCCCGTCTCTATTAAAAATACAAAAATTAGCCAGGTATGGTGGTAGGCGACTGTAATCTGAGTTACTTGGGAGGCTGAGGCAGGAGAATCACTTGAACCCAGGAGGCAGAGGTTGCAGTGAGTTGAAGTCTTGCCACTGCACTCCAGCCCGGTGACAGAGTAAGACTCCAGGGGGGGGAAAAAAAAAGAAAGTGATCCTTGGGAATGAGACAGTACAGAACTTTCTCTTAGTCACACATCCTTCCCCTCGGTTTAGACAAGTAGTACAAGAAGATGGAACACAGCTCAAACCCCGACCTAGGTTGAACTCTACCTTCCATTTGGGTACCTCATGTGAGCCATAGGAGGTATAACTCATTCCTGAGCTGGGACCAAGGAGTGATAACCAGACACATTCCCATGGGGTTTCCTGATATTTAAGGGGCTTAGTGGGCTTCTCTGGCACTCATAAAACCCTAATGAGGAGGCTGGGCACGGTGGCTAATGCTTGTAATCCCAGCACTTTGGGAGGCCGCGGTGGGAGGATCATCTGAGGTCAAGAGTTCAAGACCAGCCTGGCCAACATGATGAAACCCCATCTCTACTAAAAATACAAAAAATTAGCCAGACGTAGTGGCATGCGCCTGTAGTCCCAGCTACTTGGGAGGCTGAGGCTTGAACCAGGGAGGCAGAGTTTGCAGTGAGCTGAGATCACACCACTGCACTCCAGCCTGGGTGACAAGAGTGAAACGACCTCTCAAAAACAAACAAACATACAAACAAACAAACAAACAAAAAACCTATTGAGAAGTCATCTATGTTTCAAGCGTTATTGTTATGGAAGTTCCATGCCTCACTGGACACAGTCCTGGGATACTGAGCTTTCTGTTTTCAACATTATTTTTATTTTGAGACAGGGTGTCGCTCTGTCGCCCAAGCTGGAGTGCAGTGGTGCGATCACAGCTCTCTTGCAGCTTGACCTCCTGGACTCAAATGATTCTCCTGCCTCAGCCTCCCGAGTAGCTGGAACTATAGGTATGCACCACCATACCTGATGAATTTTTTTTAAATTTTTTGTAGAGATGGGGTCTCACTATGTTGCCCAGGCTGGTCTCAAACTCCTGAGCTCAAGTAATCCTCCTGCCTCGGCCTCCCAAAGTGCTGAGATTAGAGTTTTGGGCCACCGTGCTTGACCTTTTCATTATTAATGTGGTATGAGGATTTCCCAGTGAAAAGGAGGTTTGGCAAGTCATAACCATTGACAGCTACATACCCCCACCAGCATCTTCACAGCAGGCTCGGACTACCCTTAACATAAGGCTGGTCAATTTCTAACAAAGGATCCCAGGGCAGGCTGATTCTACAAACAGCATAAAAAGTGTATCTAGGTCAGGTGTGGTGGCTTACTCTGGTAATCCCAGCACTTTGGGAGGCCAAGGCAGGTGGATCACTTGAGGTCAGGAGTTCGAGACCAGCCTGGCCAACATGGTGAAACCCCATCTCTACTAAAAATCCAAAAATTAGCTGGGTGTGGTGGTGGGCGCTTGTAATCCCAGCTCCTCGGGAGGATGAGGCAGAAGAATCACTTGAACCCGGGAAGCAGAGGTTGCAGTGAGCCGAGATCATGCCACTGCACTCCAGCCTGGGCAACAGAACGAGACTCCATCTCAAAAAGAAAAGAGAACTCCAGGGCAAAATAAGCACCTCGGTCCCTGCCCTGTGCAGCCCTCCCTGTGCCAAGCACACAGCAAGGGCTTGCTCAACCCCCACAGGCCAGGCGTACTCTTTCCGCGGCACAGGCACCCCCACAGAGGGAACACAGTCTAGGTTACTCACCAACAACACTGGGGGCGTCGATCAGGTTCAGCAGGTCATCATCCTCCTGGTGCTGGGCGTACATGAGCCGGGAGCGTTCCTGTGCTGCACACAGCACCTTCTGTAGCACCTCAATGCTCTGCAGCTTCTTGCAGAGGCTGGCCTCCTGCACTGACTCCTCGTGATGAGCCATGGCTCTGCACAGGTGGGACTTCCCTGCAGACGGAAGCCAGCACCCACGTGACTTGGAGATCCACCAAACAGAGCATAAGGGCCCAAAGGGCAGCCCAAGAGGTTGGACGTTCTCTTTTCTAAAGGATCTGCCTGGATAGCTAGAGCCCGTGATACCCTACCTTGTTTTAACCTGAGTGACTCTCTCCTAGCAGAGAGAGACAGACAGACTACATTTTAGTTTCTTCACTTGCAGCCCCCTTTATCCCCCTTAAGGGAATAACTAGTGTAAGCTGACTCCAAGCACACCCAGGAATGCAAACTGCTGATAAGATACTGAGGCAGGCTGTACCAGCAGCTCCTGGGGATGTGCTCAGTGGCAGGTACCTAAAGCCCCTGCATTTATCTCTTAGTGATAGTTTAAGCACCTGCACCTGGAACTGTTTATTTTTTGTAACTGCTTCTATAACCAATTACTTTTTTAACTTTTTGCCTATTCTACTTCTGTAAAATTGCTTCAGTTAAACCTCCCTCCCCTATTTAGGCCACAGTATAAAAGAAAATCTAGCCCCTTCTTCAGGCCCGAGACAATTTCGAGCATTATCCGTCTCTCGGTCACCGGCTAATAAATGACTCCTGAATTAGTCTCAAAGTGTGGCGTTTCTCTACAATTCACTTGGTTACAACAAGCCTTTTATTAAAATATTATTTTATTTCATTTTATATTTTATATTTAGAGACAGGGTCTCACTTTGTTTCGCATGCTGGAGTACAGTGGTGCAATCATGGCTTACCATAGCCTCAAACTCCTGGGCTCAACTGAAATTCCCGCTTCTGACTCTTGAGTAGCTGGGACCACAGGCATGCACCACCACACTTGGATAATGTTTTCATTATCATTATCATTTCATTATCATTGCTATGTTGCCCAGGCTGGTCTCAAACTCCTGGCCTCAAGCAATCTGCCTGCCTTAGCCTCCCAGAGTGCTGGGATGACAGGCGTGAGTCACCGCGCCCAGCCCAAGCCTCCCTTAAATGCATATGTAATAAGCTCACTTGTGTCCATAAGATGTTCACTCAACAAATATTTACCAAATGTGCTGGGCACTAGAGATAAAGCAACGAGTAAACAAACTGCCCCCACATTCATGGAGTTTACATGTAGTGGTTGAAGACAGATAACTAACAAGACAAGAAATATGTAATGGATGGGGTGGTGATGAGGTTATAGAGAAAAATAAAGCAGGGTAAGCAGAGATGGTAAGAGAAGACTGGGAATGGGGTTGTCCTATGATGGTTGACCAAGAAAGGTTTTTTTTTTTTTTCTTGAGACGGAGTCTCACTCTGTCACCCAGGCTGGAATGCAGTGGCACGATCTCGGCCCACTGCAACCTCTGCCTCCCAGGTTCAAGCGATTCTCCCACCTCAGCCTCCCAAGTAGCTGGGACTACAGGCACACACCACCACATCTGGCTAAGTTTTTGTATTTTTGGTAGAGACGGGGTTTCTCCATGTTGCCCAGACTGGTCTCAAACTCCTGACTTCAAGCCATCCTCCCACCTCAGCCTCCCAAAGTGCTGGAATTGCAGGCATGAGCCACCACACCCAGCCAAGGAAGGCTTTGTGATATGGTCCTTTTTGAGAAGAGCCCTGATGGATGTGAAAGAGCAGCAGGTGCGAGGGCCCTGGAGCAGGGGCACGCACAGGTGTTCAAGGGCAAGGAGGAGCTAAGGTGTGCCTGAAGGTGGGAGAGAATGAGTGCAGGGAAGGAACAAGGCCAGATCATGGTGGATCTCATGCGTGCGAGATGAGGGCTCTCACTCCTGTTCTGCGTGAGATGGGAGCCCACTGGGGTGTGAGCAGGGGACTGATGTGATCTGGCCTGCATGAGCAGACTCTGAAGGGGCAGCAAGAAAACCAGCTATGAGCAGGGCAAGCCACGTGACCGCTCTGGGTCTCAGTTTCCTCAGCTGTAAAATGGGGATGCCATGAGACCCACCTCATAGTGTTGTGTGGGGTTTAAGTGAGTAAATGTTTCTTACATAAGCACTGTACACATGTGGCTTCCACCAGGGCAGCAGGGTTAAAGTGGCCAGATTTGAGTGTGTCTTCTAGGTACAGCCAAAGGGATTTGCTAATCAAATGTAGGGTGAGAAAGTAAGACAAGAGGTTAGGTGTGGTGGCTCGTGCCTGTAATCCCAGCACTTTGGGAGACAGAGGAAGGAGGATCGCTGGAGGCCAGTAGTTCAAAACCAGCCCGGGCAACATAGTGAGACCGCATCTCTACAAAAACCTTTTTACAATATTAGCCGGGCATGGTGGTGCACGCCTATAGTCCCAGCTACTCAGCAGGCTGAGGCAGGAGGATCACTTGAAGCTCGGAGTTCAAAACCAGCCCGGGCAACATAGTGAGACCGCATCTCTAAAAAAACCTTTTTATAATATTAGCCGGGCATGGTGGTGCATGTCTATAGTCCCAGCTACTCAGCAGGCTGAGGCAGGAGGATCACTTGAAGCCAGGAGTTTGAGGCTGCACTGAGCTGTGATTGCACTACTGCACTGCAGCCTGGGGGACAGCAAGATGCTGTCAAAGAAAGCAAATGAAAGAAAAGGAAAGAGGAAAGGAGGGAGGAAGGGTAGATGGGGAGGAGAGAAAGAGAGAAAGGAAAGAAAGAAAGAATAAAAGAGAGAGAGGAAAGGAAAGGGAAAGAAAAGGAAAGCAACAAGGAAAAAGAAAAGGAGAGGAGAGGGGAGGGGAGAGGGGAGAGGGGAAGGGTGAAGGGAGAGGAGGAAGGATGAGAGGAGAGGGGAGGGGAGAGGAGGAGAAAGGGGAGTGAAGGGGAGGTGGGAGAGGGGAGGAGAGGAGAGGAAGGATGGGAAGGGAGGGGAGGGGAGAAAGGGAAGGGAGGGGAGGAGAGGGAGGAGGGGAAGAGAGGAGAGGGAGGAGGGGAGGGGAGGGAGGACGGAGGAGAGAGGAGAGGGAGGACGGCAGAGAGAGGAGGGGAGGGGAGAAGAGAGGAGGGGAGAGAAGGGGAGAGGAGGGGAGGGGAGGGTAACAGAGGGGAGGGAAGAGGAGGGGAGAGAATGGGAGAGGAGGGGAGGGTAACAGAGGGGAGGGAAGAGGAGGGGAGGGAAGAGGAGGGGAGAGAACGGGAGAGGAGGGGAGGGGAGCAGAGGGGAAGAGAGGAGAGGGGAGCAGAGGGGAGGGGAGGGGAAAGAGGAGGAAAGAAAAGAAGACTGGAGAGTGAGTCCAAGGTTTCTGGCCTGAGCACCTAGAGGGGTGGGAGTTGCCATCACTGAGACGGGGAAGCTGCGTATGTGTGCGTGGGGGCAGATTAGGGTGGTGGAGGTGAGGTCTGCACATGGGAAGAGATATTCACACTGAGACATGGCAGAGACCAAACCAGGACACTTCATTACCAGTCATTAGGTGTTCTTGGGAATTCAGCCATGCATAAGGAAATCAACAAACGTCTCCTTCCCTGTTAGCATGATACAGGCCACCCTGTGGACCCCAAGGGAGATGGTTAAAGTCCTGGCTCCACAGGGGGAGGCCTGGGTGCTATGGAACCCATGAGAACACAGCCTGGGAAGCCCTCTGAGGCTCAGGACTGTGCCTCATGACTTCCGAACCCAAAGTGGCCACGATGACTTGGAACACCCCCCTCTCCCGGGCCCTCTTCAGGGACCTCTCTGTGGCTGTCTGTGAGCAGGACCAGCTGGTCACCAAGTGGGACCCACATCTGGGTGCAGAGGGACATGCACCCAGCTGTTGGCGCTGCTGATCATTCTTCAGTGTGGCCAAGGGTGTCAGCCCCTCTGGCATGTGGTCGTAGAGCTGGGACAGGCACTTCTGGTGGTCCAGATCCGTGCCTGGCTTCACTGCAAAGAGAACCACAGGTTAAATCCCCTCTCATGGACCTGGCCACAGACCCACATAGAGATTTCTCTTTCTACCATGTCTCTAGTTTCCTTTCTTCTGCAGTTTCACAAGGCATTTGGGATCATGGCTCTCCTTTCTGCCCCTGGACACACCCCAGGCAGTCTGACCCTCAAGCTTTTTTTTTCTTTGAGACGGTCTCACTCTGTCACCAGGCTGGAGTGCAATGGCACAATCATATTTCACTGCAGCCTTGAACTCCTGGGCTCAAGTGATCCTCCCACCTCAGCCTCCTGAGTAGTTAGGACTACAGACATGCACCACCACACGCCAGGCTAATTTTTAAATTTTTTTGTAAAGATAAGTTCTTGCTACATTGCCCATGCTGGTCTCAAACCCCTGGGTTCAAACGATCCTCCTGCCTTAGCCTCCCAAAGTGCTGGGATCAAATGTGTGAGCCACCATGCCTGGCTACCCCGAAGCTCTTGCTCACTGGAACCAGTCATGCTCCAGAGGTTCAGAGGTTCAGAATTTTTTTTTTTTTTTTGAGATGGAGTTTCGCTCTGTCGCCCAGGCTTGGGTGCAGTGGTGTGATCTTGGCTCACTGCAACCTCCACCTCCCGGGTTCAAGTGATTCTCCTGCCTCAGCCTCCCGAGTAGCTGGGATTACAGGCATGTGTCACCATGCCCAGCTAATTTTTCTATTTTTAGTAGAGACGGGGTTTCAGCATCTTGGCCAGGCTGGTCTCAAACTCCTGACCTCATGATCCACCCATCTCGGCCTCCCAAAGTGCTGGGATTGTAGGCGTGAACCACCACACCTGGTGAGGTTCATAATTTGACCCTGAGCCCCCACACACTACCTCCTCTGACTCACCCACCACACAGAACCTCCTAGCACAGCCCAGACCCTGTCATGCCTGGCCTGCACCCCTCTGCAGTCCTGCACACCTGCAGCAGAGCCCCTTCCTGCTTCAACCACACCCTCCCTGGTGCATATCCTGCTCTCAAACCTCACAAAACCACTCTCCACTTCCCCAGCACCCTCGGCCTCTGTTCCTGTGCTCAGACACTTTACTCCCTCTAGGCTGACCCTTCCCTCCTGTGCAGATGGAAAAGTTGAACTCAAATGTCACCGCCTCTGAGAAGCCATCAATGACTGCACCATGGAGTCCACCTGCTGCTGCATTTGTGTCTCTGCAGCAATCACCAAGGCACTATATGGTATTTCTATTTGTTTCAACATCTTGTCTCGCCTAATAGACTATATAGTACTAGGAGTGGTGGCTCACACTTTCAGAGAACCTACAGCATATAAAGCATTATTGAGCTTTGCATACAGGCCCTTCATTTTCATGACAGCCTGTGAGGTAGATTCTCTCCATATACCCATTTTACAGATGAGAAAATCGAGGCAGAGGACAGCTAAGTAACTTGCCCAAGGTAATACAGCTCATTCATGGCAGAGCTGAGATATGAACCCAGGAAGTCTGGCTCCAGAGGCTGTCTTTTTAATTCCTCGGGAGGCTGCCTGGATTAGTACTTATTAGATCAAAAATCCCTGGCCAGGCACCATGGCTCATGCCTGTAATCCCAACACTTTGGGGAGGCCAAGGCAGGACAATTGCTTGAGGCCAGGAATTTGAAACCAACCTAGGCAACATAGTGAGACTCCATCTCTACGAAAAAAATTTTTTTCAATTAACTGGTGTAGTGGCATGTGCCTGTAGTCCCAGGTATTCAGGAGGCTGAAGTGGGAGGATTGCTTGAGCCCAGGAGTTCAAGAAGGCAGTGAGCCATGATCATACCACTGCACTCCAGCCCCATCTCTAAAAATAAATAAAATAAAATAAAATAAAATTAAATTAAATTCCGATCATCACAGATTTTTTTTGCATTAATTTTTATTTTATTATTATTAGTTTTTTTGAGATGGAGTCTTGCTCTGCTGCCCAGGCTGGAGTGTGGTGGCACAATCTCGGCTCACTGCAACCTCCACCTCCCCGGCCCAAGCCATTCTCCTGCCTCAGTCACCGGAGTAGCTGGGATTAGAGGCACGCGCCATGCCCGGCTAATTTTTGTATTTTCAGTAGAGACAGGGTTTCACCATGTTGGCCAGGCTGGTCTCAAACTCCTGACCTCAAATGATCTGCCTGCTTTGGCCTTCCAAAGTGCTGGGATTATAGGCTTGAGCCACTGTACCCGGCCTGCATTAATTTTGATTCTTTTAAAATATTACCTTAAAATGTTACTTATCTTGATGCCAGCATTTTTGGCATTCCCTTAGATTCTAGATTCCAGGTGAAAATTCATCCTCTTGCACACAGGCAGAATTAAAGGTGCCTCCTCTTCCTCCCTCTAAAGAAGCTTATAACCCCTAACCCCACCATGGCCTGTGCAGCAGCTGCCTCAGTCATGGGTCATTCTCATCCTCTGCCTTCAGCCTGTGAGCATCTCCAGGGAAGGCAGTTAGCTCTCACTCAGCTCAGAATCGCCCCTGGGGCAGCTGGACCACAGCCCTGGCCAAACCCCCGAACCCCACAGGCCTTACCCTGGTGGTCGATGAGGAGGATGGCAGTGAAGTAGTGGGCCAGGGCCGCATAGTGGTGGGCCTTCACGCAGGCCAAGCTGGCCCAGGAGTAGGGGATGTTCTCTTTCACCAGCACCTGGCTCATGGCTGCGTGCAGCTGTCGGCAGACCTCTCCCACCTGAAATAGAAGGGGCATTGGGAAGGGGCAGCCCGGCACAAGGGCCCTCATGAACCCATTTGCAGAGAAAGAGCCCTTTCTTCTTCTCATGCAACAGCCCCTGCCAGGGGCTGCTCCAGAATCTGGGAGCAACTCCAAGCAACCCCCCGTTCTGTCATTGTCACAGTTAACAGGGGGATCAGGCTGCTGTCATTATGCTGGTTTTTAGGTTAAGCTGCAGATGGAATCAGTGATCCGTATCTGAAACACCAACACTTGCCAAGAAAACTCAAGCCAGCAGTACTGGCCGGAGCTGGCACAATGCCCAGGTCACAGGCAAGCTCCTGTGGGAAGGCCCCATTACTTCCAGTGCTCCTGTGCCAGCATTTCCTGCCCACCCCCCAAAGTCACAGGAACCAGGGAGTCTTACCTTGGCAGCCTCCTGAGCCACCTTCACCAGCATGAAGAATTCATTCCAGATCCCAGGAAGGCTGATTTTCTCAAACACGCTTTCTTGGGTTTGTGCAAGCATCATTTTGACAAGCACGCTGAGCATGGCAGGGATCATATCGTAACTTGGATTATGGGTAAATGTCTCTTTCAGGTAGTTTAAAACCCCTAAAAGTGGAAAATGTTTTGCCCATTAGTTCGGGTTTATATTTACTTCATCACGTTGCTGTAGAGAAAGATAGGAGGCCAGGTGTGGTGGCTCATGCCCATAATCCCAACACATTGGGAGGTCAAAGTGAGCAGATCACTTGCGTCAGGAATTTAAGACCAGCGTGGGCAACATGGTGAAACCCTGTCTCTACAAAAAATACAAAAATTAGCTGGGTGTGATGGCGTGCACCTATAGTCTCAGCTCCTCTGGAGGCTGAGGCAGGAGGATTGCTTGAGCCCAGGAGGCAGAGGTTGCAGTGAGCTGAGATCTCACCACTGCACTCCAGCCTGGGTGACAGAGCAAGACTCCGTCTCAAAAAAAAAAAAAAAAAAAAAAGGAAAGATAGGAGGAAAAAAAAAGAACCGGTGTCCTACAACATATTAAAAAGTTTGATTCTCAATTATATGGTCCAGCAATTCCACTCCTATGATATATATCCCCAAACAATTGAAAGTGGGGGCTTAAGTGATACTTGAACACCCGTGTTAATAGCAACATTATTTACAAGAGCTGAAAAGTGGAAACCACCCAGACATCCGTGAGCAGATGAATGATTAAACACAATGTGGCCTATCCATACAATGGAGTATTTTTCAGCCTTAAAAAGGAATGAAATTCTGACACATGGTACAGTGTAAATAAGGGCATTATGCTAAGTGAAACAAGCCAGTCACAAAAGGACCAATATTGTAGGATTCCATTTAGATAAGGTACCCAGAATAGTCAAATTCACAGAAACAGAAAGGAGAACAGAGGTTAGCTGGGGCTGGGAAAGGGGGCAATGGGAAGTTATTGCTTAACTGAGTACAGAGCTTTGCTTATCCATCATCCAGATGAAAAAGTTCTGGAGATAGCTGGGCACAGGGGCTGCTGCCTGTAATCCCAGCTACGAGGGAGGCTGAGGTGGGAGGGTTGCTTGATATTAAGAGTTCAAGACCAGCCTGGGCAACATACTGAGACCCCTGTCTCTTAAAAAATATATACTTTTTAAAAATGTATTTATTTTATTTATTTTTGAGACAAGATCACACTCTGTTGCCCAGACTGGAGTGCAGTGGCATGATCATGAC
The DNA here is from genome assembly GCF_000001405.40 of Homo sapiens. Lineage (NCBI taxonomy): Eukaryota > Metazoa > Chordata > Mammalia > Primates > Hominidae > Homo > Homo sapiens. The sequence goes on along the minus strand of NC_000016.10, from coordinate 33,597,773 downwards.
GCACTGCAGCCTTAAACTCCTGGGCTCAAGCAGTCCTCCCACCTCAGTCTCCTGAAGAGCTGGGACTACAGACATGCACTACCCCACACCCAGCTAATTTTAAAATTTTTTGTACAGATGGGGTGTGCCTATGTTGCCCAGACTGGTCTCCAATTCTTGGATTCAAGTGATCCTCCTGACTCAGCCTCCCAAACTGCTGAGATTACAGGTGTGAGCCACCTTGCCTAACCAACAAAAAATATTTTTAACTTCTGGAGATGTTTAGTGGTAATGGCTGCACAACACTATGAATGTACAAATGCACTTAATGCCATTGAACTACACACTTCAAAATGGTTAAAATGTGCTTCTGGTTGGCAGGATAATTTTAAAATTTTAAAAATTTAAGATAATCATTAAAATGGTAATTTTATGTTGTATTATTTTACTGTAATAAAAAAACTGGTTAAAATAGTACATTTTAGGTTATATATGTATATTTTAACACTATTTATTTATTTATTTATAAATAAATGCCCAGGCTGGAGTGCAGTGGCATGATTTCAGCTCACTGAAACCTCTGCCTCCCAGGTTCAAGCGATCCCCCTGCCTCAGCCCCCCAAGTAGCAGGGATTACAGGTGCTCACCACCACACCCAGCTAATTTTTGTATTTTTACCACAGATGGGGTTTCACCATGTTGGCCAGACTGGTCTTGAACTCCTGACCTCAGGTGATCTGCCTGCCTCGGCCACCCAAAGTGCTGGGGTAACAGGTGTGAGCCACCCCACCTAGCCTTTTAACCCAATTTTTAAAAATTGGATTATCTTCCAAAACACTTACATCTCTATTGAGTAGAGAAACCAGCCTGCTCCCCACAACTCCTGTGTCACCTGGGACAAAATTCCATCATGACAGGTATGGAGATGCAAGCAGAGAGCAGGCACAAGGACTGAGGGGCTCACAGGGGGCCAGGCTCACACATAAGATCTGAGTCATTCAGCAGTCCAGGGCTTTTCCCCTGGACCTCAAGAAAGATCTGTTCTGGCCAGGCACGGTGGCTCATGCCTCTAATCCCAGCACTTTGGGAGGCCAAGGCGGGTGGTTCACCTGAGGTCAGGTTCGAGACCAGCCTGGCCAACATGACAAAACCCTGCCTCTACTAAAATTATAAAAATTAGCCAGGCATGATGGTACACACCTATAATCCCAGCTACTCAGGAGGCTGAGGTAGGAGAATCACTTGAACCCGGGAAGCGGAGGCTGCAATGAGCCGAGATCTCACCACTGCACTCCAACCTGGGTGATAGAGTGAGATTCCGTCTCAAAAAAAAAAAAAAAAAAAAAAAACTCAATCCGTCTGCTCCAATGGAAATTTTCATGCTGCAGCCTTCCACTGACTTCTTTATAGTTTAGAAAATTAACTGTCCAAAGCGCTAACTGACAATCAATCTGGAACTGAAATAGAGTCTCTCATATGAATCCCAGCCAACTGGGTCCTCTGGTTTTGTTGCTGAGCAAAAAAAAAAAAAAAAAAAAAAATCCCCGCCCTGCGGAGGGATGGCACCTGCTGTTTTGAGCTGTGAGCTCCGTGGGGGTTCCCTCACACTCCCCACTGTTCTCCCACTTGCTTCATTTCATCTATAATTTGTCTCCATTGCTATAATCTCAGAGACAGGACACAGAGTGCCTGCCTAAGATTCCCCAGAAAGATGAGTCCAGAAAAAAGATTTACAACAAAAGAAATCAACTCATACTTGGAATCTTAGCATATCACTTCATCCTAAGAGAACAATCTTTCATTTTTTTAATTAATTAATTATTTTTTGAGACAGGTTCTTGCTCTGTCGCCCAGGCTGGAGTGCAATGGCACGATCTTGGCTTACCACAACCTTGGGTGATCCTTCCATCTCAGCCTCCCAAGTAGCTGAGACTACAGGCATGCACCACCAGGCCCAGCTAATTTTTGTACTTTTTGTAGAGATGGAATTTTGCCTTGTTGCCCAGGCTGATCTCAAATTCCTGAGCTCCAGCAATCCACCCACCTCAGCCTCCTAAAGTGCTGGGATTACAGGCATGAGCCACCATGCCTGGCCTATTTCTTTAATTAAAAAAAATTCTTTTTGGCAATCCTAGCTCACTGCAGCCTCAAACTCCTGGGCTTAATTGATCCTCCCGTCTTAGCCTCTGGAGTAGCTGGAACTATGGGTGTACACCACCACGCTTGGCTAATTTTAAATATTCTGTAGAGACAGGGTCTTCCTGTGTGGCCCAGGCTGTTAGGACCAATCATTGTAACATCACAAATTTCACAATGAGTTGAAGTGGCAAAGCTCTGGTTCTTCACAAGCTTGCAGGGCAAAGTGATATCAAACAATGATCCACACGGGTGGAAGGGGATCACACCCCAAAGCAGAATGTCGATGATCAACCTAGAAGGCAACACACTATAGAGCTAGTGTGGAGAACACACTGTGGTCTACACTGTGCCCTGCTCTTGCATCCATCCCCATGCGGAGTCTGACCCAGACACAGGCCCTGCTATGGGGGAGCAAGGCAGAACCCGCAGGCAAGGGTGAGCCATGCCAGGCTCACCCACAGCACTGGGTCTGGTGACCCCGGTCCTCTACAGGTGTAAGCACTAGGCTGCTTTTCTCCTCGACCCCGCACCTTGTTCTCATACTAGGATTACCTGAGGTCAGGAGTTTGAGACCAGCCTGGCCAACAGGGCAAAACCTCATCTCTACTAAAAATACAAAAATTAGCCGGGCATGGTGGCAGGCGCCTGTAATCCCAGCTACTTGGGAGGCTGAGGCAGAAGAGTTGCTTGAACCCAGCAGGCAGAGGTCGTAGTGAGCAGAGATTGTGCCACTGCACTCCAGGCTGGGTGACAAGAGCAAGACTCTATCTCAAAATAAACAAATAAATAAAATAAAATAAAACAACAAAAGACAGTTCCCAGAAGAAGGGAACTGAGCTATGAGACATCCTTTGAATGCATCACTTGACAAAGGGTTGAGAACACCCACCTCATGCTGGAGAAGCTGGCAGAATGCAGGTGACATAAAGGCATGGAGGGGCAGGGTGTGGTGGCTCACCCTGTAATCCCAGCATTTTGGGAGGCTGAGGCAGGCGGAACACCTGAGGTCAGGAATTCGAGACCAGCCTGGCCAGGATGGTGAGACCCCATCTCTACTAAAAATACAAAAATTAGCCGGGCGTGGTGGCGGGTGCCTGTAATCCCAGCATTTTGGGAGGCTGAGGCAGGCAGAACACCTGAGGTCAGGAATTCGAGACCAGCCTGGCCAGGATGGTGAGACCCCATCTCTACTAAAAATACAAAAATTAGCCGGGCGTGGCGGCGGGTGCCTGTAATCCCAGCTACTCAGGAGGCTGAGGCAGGAGAATCACCTGAAACCGGGAGGTTTCAAGCAGTGAGCCAACATTGCGCCACTGCACTCCAGCCTGGGCGACAAGGGCGAAAATCCATCTCATAAATAAATAAATAAATAAATAAAGGCACGGAGAGTAATACGCACAGATAGGGTACACCTAATACAAGAAAAAGAAGCCTACGGTTTCACTATTTGGGAAAAGTTATTCTGCTCTTCATGACAGTGTTGAAAGAAACAGTTATGCACTGCCATCCCAGGGCCACTTGTCTGGAAAAGATCAATCATCAGCCACAGGATTCACCATGTACATCAAGCCATCCCAGACTGAGGTCTGAACCACCGAGCAAGTTTCTTTTTTTTTTTTGAGACGGAGTCTGACTCTGTCACCCAGGCTGGAGTGCAGTGGCGCAATATCCGCTCACTGCAAGCTCCGCCTCCCGGGTTCATGCCATTCTCCTGCCTCAGCCTCCCAAGTAGCTGGGAATACAGGTGCCTGCCACCAGGCCCAGCTAATTTTATGTATTTTTAGTAGAGATGGGGTTTCACCATGTTAGCCAGGATGGTCTCGATCTCCTGACCTTCGTGATCCACCTGCCTCGGCCTCCCAAAGTGCTGGGATTACAGGCATGAGCCACTGCGCCCGGCTGGAGCAAGTTTCTTAATGGGAAGTTACACCAGAGCTGAAGATTGCTCTGGCCCTTGCAGGGGACGACCTGTAGACCCTCTTCAGTGGGGGGGTCACCTGGTGCCTCCAGGCGGGGCCAAGGCTCTGTCCAGTTAGCCCTGGAGGAGACATACCTGCAGCTCTCTGAAAGGCATCTATGGCACTCTGCAGCCCAGCCTGCGTGTGCCGATAGCGCCGGGTCCCAATCTGGGTGTAGAGGACCCCAGTGTTGAACAGGACACTGGCCTTCTCCAGCAGCAGGTTCTGCTGGCTGACCAGAACCCCAGTGAGGGAGTCATACCTATGTGAAAGAAATGCATTTAGGGAATACAGATTACTTGGCTAGTTAATGCTACTTTTGGATGCAAGTGGAAAAATTATTATTATTATTATTATTATTATTATTTTATTTATTTATTTTTGAGATACAGTCTCACTCTGTCACCCAGGCTGGAGTCCAGTGGAGCGATCTCAGCTCACTGCAAGCTCTGCCTCCCAGGTTCATGCCATTCTCCTGCCTCAGCTTCCCAAGTAGCTGGGACTACAGGCACCCGCCACCACGCCCAGCTAATTTTTTTGTATTTTTAGTAGAGACAGGGTTTCACCGTTTTAGCCAGGATGGTCTCGATCTCCTGACCTCGTGATCCGCCCACCTCAGCCTCCCAAAGTGCTGGGATTACAGGCGTGAGCCACTGTGCCTGGCTCTATTATTATTTTTTTAAGAGTCAGGATCTCACTCTGTTGCCCAGGCTGGAGTGCAGTGGTGTGATCATAGCTTACTGCAGCCTCCAACTTTAGGGCTCAATTGATCCTCCCACCTCAGCCTCATGAGAAAGCTGGGATTACAGGTGCATGCCACCATACCTGCCTAATTTTTTTTTTTTAATTTTTGTAGAGATGGGGTCTCACTATGTTACCCAAACTGCTGTTAAACTCCTGGGTTGGCTGGGTGCAGTGGCTCACACCTGTAATCCCAGCACTTTGGGAGGCCAAGGTGGGTGGATCACCTGAGGTCAGGAGTTCGAGACCAGCCTGGCCAACATGGTGAAACCCAGTCTCCACTAAAAATACAAAAATTAGCCAGGCATGGTAGCGGGCACCTGTAATCCCAGCTACTCAGGAGGCTGAGGCGGGAGAACTGCTGGAACCCGAGAGGCGGAGGTTACAGTGAGCCAAGATTGTGCCACTGTGCTCCAGCCTGGGCAACAATAACAACAACAACAAACTCATTTCTTCAATAAAATTCAAGAATGCACATGCACTGAGGCTTTTGTTTCCAAGCAAGATGACAGGACTAATCACACTGACCACCACAGCCACACACAAAAATATCTGATGGGGTAACTTTATAAACACAGCATGGGACATCCAGACAATGGACTATTACTCAGTACTAAAAATGGAGCCTTTTCAAGCAAGCCTTGAAAAGATGCAGAAGAAACATTACCAAGAGCCAACCTGAACATTGCTACCTACCGTATAGCACGCTGTGTGAGTCCAACATTCTGAAAAGCCAAAAACCCTGGAGACAGAAGAAAGATCAGGGGTTGCCAGGACTTAGGGGGAGGGAGGGAGGAACAGGCAGAGCACACGGAGGATTTTTCCAGCAGGGAAACTCTTCTGTACGACACTGCAAAGATGGATCACTGTCACTCTATGTTGGTCAAAAGCCGCAGAATACACAAGTGCAAGAATGAACCCTAATGGGAACTATGGACTCTGGGTGATAATGATGTGTCAGGTAAATTCCTCAATTATTAAAAAAAAAAAAATGCGCTGGGTGCGATGGCTTACACCTGTAATCCCAGCACTTTGGGAGCCCAAGGCAGGCAGATCACAAGGCCAGGGACTGAGACCAGCCTGGCCAACGTGGTGAAACCCCATCTCTACTAAAAATACAAAAATTAGCCAGGCGTGGTGGGGCACACCTGTAATCCCAGCTACTCAGAAAGCTGAGGCAGAAGAATCACTTGAACCCAGGAGGCGGAGGTTGCAGTGAGCCGAGATCACGCCACTGCCCTCCAGCCTGGGCAACAGAGCGAGAATCTGTCTCAAAAAAAAAAAAAAAAAAAAAAGGCCGGGTGCAGTGGCTTACACCTGTAATCCCAGCATTTTAGAGGCCAAGGCAGGTGGCTGGCTTGAGCTCAGGAGTTTGAGACCAGCCTGGGCAACATAGTGAAACCCCTCTCTATCAAAAATACATGGTGGTGGCATGTGCCTTTAAGCCCAGCTACTTGGGAGGCTAAGGTGGGAAGATGGTTTGATACTGGGAGGCAGAGGTTGAAGTGAGCTGAGATCACACCACCACAATCCAGCCTGGGTGACAGAGTGAGACTCCGTCTCAAAAAAAAAAAAAGTGTGTGTGTGTGTGTGTGTGTGTGTGTATGGCTTCTCCTAAATGAAATATGGCAATTACTAACCCCTCATAATTCTTTCTGAAATCTAAAACCTCAGGATTTGTTTTACTTTTTTATTTTTTCAGACCAAGTCTCACTCTGTTGCCTAGGCTGGAGTGCAGTGGCATGATCATGACTCACTGCAGCCTCAACCTCCTGGGCTTAAGTGATCCTCTCATCTGAGCCTCCCAAGTAGATGGGACTACAGGCATGTGCCCCCCATGCCTGGCACATTTTCTCTAATTGTTTTGTAGAGATGGGGTCTCACTGTGTTGCCTAGACTGGTCTCAAACTCCTGGGCTCAAGTGATCCACCCACCTTGGCCTCCCAACATGCTGGGATTCCAGATGTGAACCACCACACCCAGCCTAGGACTTGTTTTATTTATTTATTTATTTTTATTTTTTGAGACAAAGTTTTGCTCTTTCACCCAGGCTGGAGTGCAGTGGCGCCATCTCGGCTCACTGCAGCTTCTGCTTCCGGGGTTCAAGCAATGGTCCTGCCTCAGCCTCCTGAGTAGCTGGGATTACAGGTGCCCGCCACCACACCCAGCTAATTTTTGTATTTTTAGTAGAGACATGTTGGTCAGGCTGGTCTCGAACTCCCAACCTCAGGTGATCCACCCACCTCGGCCTCCCAAAGTGCTAGGATTACAGGTGTGAGCCACCGCACCTGGCCCTAGGACTTGTTTTAAAGTTTACTCATGAACCAAGGGGTGTGCAGACAGCTTCTCCCTAATTCATGACTAAGGAGAAACCACCTTTCACCATGCAGACAGCCTGGTGCATTGTTAGGAAAAGTCATCCCCCTTTCCTTTGCTTTCCATGAAGAAGGCATCAGTAGCCAACCATTGGCTACAGAAACATTCAATTCTGATACGCCCCCACCTTCTAGGATGTATTCTCCTTTCACTGACACTCCTAACGACACTCAGAGAAGGGGTGCAGCATCTCCAAAGTACTTTTTTTTTAGGTTTTTGGTGTTTTTTGTTTTTTGTTTTTTGTTTTTTGATACAGACTCTCACTCTGTCGCCCAGGCTGGAGTTCAGTGGTGCAATCTTGGCTCACTGCAACCTCTGCCTCCCAGGTTCAAGCAATTCTCCTGCCTCAGCTTCCCAAGTAGCTGGGACTACAGGCATGTACAACCATGTCCAGCTAATTTTTGTATTTTTTAGTAGAAGCAGGGTTTCACCATATTGGACAGGCTGGTCTCGAACTCCTGACCTCATGATCCACCTGCCTCGGCCTCCCAAAGTGCTGGGATTACAGGTGTGAACCACCGCACTCAGCCTTTTTTTTTTCTTTTTTGAAACAGGATTTCACTCCTATCACCCAGGCTGCAGTGCGGTGGTGTGATCTCGGCTCACTGCAACCTCTGCCTCCCGGACTCAAGTGATTCTCCTGCCTCAGCCTCATGAGTACCTGGGACTACAGGTGCATACCATCGTACCCAGCAAATTTTTGTATTGTTTGTAGATATGGGTTTTTGCCACGTTGCCCAGGCTGGTCTCAAACTCCTGGGCTCAAGTGATCTGCTTGCCTCAGCCTCCCAAAGTGTTGGCAATATAGGCATGAAAGCCACTGTACCCAGCCCCCCAAGTATTTAAAGTATACTAATCTTTGAAAACACCAACTGGGTCTACGGCCATACCACCCTGACATGCCTGATCTTGTCTGAAAATACCAATTGTGGAGAAGAATCAAATCCTCTACTTCCATTTTTTAAATCTGATCTAAGCTGAGTGTGTAGCTCATGCCTATAGTCCCAGCTACTCAGGAGGCTGAGGCAGAAATATCACCTGAGCCCAGGAATTCAAGACTAGCCTGGGCAACACAGTGAGACCCCGTTTCAAAAGAAACCTGATCTATTTCTGTTTGGTGCTTTTGTCTCACTGGACAAGACCTGATTTTCTCTCTCTCTCTCTCTCTCTCTCTCTCTCTCTCTCTCACTCACTCACACATACACACGCATGCCCCAGTCCAATCTGAGACAAGAATCTTGCTTCTGGCTAATTCCACTTCAGAGCCCTGTGCTTCCCCAGTGATACAACAAGCAAGAAAAATGTCTCCTCTCCTTGGCTCACTTGTTCTGAGAAGCAAGAGGCCACAGTCTGTTGGGGCCATCTCCCTCGGATCACCTTCATAAATAAATACCAATGTATTGACACCTTTCTAGACTTCCCTGGATAAATGCAAGATAGGAAAGGGGGCTGAGGTGCACAGGGGTGCACCCCGGAAAAATGCAAGATAGGAAAAGGGGCTGAGGTGCCCACAGAGGGGCGTCTGTGATGCTGAGGCTCCAAAACTGTGGCTGCCATAACACGTGAAGCGCCAGCGCAGACCTCCAGCACCTACCAGGTGAACAGGAATCCCATCTGCCATGTGGGTGGGAATAATCGATTCTCAACAAAGCCCAGCTGGATGAAGTATGTCATCAGCAGTTCCACCCTGGCCTCATCCCGGCTGGGCGTCCGACAAGCCTGCGAGGAAAAGAACCCCAGAGGGCATGAGCAGAGGAGGACACAGCTGACAGCCCTTCCCGGAAGGTGCCCTGCACATACCAGCAGATGCCTGTAACTATTTCTGCAGTATGACGACCTCACTGCTGGCATCATCAACTCTAGGAGGGGTGGAAAGAACCTGGGAGGAAGTCAGAAATCCTGGAATCCAGTCCCAGCCCTGCCAGGAGGCAGGTCTCTCCCCTTCTATGGTTTTCCTTTTTTTTTTTTTTTTTAGACGGAGTCTCACTCTGTCACCCAAGCTGGAGTGCAGTGGTGCGATCTTGGCTCACTGTAACTTCCACCTACCAGGTTCAAGTGATTCTCCTGCCTCAGCCTCCCTAGTAGCTGGGATTACAGGCGTGTAGCACCATGCCTGGCTTGTTTTTGTATTTTTAGTAGAAACGGGGTTTTGCGGTGTTAGCCAGTCTGGTCTGAAACTTCTGATCTCAGGTGATCCACCCGCTTCAGCCTCCCAAAGTGCTGGAATTACCAGCATGCACCACCACGCCCAGCTAATTTTTGAATTTTTAGTAGAGACGGGGTTTCACCATGTTGGCCAGGATGGTCTGGAACGCCTGATCTCAGGTGATTCTCCCGCCTCCGCCTCCCAAAGTGCTGGGATTACATAGGCGTGAACCACCGCACCCGGCCTCCTTCTACAGTTTTCTTATGCAGCAAATGGAATGGATGATTCCAGCACCCCCCAGCCATCACCTCAATCTGCCCATGATTCTGTTAAGACCACAAGCGTGCAATAATGGGGTTCCCTGAAAACTTGGAAAAGCTACCCTCCCCTCTCTGCTGCACACAAAAACTTACTTGTCTCAGATCCATAAGATCTGTGATTTCATCTTCATATAAATAGCCATCTTCACTGTAATGTTCCAGGATAAAATCCTTAAAGAAAAGTGAGGTTAGATACTATAAAATGTGATTGAAAACCATGTATGTGCATAACAGTAATATGTCAATTGTGAACCTGTTTCTAAAAAGGCAGAATAAAGAAAAACTTACAGTGATTTTCAAAGTGGGGGAATTTATTTTCTTAATTTATGTAGTTTTTTTTATATGGAGTCTTGCTCTGTAGCCCAGGCTGGAGTGCAGTGGCACAATCTCGGCTCACTGCAACCTCTGCCTCCCAGGTTCACGCAATTCTCCTTCCTCAGCCTCTCAAGGAGCTGGGGTTACAGGCTCCCACCACAACGTCTGGCTAATTGTTGTACTTCTGACCTCAGGTGATCCACCCACCTCACCCTCCCAAAGTGCTGGGATTACAGATGTCAGCCACCGTGTCCGGCCATAGATTTTTTTTTTTTTTTAAACAGGGTTTCACTCCTGTTGCCCAGGCTAGAATGCAATGTTGCAATCTCGGGTCACTGCAACCTCCACCTCCCAGGCTCAAGTGATTCTCATGCCTCAGCCTCCCAAGTAGCTGGGATTACAGGCATGTGCCACCATGCCCAGCTAATTTTTGTATTTTTAGTGGAGATGGAGTTTCACCACATTGCCCAGGCTGGTCTCAAACTCCTGGGCTCAAGCAATCCATCTGCCTCAGCCTCCCAAAGTGCTGGGATTACAGGTGTGAGCACTGCACCCCATGCCTATGTTTTTAAATGCTGTGTTGCTTCAGTAAAAGTGAGAGTTGAAGTTAATTTTTTGCTTAAAAATGTCTTTGTGTCTGCACATCATGGCTCACATCTGTAATCCCAGCACTTTGTGAAGACAGGGCAGGTAAATCACTTGAGCCCAGGAGTTTGAGACTAGTCTATGGACTATACATTCAACCATACTGCAAACACTGCAGATATTCAGGGGCTCAGACTTGCAATTCTGGGCCTCCCTCAGGACCTGGACAAGTTTCCCAGCACAGACCCTGAGGGTAGGACTGTCATAACAGTCCCCTGATACAGGTTTCCTTTGCCAAGAAGACCCTTAACCATGTTATAAAGGCATTTTATTTTATTTTATCTTTGAGGCAGGGTCTGACGTGGTTGCCTAGGCTGGAGTGCAGTGGTGCGATCGCGGCTCACCGCAGCCTCGACTTCTCTGGGCTCAAGTAATCCTCCTACTTCAGCCTCCCAAGTAGCTGGGACCACAGGCACGTGCCACAAGCTAATTTCATTTTTGTATTTTTTAATAGAGATGGGGTTTTGCCCCGTCACCCCACCGCTGCCCCTACAAGTGCTGGCTCCCCCAAGCTGCAAGAAAGGTGATCACATAGATCGCTCAATTATGTCTTCCCAAGTGACTGTGTAACCTCTTTACACAACTTCTACATTAAAGCTCCTCCTGTTTTTGTGTGTTCAACGTACAGACACACAGACAAACACTTGTCTTACAAAAATGGATTTGTACTAAATATACAACTTTGCTGTGCCTTCTTTTTCTTTTTTTAAGAGATGAGGGTCTCGCTCTGTCATCCAGGGTGGAGTGCAATGGTGCAATCATAGCTCACTGCAGCCTTGAACTCCTGAGCTCAAGTCATCCTCCCACTTCAGCTTCTCCAGTAGAGGGGACTATAGGTCTGCACCATCACACTCAGCTAATATTGTTATTTTTCGTAAAGACAGAGTCTTCCTATGTTGCCTAGGCTGGTCTTGGACTCCTGGCCTCAGGTGATCCTCCCACCTCAGCTTCCCAAAGTGTTGGAATTACAGGTATGAGCCACTGCGCTCAGCTGACTATGCCTCTTTTCTTTAAACTTGGCCATGGGCTGGGTATGGTGGCTCACACCTGTAATCCCAGCGCTTTGGGAGGCTGAGGTAGGTAGATCACTTGAGGTCAGGTGTTCCAGACCAGCCTGGCCAACATGGTGAAACCCTGTCTCCATTAAAAATTAAAAAAATAAAAAAATAAAATAGCTGGGCATGGTGGTTAAAAGGGGTCAGGTGTAGTGACTCATGCCTGTGATCCCAGCACTTTGGGAGGCCAAGGTGGGAGAATCACTTGAGACCAGGAGTTTGAGACCAGCATGGACAACATAGTGAAACCCCATCTCTACAAATAATAAAAAAATTAGCCAGGCGTGCTGAGGCAGGAGGAGGATCACTTGAGCCCAGGAGGTTGAGGCTGCAGTGAGCCATGATCACGTCACTGCACTCCAATCTTATGTTCACCTCATAAAAGTCAAAGAGGATTTTGATTAAATTATATATGTGATCCTGAATTTGAAACTTAGTAAACTAGGGTAGATTAATGTACTTAGTGGGATAAAAAAAATTATCTAACTGGCCAGGCACGGTGGCTCACCCCTGTAATCTCAGCACTTTGGGAGGCCGAGGCAGGTGGATCACTTGAGGCCAGGAGTTCGAGACCAGCCTGGCCAACTTGGTGAAACCCCATCTCTACTAAAAATCCAAAAATTAGCCAGGCATGCTGGCAGGTGCCTGTAATCCCAGCTACTCAGGAGGCTGAGGCAGGAGAATAGCTTGAGCCCAGGATGTGGAGGTTGCAGTGAGCTGAGATTGAGCCATTGCACTCCAGTTTGGATGACAGAGCGAGACTTCATCTAAAAAAAAAAATCCTAACTGAAACCCACTGTAAACATTAGGGACAAAATGAGAATTTCTACCATCACTGTTATTACTTAGCCTAATTCCAAACATTCTCTAGCCCACACATTAAGAAAAATAAGAGACATAAAATCTTGGAAAGAAACAAAATAATTTTTTGCAACACAACAGCATGTTTATAAAACCCAATAGCATCAACTGAAACATTACTAAATTAATAAGAATTCAATAAAGTGGCAAAGAAGTTAACACATGAAAGTCAATAGTAAAAAAGAAAAGTCAATATTTTTCCTTTCTTATACAAGCAATAACCAATTAGAAAAACTTAACAGACAGCCAGGTGTGGTGGCTCACATCTGTAATCCTGGCAGTTTTCAAGGCTGAGGTAGGCGGATCATTTGAGGTCAAGAGTTTGCGACCAGCCTGGCCAGCAAGGTGAAACCCTGTCTCTACTAAAAATACAAAAAATTAGGTGGGTATGGTGGCAGGTGCCTCTAATCCCAGCTACCCAGGAGGCTGAGGCAGGAGAATCACTTGGACCTGGGGGGCAGAGGTTGCAGTGAGCCAAGACTGCACCACTGTACTCCAGCCTGGGCGACACAGTGAGACTCTGTCTCAAAAACAAACAAACAAACAAACAAAACCTAACAGAGAAACAATACCTTTCACAATAGCAACAAAAATACATTTCTAGGGATAAAATTAATACAATTAAGCAGAAAACTATTAAACTTTACCGAAGAACAGATGTGATTTCATTTTCTTTCATTGATTCGAATTTTTTTTTTTTTTTTTTATGAGACAAGGTATCATTCTGTTTTCCAGGATGGACTGCAGGGGCTCAATCACAGCTGACTGCAGCCTCGACCTCTTGGGCTCAAGCAAGCCACCTCAGCCTCCTAAGTAGCTGGGACTAAAGGTGTGAGCCACTGTCCCTGGCCCTATTTCCTCAAAATAAAACAAAATCAGCCAGCTGCAGTGGCTCACGCCTGTAATCCCAACACTTTGGGAAGCTGAGGCGGGTGGATCACTTGAGGTCAGGAGTTCGAGAACAGCCTGGCCAACATGGTGAAACCCTGTCTCTACTAAAAATATAAAAATTAGCTGGGTGTGGCGGTGGATGCCTGTAATCCCAGGTACTCAGGAGGCTGAAGCAGGAGAATCGCTTGAACCTGGGAGACAGAGGTTGCAGTGAGCCAAGACTGTGCCACTGCACTCCGGCCTGGGCTTCAGAGCGAGACTCCCTCTCTAAATAAATAAATACATAAAATAAAACAAAATCACACTGTGAAGCTTCACTGATTATTAAAAAAATCACACGGACACACAAGTCACATTTGAAATGGAATTGCTCTAATTCAGTCTGCTGAACCACTTCTGCAGTACCTGTGTTTCTCTCAAATATAGAAGGGAAAAAATACAACAGAAAATCCCTCAAACGTTCTCATTTTCATATGACTGACATTTGTAGAGTCTCTTTTAGGCTAAAATGACATGGTTGGAAGCCTGTGCCGAATGGCAGTTGGCCATGTCCACAACATGTGAATATTTTCATTTGCTTTAATGTGGAATTCAGAACATGACCCAGTTGAATCCTTAAAAATGCCTATAAAATTCCTAAGTTTCTCCAAGAGACTCTTCCTTTGAAATGCTTGCATTCTTGGCCGGACGCAGTGGCTCATGCCTGTAATCCCAGCACTTTGGGAGGTTGAGGCAGGCGGATCATCTGAGGTCAGGAGTTCAAGACCAGCCTGGCCAACATGGTGAAACCCTGTCTTTGCTAATAAAAATTAGCTGGGTATGGTGGCACATGCCTGTAATCCCAGCTACTTGTGAAACTGAAGCAGGAGAATCGCTTGAACCCAGGAGGCAGAGGTTGCAGTGAGCTGAGATCATGCCATTGGACTCCAGCCTGGGCAACAAGAGTGAAACTCCATCTCAAAAAAAAATGCTTACATTCTTGTAGCCCAGCACCAAGCAACAAACAAATTATATCGTAAAGAAACTTCTACAATAGCAGCAACAGACATTTCCAAACAGGTGGATTGTTTTGAGTCCCACAGACCAGTGGCAAGTCACATCTATTTTTGCATTTATATATACACACATATATTTTAAATAAAAATAGAGATGGGGCTGGGTGTGGTGGCTCACATCTATAATCTCAGCACTTTTGCTGGAGGTGGAAGCAGGAAGATCGCTTGCGGCCAGGAGCTGAAGACCAGCCTGGGCATCATAGTGAGGAGACCCCATCTCTTAAAAAAGAAAAAAAAAAAAGAGAGAGAGAGAAAGAGATGACTGTGCATGGTGGCTGATGCCTGTAATCCCAGTACTTTGGAAGGCCAAGGTGGGCAGATCACCTGAGGTCAGGAGTTCAAGACCAGCCTGGCCAGGATGGTGAAACCCTGTCTCTACTAAAAATACAAAAATTAGCCTGGCGCAGTGGCTCACACCTCTAATCCCAGCACTCTGAGAGGCCGAGGCAGGTGGATCATGAGGTCAGGAGTTCAAGACCAGCCTGGCCAGGATGGTGAAACTCTGTCTCTACTAAAAATACAAAAATTAGCCGGCGTGGTGGTGGGTTCCTGAAAAACCCCAGCTACTCAGGAGGCTGAGGCAGAGAATTGCTTGAACCTGGGAGGTGGAGTTTGCAGTGAGCCGAGATCACGCCACTGTACTCCAGCCTGGGCGACAGAATGAGGCTTCATCTCAAAAAAATATACATATATACACGCAAAAATTAGTTGGCCATGGTGGTGCATGCCTGTAGTCCCAGCTGCTCAGGAGGCTGAGGAAGGAGAATTGCTTGAACCCAGAAGGTGGAGGTTACAGTGAGCTGAGATCGCACCATTGCACTCCAGCCTGGGCAACACAGTGAGACTGTGTCTCAAAAAAAAAAAAAAAAGAGAGAGAGAGAGAGAAGGCCTCATTCTGTTGCCCAGGCTGGTCTCCAACTCCTGGCCTCAAGCTGTCCTCTTGCCTCAGCCTCCCAAAGTGCTAAGATTATAGGTGTGAACCATTGCATCTGGGCATAAGTCTCACGTAAAAGTTCAGGCAGGCTGTGGCAGTGTGGCATAAAGCTGCAATTCCTGGATTGTTTTCATTGCTTTCTACCCAGAACATAAACTTTCTGGTAAACTTGAGTCCTGAAACACTCAGAATACCAACTTCCCTTCTCCAGTCCCAAAATAAACCCCAAACTCACAGGATTTAAGCAAGGCAGCAGTCAAAAAGGCCTCTATTTATGTCAAACAACTCACCGTCTCTGAGAATGAAGGTCAAGTGCTTCCAAAGTATTAACCAATTGCTTTTAAAAGTAGTAGTTGGCCAGGAGCGGTGGCTCACACCTGTAATCCCAGCACTTTGGGAGGCCGAGGCGGGTGGATAGAGTACGAGACCAGCCTGGCCAACATAGTGAAACCCCATCTCTACTAAAAACACAAATTAGCCAGGCATGATGGCGGGTGCCTGTAATCCCACCTACTCAGGAGGCTGAGGCAGGAGAATCACTTGAACCTGGGAGGTGGAGGTTGCAGTGAGCTGAGATGGCCGTCACTGCCCTCCAGCCTGGGCAACAAGAGCGAAACTCCAGCTCAAAAAAAAAAAAAAAAGAAAGAAAGAAAGAAAAAAAAAGTAATAGTCAAAATGTCATAAGATGTTTTCTTTTCTAAACTAAAAGTAGTCCAAGATGAGCCAACTAAGAGGATTATCATGGAAAGTAAAATAAGCCAGGCACAGTGGCTCATGCCTATAATCCCAGCACTTTGGGAGGCTGAGGCAGGAGGGCTGCTTGAACCCAGGAGTTTGAGACCAGCCTGGGCAACAGTGGGAAACTCTGTCTCTACGAAAAATACAAAAATTGGCCGGGCTTGGTGGCTTATGCCTATAATCCCAGCACTTTGGAAGGCCAAGGCAGGTGGATCACCTGTGGTCAGGAGTTCGAGACCCACCTGACCAACATGGAGAAACCTCGTCTCTATTAAAAATACATAATTAGCCAGGCATGGTGGCACGTGCCTGTAGTCCCAGCTACTCGGAAGGCTGAGGCAGGAGAATCGCTTGAACCCAGGAGGTGGAGGTTGCGGTGAGCCGAGATCATGCCATTGCACTCCAGCCTGGGCAACAAGAGCTAAACTCCATCTCAATAAAAAAGAAAGAAAAATGCAACAATTAGCCAGGCACGGTGGCACATGTCTGTATTACCAGCTACTCAGGAGGCTGAAGTGGAAGGATCAACTGAGCCCAGGAGGCAGGGGTTGCAGTGAGCCAAGATCATGCCACTGCATGCCAGCCTGGGTGAAACAGTGAGACTCTGTCTCAAAATAATAAAGAAAAAGAAAAAAAAAGAACATAAAATATTTCTTCGAAGCAATTTTCGTGATGCTAGGATTAATTCCTATAACCAATGCCTGGGCTGCATGATGCAAACTTGGGCCACCCTGCACCTCATCCCCTTTCCCCTCCTTGATGGAATTTGGAGGCGACTGGTTAAAAACTCAAATTGATGGAGTTGAAGAGGGAAGGAAGAGGAGGGTATTCCAGGCACAGGATGGTCTCCCAGCCCCAGCATTGGGGCATGGTCTCTCCTGTGTTCTCCATTGAAGCACCCCTTCCACTTCCCACTTGAATCCCCCACTGACCCAAGGGCCCCGCAGGCAGGGCTTGTGGCACCTCTGGCACCCAGCACAGTGCCAGGCACAGGTGGGCTTATGAGGATCTGCCAAATGGGAGAGGAGTCCAGATACCCAGGAATGTGGCAGGGGGACACACAAGCAAAGACTCTGGTTATTCAAATATTTAATGGGAGTGAATTGACATCTTTGATTTCCTTTGAAATTGCATCACAAATAAGACAGACTGATATTAGCCATTAATTTCATTCTCTTTTTTTTTTTTTTTGAGACAGTTTCACTGTTGCCCAGGCTGGAGTGCAGTGGCACAATCTCAGCTCACTGCATCCTCTGCCTCCTGGGTTCAAGCGCCTCTCTCATGCCTCAGCCTCTTGAGTAACTGGGATTACAGGCAAATGCCACTATGCCCAGTTAATTTTTTTTTTTTTTTGAGATGGGATCTCACTCTGTCACCCAGGCTGGAGGGCAGTGGCATGCATGATCTTGGCTCCCTGCAACCTCCACCTCTACCTCCCAGGTTCGAATGATTCACCTGCCTCAGCCTCTCCAGTAACTGGGATTACAGGTGTGCACCACCACGTCCAGCTAATTTCTGTACGTTTGGTAGAGACAGGGGTTTTACCATTTTAGCCAGCCTGGTCTTCAACTCCTGAGCTCAAGTGATCTGCCTGCTTCAGCTTCCCAAAGTGCTGTGATTACAGGCATGAGCCACTGTGCCCAGCCTTTAGCCATTACTTTCAATGGCAAAAACTGCAATTACCTTCAAACCAACCTAACAGACACAAGAATACACAGATGGACAAATATGTCAGGAAGCAATGCTGATAGTATGTTCTTGGAAGAAGTGAGTACACAGGGGTTTGCTAGAAAATTCTTAAAATTTTTTGAAAAGTTTGGAAATTTTCATAATAAAATGTTAGAGAAAAAACTTTAGCTATTCTTCCAAAGACATAACCTAAACTGGATACATGATTTAAGAAAAAAATACGCTATTAATAAAAGAGGATGTAAGTTTTAAATTTCAAAGCATATCCATGACAGACACTTCTGACGCTTCCCCTCCAGCTCTGAAACCACCCCGGTGCCCTGTGGAGGACCAGCACCAGGAAACACACATTCCATAGGTGACTCAAGGTTTCCAAATCCAGGGAGCTATTTTCCAACTGAGTTTCCCCTGGGGCCCACCTACTTTTTGAGAAGTCTCATGCCCACACTGAAAAAGCACGTAAACCCTTCTTTGAACTGTCTCAAAGTTATTTCTCCTTAAAAAGAAGCATTTCACTTAGGGTTTGGTTTTGTTTTTGTGTTTTTTGAGACAGGACTTCTTTCTGTTGCCATTACTGCAGTCTCGACCTCCCTGGCTCAAGTGATCTTCCCACCTCAGCCTTCTGAGTAGCTGGGACTACAGGTGTGCACCACCATGCCCGGCTAATTTTCCTATTTTTTGTAGAGATGGGGTTTCACTAAGTTGCCCAGGCTGGCCTTGAACTCCTGGGCTCAAGCGATCCCCCACCTCAGCCTCCTGAGGAGCTGGGATTACAGGCATGAGGCAAGAGGGGCATTTCTTTCATAGTTAGATCTCCATTTTTGGAGATGTATTGCAATTCTGAGGGATGGTGTTGTTGGCTTTCACCTTGCAGAAATCGATTCCAAAATTGAGTTATGGAGAATGATATGATAAAGTGCCTTCAAAATTGACCTAGGAGCCAGGCACAGTGGCTCACATCTGTAATCCCAGCACTTTGGGAGGCCAAGGCGGGCAGATTACTTGAGACCAGGAGTTCAAGACCAGCCTGGGCAACATGATGAAACCCTGTCTCTACAAAAATAATAATAATAATAATAATAATTAGCCAAGTGTGATGGTGCACACCTGCAATCCCAGCTACTCAGGTGGCTGAGGCACAAGATTCGCTTGAACCCAGGAGGTGGAGATTGCAGTGAGCTGAGATCTCGCCACTGCACTCCAACCTGGGTGAGAGAGGGAGACTCTGTGTCAAAAAAAAAAAAAAAAAAAAAAAAGAAATACAACCTTAAAAGGAGACTGGTGTGTTACTTTGTTTTAATTTGGATTTTTCTGTTTCAGTTTGTCACCTCCAGCTAGGAAACAGACTGCAGTCCAACGTAAGTACAGTGCACAGAATCTCTGTGTGTGCATAGTGGCCTCCCCTTACAGGGTCAATTTTGGCCTTTGGCCTTAATCCCGAAGTATTTGCGTATGCTTTTTGTTCCTTGGCAAATAAATGAGAAAATAATTAGCCAACATTGGAAAGGTATTGTCCTAACAATGTCCTTAGGAAAATTATGGTGACTCACTAAAATATCCTTGCTCAATGTCTGTTCAGTTGAATTTAATAACATATCTTGCTAATGTTTGCATGTCTATGAAATGTGACTATGCGGAATTACTGAAAATTAACTATAAAATCCAAGGCATCTAACTTTTAAACTTATCTTGGTTCATCACATATATTTACACTAGATTTTATACTGTCTTCATTTGTTTTTTTTTTTTTTTTGTCTGTTTGTCTGTTTTGAGACAGAGTCTTGCTCTGTCAGCCGGGCTGGAGTACAGTAGTGTGATCTCGGCTCACTGAAATGTCCAGCTCCCGGGTTCAAGCAATTCTGTCTCAGCCTCTGAGAAGCCAGGATTACAAGTGTGCACCACCATGTCCGGCTATTTTTTTTATTTTTAGTAGAGACGGGGTTTCACCATGTTGGCCAGACTGGTCTCGAACTCCTGACCTCAGGTGATCCACATGCCTCAGCCTCCCAAAGTGTTGGGATTATGGGAGTGAGCCACTGTGCCCGGCCTCACAAATGCCTTTTTGTTCAACACTGCAGATATTTCCCAACAAATGGGCTCATCCCTTCCAGTCTAGCACCTCACTCAACCCCAAAGCTGATGGTTCTCTCACTTCCCAAAGTTGGGGCTGCCACACCCCAGTCTAGAACCCTATCTAGCCTCTGTGCAGATAGGGTTCGTACCCAGGTACCTCTTCATACCCTGGATGTATGAAGGATCTCTGGCTCAGAGGCTTCTGGAAGGTGTGCTGCTCCCACTTACTCTGTGTTCTGATAGACGCCCACTGAGATGTTCAGCCCCTCCAGCTCTTCCTTGAGCATCTGCAGGTCTGAGTTGACGAAGCTCAGCTCCAGCCGCACTTGCTCCCGCACCTTTGGGTTTGCGGCCACTCTGTTCAAAGAGAAGAGGGAGAGAAGTGCCCTCAGCCAGGTATCCCAGCTTCTGGGTGAGCAGACCCAATCCCCAGTCCCTGCAGGGAGGATCAGGGCACGGCTTGCAGAGGAGGGCCGGGAGTGTCGGGTAAGGTATCCCACGGACACAGAGCACCTGCCCAGCTTGCAGCACACCTGCCAGTACGTGGAGCTGGGGACACAGGCAATGACACTGTGAGCTGCAGACATGAACTCTATGACATCCTACAAAAACTCTGTCTTGAGAAGAGAAAACAAAACTGCTCCTAGCCATGCCCTAAAATACCGTAAGATATCCACTTGAAAAGAAATGAATGATTCGGGTCAGGCGTGGTGGTTCACATCTGTAATCCCAGCACTTTGGGAGGCCGAAGCAGGTGGATCAGCTGAGGTCAGGAGTTCGAGACCAGCCTAGCCAACATATAGTGAAACTCTGTCTCTAATAAAAAACACAAAAACTAGCTGGGTGTGGTGGCGCACGCTTGTAGTCCCAGCTATGCAGAAGGCTGAGGCTTGAACCTGGGAGATAGGGGTTGCAGTGAGCTGAGATTGTGCCACTGCACTCCAGCCTGGGCAACAGAGCAAGGCTCCCTCTCAAAAAAAAAAAAAAAAAAAAAAGAATGATTCCTTTCGGTAGGAGAAATCCAAATAAATAAATAAATAAACATAAAATTTGTTTTAAAAAAAGAAAGAAATGGATGATTAGCTGGGCATGGTGGTGCATGCCTATAGTCCCAGGCAGGAGGATCGCTTGAGTCCAGGAGGTTGATACTGCAGTGAACTATGATCACACCACCGCAATCCAGCCTGGGTGACAGGGCAAGACACTGTCTCTAAAAACTAAAATAAGATAATATGAAATTATATATATATATATATATGATAGTAAAATAAAATAAATGAATGAGAAAATGAAGGGAGAGGTAATGCTTCCCAATTCATTCTGTAAACTAGTATTAGCAACCCAAGCCTAGCAACATATAAATAGGATTATACACCATAACTAAGTGGGATTTATCCCAGGAATGCAAGGTAGGTTTAACATCTGAAAATCAATATAATATATTATATTAACAGAATAAAGGACAAAAAACACATGGTGACTTCAACAGATATTGGAAAAACTATATGACAAAATCCATCACAGATTCATAATAAAAATTCTCAACAAAGTAGAAATAAAAGAGAATTTATGAAATCTGATAAAAGACACCTATAAAAACCCACAGTTAACATCACACTTTGTGGTGAATGACTGCTTTCCTCTTCTCACCACAAACAAGGCAAAGATGCCCACTTTTGCTATTTCTAATCAATGAGGCAAATAAAGAAATTAAAGGCATCCAGATTAGAAAGGAAAAAATAAAACTGTCTTTATTTACAGATGGCATTATCTTATATATAGAAAATCCTAAGGCATCCATAAAATAAATATTAGTACTAATAAATTTAGCAAGGTCACAGGGTATAATCAATATACAAAAATCAATTCTTTTTTTTTTTCTCTAGACAGGGTATCACTCTGTCACCTAGGCTGGAGTGCAATGCCACCATTATGGCTTACTACAGCCTCAACTTCCCAGGCTGAAGCCATCCTCCAGCCTCAGCCTCCCAAGGAGCTGGAACTACAGGTGCACACCACCACGCTGGCTGATTTTTGTATTTTTTTTGTAGAGATGGAGTCTCACTATGTTGCCCAGGCTGGCCCAGAAATCCTGGGCTCAAGCAATCTTCCTGCCTCAGCCTCCCAAAGTGCTGAGATTACAGGCATGAGCCACTGTGCCTGGCCAATTCAATTTCTATATAATAGCACTGAACAATCTTGAAACTGAGAAAACCATTCCATTCACAATAGCATCAAAAAGAATAAAATACTCAGGAATAAACAAAAGAATCACAAGACATGTAAACTGAAAACTACAAAACAATGCTGAGATATATTAAAAGAAGAGCTATTCCATGTTTACGGATGGGAAGGCTCATTATTGTCAAGATGTCAAGCCTCCTTAGTTGGTACATTCATTCAATGCAACCTCAATCAAAATCCCAGTAACCTTTTTAATAAAACTCGGCAAGCTGAATGGAAATGCAAAAAAAAAACCTACAATAGGCAAAATAATTTTGAAAAATAAGAACAGAGTTGGAAAACATATTGATTTTAAAATTTACTAAGAAGCTGGGCTGGGCATGGTGGCTCATGTCTGTAATCCTAGCACTTTGGGAGGCTGAGGCGGGTAGATCACCTGAGGTCAGGAGTTCGAGACCAGCCTAGTCAACACAGTGAAACCCCATCTCTACTAAAAATACAAAAAAATTAGCCAGGTGTGGTGGCAGACGCATATAATCCCAGCTACTCGCGAGCCTGATGCAGGAGAATCACTTGAACCTGGAAGGCAGAGGTTGCAGTGAGCCAAGATCACACCACTGCACTCCAGCCTGGGCAACAAGAGAGAAACTCCATCCCCAAAAAGAATAAAAAATAAAAAATAAACTTACTAAGAAGCCATAGTCATCAAGATAGCATGGTACTGACATAAAAATAGGCAATTAAACAGAATAAGAGTCCAGGAATAGGCCAGGTGTGGTAGCTCATGCCTGTAATCCCAGGACTTTGGGAGGCCAAGACGGATGGATCACGAGGTCAGGAGATCGAGACCATCCGGGCTGACATGGTGAAACCCCGTCTCTACTAAAAATACAAAAAAAAAAATTGTATTTTTAGTAGAGCGTGGTGGCGGGTGTGGTGGTGGGCACCTGTAGTCCCAGCTACTCAGGAGGCTGAGGCAGGAGAATGGTGTGAATCCAGGAGGCGGAGCTTGCAGTGAGCTGAGATTGCACCACTGCACTCCAGCCTGGGTGATAGAGCGAGACTCCATCTCATGAAAAAAACAACAAAAGAGTCCAGGAATAAATGTTTACATTCATGTAGCAAATCTTTACAATTGATTTTGAACAAAAGTGCCAAATCAATTCAATGTGGAAAAGATTATTGTTTCAACAAATAGTGCTAAAGCAAGTTGACATCCATAGGTACGTCAGGGTCCCTAAAACCACCCCCAAGTTCAGTGTTAATCTAGGAGGACTTGCAAAAGTCATGGCTACGGTTTACTACAGCAAAAGACACAAAGCATAATGAGCAAAGGGAAAGGCATATGGGGTGAAATTGGGAGGAGGCCCGGCCCAGGCTTTTAGGGGTCCTCTCCCAGTGGAATCCCACAGACCATGCTTAATTCTCCCATCAAGGAGTTGTGACAACACACGTAAAATGCCAAGAAAGCCCCCAGAAAGTTCCAATCAGGACTCAGGTCCCACCGGGAGGTCCCTCCCTAGCTGACTTCTTGGGCTCCCTCCCAAAGCGGGCAGAAGGGTCTGGGTGAGGGACCTGAGCCTGGTTTTCACTTTCCTAAGCCCGAGGGTCCTGTTCCTGGCACAAGGCCTTGAGGACGCTTGGGAAGCCAGCCTTCAGGTCCCGCTGTTTTGTTGTTTTGCCAAAGTATGTCCCGTCCGTAAGTTTGCCCCCTCGGGTCACTTTCTTCACCTTATCAGCAGGGCCCATCATTCCTGCTGCTTTCCAACAAGATGCCAGAGCATATTTTTAGACCAATGAAGTCGGTGGGACAGTGGGTGGGACCCAGAGAGTGACGGACAGTGAGTCGGCCTGGAGGGTGGGAAGGCAAAGTGAGTTCCGCTCCTGGGACGGGGCTGGGAGGGGACATGGAATGGTCTGTCAGCTATGAGTTTGTGGAAGGCAGAGTCGGTGACTTTCAGCTGACCTGCCTCGGTCTGGAAGATTCCAGTAGAGAAAGGGAGGGCCAGGGGCCTGGAGGCTGGTTCCAGGCCTGGGTGCTGGGCCTGAGAGCATTTCCAAAGCACTGAGCCTGGGACTGAAGGTAATTCACCATGAGCGCTCAGCTGGGGAGGACTGTCTGTGTGCTTCCCCCACCTCCCAGTCCCTCAACTCACCCCCAGTCCCCCCACCTGCCTTAACTCAGGAAAAAGGCCTCCCTCATGAGCACTGGCAGCTGCCTTTGGTGGCATGTCACAGTCACACCCCAGGACACAACACAGAATCTCAGGCTGGCAGGGGACATTTGAGATCAGCCAGCCCAGCCTCTCATTTTACAGCTGGGAATGGGCACAGGATGGCCATGGCTGCCCAAGGTCACAGAGCCTGGGAGGGAGAAGCAGGCACAGTGGAAAAAGTAAGGTCAGGTGAGCCAGGTCTGGGCACTGGGTCCAGGCCTGCCACTCCCCTGCATGCGGCTCAGGGCGATGGCTCAGCCTCTCAGCCTCAGGTCCACAGCCGAAGCAGGCAGAGCAACAGCTGTTTGAGGGGCTGCCTGGGGAGGAGTGGGGCTGGGTGTCCTGTGCGCACAGCGGACACTTCATCAGCCACTCTGTAGGCAGCCAAGCCAGGAGGGCCCTCTGGGCACCTGGGCCTCTCCGCAGGAAGAGGAGCAGGGACCCACTATCCTTTGGGTCAATGAAGGCCTTAAGCAATGGGCTCGAAAATCCCTGATTAGTGACTACCTTCTGTTGCTAGGCAAGATGGGGACAAATACGGGGTCCAGTTCTCCAGCTGTTAAACATCTGTCTCATCAAGAAGATGGGACAGCACATGGAAAATAAATTTCTATGGTTATAATAACTGTCCCAGATTCTCTGTGCAGTAATGGCCGACCTGCTTTCCCTCTTAAAACAAGCAAGAATTTTGGATAAAATAATAACAAAATTACGTTAAAAGCATCAAAGGGCTGCTAAGCTAGTAGGAAACCTCCAGGCCAAGTTTCAGGGGAAAATCAAGAACCTAGGGAGGAGCGCTGGGGCCATTGTTGCCTGTGAGCATTTGCCAACCTGGCAAGTTGGGCTTCGACCTTGGAGGGAGTAGGGGGGTAGACAGAGGTCAAGGTATGAGGAGGCTGATAGGGGATTCACCCCCATATCAAGCTGGGAGCCTGAAAGGCCTCACCTTGGGTGAAGACAGAAGAAGAGATAACCCTGGCCCCTGCCCCCAAACAAGGAATTCATTAGCATTAAAAGGAGTGGGAGGGAAAAAGGAAAGGAAACTCACAGATTCAACCACAAAGAGCCTCTGGCCTCCTGCGGACTTGGACCGCTCACCCATCACAACTGGGAGGCCCGGGGATGGTGGGGCTTCTGTGCACTTGGTTCCAGGTGGTCTGGGCTGTCCATGTGAAAGCAAACACCATCCTCGTGAGAAGGAACCTCTGTCTTTGGCCTCACGGAAACCCCACAGACACCCTTCCAAGGGCCCCAAGAAGCACACAAAGATATCCAAGTCTGAAAGGGAAGAAGGCACCATGAGTAAGAACCAGCAGACAAGCTAGCAGACACCCGCACAGTCTCCCCATATTATTATACAATTACCAAACAAGACACTACGGTACATTTCAAACCATAATAGGAGAGATGGCCCATGTTCGGTGGCCAAGCATAGCACAGAGCTCCTCACTCCTCCAGGAATTCCACTGAAGGGTGGCAAGTTCTGGAGTTCAAGCCACTGGGTAGGCAACAGGAGTGCAAGTGGCCACAGTTCAGGCGCTGTTGGGCAGAGCAGGGGAGGGGGCGCTCCCAAGGAGTCCACTGGGAGACGCAGGCAGGGGGCTTCTCAGGCAGCCTCACCAGCTTCCCTTCACACTGATCCCCTGTAAACGTGTGTCCAGCCTCGATGTAAGAGGAACAGGGAGAAATTGATTTGCTATTCATAAAATGTGCGCCTCTCTGCGCCTGCGCCCGCGCTGTGCGCCTTTGCGAGGGCGGAGCTGCGCTCTCCTCAGCACAGACCCAGATTGCATCGTGAGGGCGAGCTGAGTTCTCCTCTGCACAGACTTCGGAGATACAGCGAAGGCGGAGCAGTGTTTTCCTCAGCACAGACCCGGGCGGGCGGGCCGGGGGCACCGCGAGGGCGGAGCTGCGTTCTGCTCAGCACAGACCCGGGGTACACCTCGAAGGCAGAGCAGCTTTCTCCTCAGCACAGACCTTGGGGACACTGTCTCCCTTTGAGCAGAATAGGTGAATGAATGAATGAGTGTAATCACATGCCCTGCCTTTCCCTGTTTATCAAGCCTGGCATCACTTTAGAATCTCTTGTTAGGATTTATGATACCCAGGCTTTACCTCAGAAGCTGAGAGTGGCACTCAGGTATAAGCATGTTTTTCCAAGCTCCACAGGTATTCCATAGCGCAGCCATGTTTGAGACAGTGGGGTCTAAGAAACATGTAGAACTAATTAGAATCCTGAAGTGTCTGTGATAAAGGTAATAAGCTTTTTGTAAGATTACAGAGGACATAGGTTAAGTTGGAAAGCCTGAGTGTTGAGATTCCTAGGCTCAGGAATTTTAATTTAAGCAAAGTTAAATGTCTTAACTTGCAAAGACATGAATCTGTAGATTCCAGATTAATGGCAGGTGTGAATTGTACAATAGAAACTGATCTAGCCTACGTGCCTTCTTGGACTGGCAGACTATGTTAATCTTTTTATTTTATGACAAGTTCAACATTATTCCCTTTTGTACTGAATTTTAGATTACTGATTTTGGGCACTCCAAGATTTTGGGAGAGACCTCTCTCGTGAGAACCTTATGTGGAACCCCCACCTGCTTGGCTCCTGAAGTTCTTGTTTGTGTTGGACTGCTGGGTTTTAGGAGTTATTCTTTTTATCTGGTAAGAAATATTTTCATTGCTTCACAGACTGGTAGGAGGTGATTAGATGAAGTCACAAATGTGTCTTGCTCTGTTGTCCAGGCTGGCATGCAGTGGCTTGATCTTGGCTAACTGTAGCCTCTGCCTCCTGGGTCAAGTGATCCTCCCACCTCAGCCTCCCGAGTAGCTGGGACTACATGCGCACACCACCATGCCCAGCTAATTTTTCTATTTTTTGTAGTGATGGGGTTTTGCCATGTTGCCCAGGCTGGTCTTGAACTCCTGGGCTCAAGTGATCCTCTTCCCTCGGCCTCCCAAAGTACTGGGATTACAAGCATGAGCCATTGTGCCCAGCCTAGCTCACTTTTTGACCATTGATTTAAAGAAAAATCAGACTTTTCATTATGCTGAAAAAGAAATCTTTATATCTGAATGCCACTGAGAATGCCACTTGATTTCTTTTCCTTTCTCTCTCTACCATTATTAAGCCTTAGTGGGTATCCACCTTTCTCTGAGCATAGGACTCAAGTGTCACTGAAGGATCAGATCACCAGTGGAAAACACAACTTCATTCCTAAAGTCTGGGCAGAAATCTCAGAGAAAGGTATGAATATGAAAGGGTTAAGAATTTGTGGTATTCTAAAATGTGTGTGTCCTGTGGTGGGAGTTTCTCTCCAAATTCCATGGTGTTTTCTCCTGTCAATTCTGTTCTTATTTTCTATCGTTAGTTTCACACCATTTGAGAGGCACTGGAAATTATTAAGAGCATGCACTCAGGTCCTGGGTCTGCTACTACTTAGCTGTGTGGCCTTAGGCAAGTTATTTAACCTCTGTCTCCAATTTCTTTCTGTGTAAAGGGACCCTCAATAATCCCTACCTTAAAAGGTTTTTGAGGGTTAGGGATAATGTACACAAGTGCCTGGTACCTATTTTAATGAGCAAAATAAATGCACTTGTAACTTTTTAGTTACAAGGTTTCCTTTGAGTAAGCAAGCGTGTAAAAACTAGATGTCTTTAGTTACCTTATATTTTATAATTTATCCTGGCAACTTTAGTTCCCTGAAGAGAAAGTAGAAAATTAAATGTCAAATAACATAACATAGGTGATTGTGTTAAATGTCAGAATATTTAAGGAATAATAATGTTGTAATATACAGGCCAGCGTGCATTTGTTGCTTGCTGGAGTAGTCAAGTTTTATTTCTGACAAGTCTGCAGTTCCAGGGAGCCTCTCCCTGGCTGAGTAACTGTCACCCATCCATCTGTAGATGTCAGGGAGAGTTTGCTGTGCATCCCAGTTATCTTAGAATTGGGTAGAAGTTTAGCTTTAATTAGTTTGACCTCGAGTCTAGCAACAAGAGAGGGAACAGGCAACGAAGAGGTAGTGACTGATGTCCCAGCAGCAGGAGACAGGGAGTGTCATTGTCATTCCTGGTCTTCTCACAGTACTCTGAATACAGAGAATGAGGAAGATTAAGGGGCCCTGTCTGCTGACTCCCTGATGATCTCAGACCCTCTCTGCTCTTTCTGGATGGTGACCTGTTAATTCTGGCATACTGTTACTGATAATATATTTATACTTTTCACTGTGATTTGCCCAATTGTTGCTTTAGCTCTGGACCTTGTCAAGAAGTTGTTGGTAGTGGATCCAAAGGCATGTTTTACGACAGAAGAAGCCTTAAGACACCATGGTTTCAGGTGGGTGTGGGACAGTGCCTGCTAGCATAAAATACATGGGAAGCCCTGCTGCATGAGAGACATGAGACAGAGGACAGAAACATATTTACTTTGTTGAATCTGTTTAATTGTTTTAATGTATTGGGGGAGTATCTTGGCAGATGGGTTACAACCTGTTTTTTTTTTCCTTTTTTGAGACAGGTTCTCATTCTGTCTCCCTGGCTGGAGTGCAGTGGCACAATCTCAGCTCACTGCAACCTCTGCCCCCCGGGTTCAAGTGATCCTCCTGCCTCAGCCTCCCAAGTAGCTGGGATTAAAGGTGCATGCTACCACGCCCAGCTACTTTTTGTATTTTTTGTAGAGATGGGGTTTTGCCGTGTTGGCCAGGCTACAACCTTTTTGATGTTACTCATGGCTGTTGGATGTACAAGCTCACTTTATGTCCTGTTCTGGTTCCACCTGGCTGCCCCGAGTCTCCAGTTTGGCCTGTGTCCTTTTGAGGTCTTGTTCTGGCTCTACCCCAAGCCATGTCCACTGTTCTTCACAGGTGGGGTGCATTCCAGCCATCTTCAACCTTAAATCAGGGAACTGGGGGAGGAGGGCAGCCTCCCTGGGGAGAATCCAGCTATTTCTCAAGCCCAAGTGACTGGGTATAAAGGGTCCCACTGCTTGTTCATTCAGATGAGTAAATGTGTCCTTAGTGAAGGCTGTCACCTGCACCTTTCATCTGTGTTACTGCTGTGCTCCTGCTAGGGTTAGGGGCTGCCATTATTAAATGCTGACCTCATTTGGAACTGCCAAGAGTTGGAAGTACATTGTGGCTTTGCTGGGTTAATCTTTAGTTTTGGAATTAGCTACGGCATTGGGCAGGTTTTTCTGATAGATGTCTGGTCTTCTGTAACGAGCAGTTCCATTCAGCACAGCCATGCCCCTTTCTATTAATTTTCTTTTGGTCTGTGTATTAGTCTGTTCTCACACTGCTATAAAGAACTGCCCAAGACTGGGTAATTTATAGAGAAAAGAGCTTTAACTGACTCACAGCTCCACATGGCTGGGGAGGCCTCAGGAAACTTATAATCATGGTGGAAGGGGAAGAAGGCATGTCTTAATGGCAGCAGGTGAGAGAGCTTGTGAAGGAAGTGAAGGGTGAAGAGCCTCTTATGAAACTGTCAGATCTCGTGAGAACTCACTCACTATCATGAGAATAGCCTGGGGGGAACTGCCCCTATGAGCCAATCACCTCTCAACAGGTCCCTTTCTCAACACCTGGGGATTACAATTTGAGATGAGATTTGCATAGGGACACAAAGCCAAACTGTATCAATCCGTTTTCTGTGGAGATGGGGGACAGAACTGGTAGCTTGAGCTAGAGGCTGTTACTTGAGCTAAATGCTGTTTCTCTGGGGATTACTGGTCCAGGAACTCCTTGGGAAATCCAGCCTCAGCCCCGTACTTCTGGGACTCTGGGAAGACTGTCCCCATTCTCTGTTCTAATCCTCTACACCTAACAGTTTTGCTCAGGCCAGCTCAGGTTGAGAACAACAAAAACTTAAGAAAAAAAAAAGACAGATATATGTGTTTTGGATGTTGCCCTGGAAACTATAGTCTCCCCAGAAGAAATCTGTCAGATGATTTAGCATTTAATAGACCACACAGATTTGAAACAGCAGGAACCTAGAGGAAGGGGGTTTGGAAACAAAGGGTGCCTTTGCATGTGGGGATTTTAATTTTGATGAAAAAGAGAAACATGTCTTTTGGCTCTTTTCATGTGTCCTAATAGGGAAACTCTTGGTTCTAAATGTAGAGGTACAGGAGCTGTGTTCATCTCTAGCAAAAAAACAGAGCTGGCCAGTTGAGCCTGGGAACAGGGTTTGCATCTGCCTGAAATTTATGAGCAAGCATAGCCTATTTTTCTTGTGCTTCTTTGTCTCAAAGAAAACTTATTAACAACCAAGGAGAAGGTGAAGTTCAACTCCGTTGCAGAATCTCCCTGGAATACTCTTTTAGCCACCTTTTGTTTTTGCAGTAAAAGGAGGAATGAGCATTGAATGAAGACAAAGATGAAGACTGACCATCTAAAACATCTGTTAGTGATAGTTTGGGTTTTATTTTGGGAAAATTCAGTGTTTTCACAAAAACCAAATGGTTTTGTGGTTCTGGCGCTGGACTGAGTGTTGGGAATGTGGATTCTGGTCTCTGTTTTGTCATTAACAGAGTGCCCAGTTTTGGGAGCATCCCTTACATCTACTGTCTGCCTCATATTTACTGCCTGAAATAGAGGATTTCTTCTGTTTGCTTTCAAGGGATATTATAATTTAATTTTTATTTTATTTATTGTTGGAGACAAGGACTTCTTCTGTTGCCTAAACTGGAGTGCACTGGTGCAATTACAGCTCACTGCAGCCTCGACCTCCTGGACTTAAGGGATCCTCCCACCTCAGCCTCATGAAGTGCTTGGATAATAGGCACGAGCCACTGTTCCTGGCTAATTTAATATTTTGGAATAATTGTAGACATTATGAAGAAAATCAATGTTTATTTATTTATTGCCTTTTTTGAGATGGAGTCTCACTTTTGTCTACCAGGCTGGAGTGCAATGGTGTGATCTCAGCTCACTGTGACCTCCACCTCTGAGTTCAAGTGATTCTCCTGCATCAGACTCCCAAGTGGCTGGGATTACAGGTGCCTGCCACATGCCCAGCTCATTTTTGTATTTTTAGTAGAGATGGGGTTTCACCATGTTGGTCAGACTAGTCTCGAACTCTTGACCTCAGGTGATCCACCCACCTTGGCCTCCCAAAGTGCTGGGATTCCAGGCATGAGCCACTGTGCCTGACCTGATTACTTGTTTTAAATATAAGCCTGATTAGGCTTGTGACCGCTCTGTTTGGCTTCACTGAAGGGCTGCCAAGAGGTGGACTTTTGAGAGTGACACTGCAAGATAATTGAGATCCTAAGTAAGGCTGTGAGAGGGTGCGGAGAGGAATCCAGATGAGCTTGCTGCTGTCAAATGGCAATGGAGAGCTACACTGAGAAACTCAAAACAGAGTGACCTCAAGTGATCTGCCCTGCCTTGGCCTCCCAAAGTGCTGGGATTACAGGCATGAGCCACTGTGCCTGGTCCTTCTTTCCTTCTTTCTTTCTTCCTCCTTCCTTCCCCCTCCCCTCTCCTCCATTCCTTTCCCCTCCCCTCTTTCATCCCCCCCCCTTTTTCCTTCCTTGCTTCTTTCCTTTCTTCCTTCCTCAGGGTCTTGCTGTCTCACCTAGGCTGGAGTGCAGTGGCATGATCACTGCACCATGACTTTCAGGCTCAAGTGATCCTCCTGCCCCAGCCTCCCAAGTAGCTGAGACTACAGGTGCATGCCACCGTGTCTGGCTAATTTAAATTTTTTTTTTTTTTTTTTTTTTTTTTGAGACAGAGTCGTAGTCTTTTGCCCAGGCTGGAGTGCAGTGGTGTGATCCTGTCTTACTGCAACCTCCACCTCTCGAGTTCAAGCGATTCTCCTGCCTCAGCCTCCTGAGTAGCTGGGATTACAGGCATGCACTACCACGCCTGGCTAATTTTGTATTTTTAGTAGAGACGGGGTTTCACCATGTTAGCCAGGCTGATCTCAAACTTCCGACCTCAGGTGATTCGCCCGCCTTGGCCTCCCAAAGTGCTGGGATTACGGACGTGAGCCTCTGTGCCTGGCCTAATTTTTAAATTTTTTTGTAGTGACAAAGTCCCAGTATGTTGCCCAGGCTGGTCTCAAATGCCTGGCCTCAAGCAAATCTCCCACCTTGGCCTCCCAAAGTGCTGGGATTATAGGCATGAGCCACCATGCCCAACCTAGTGTTGTAAAATTTCCATATCCATCAAATTGCCAAATGGTGGAGGACTTTACTGTATCCTCTCTCTTTCCCCACTGTGGTATGCTTGGCTCAGTGGGAGGAGGGGCTGGAGTTGGGTGGGAAAGTACATGAGGCATTGGAGTCAGATAACTCTGGGTCTGTATTCTGCACATGCCACCTGTGAGTGGCTGAGCTGGGCTTCTGGCCAGAACTCAAAGGCCACATTCCTAGTTATAGATGTTCCTTTCACCTTGCTGAAGTTGGGGAGAGCTGCATCAGACCACCTCTCAGGGTTTCCTAATGCAAATCCTTGAACCCTGCAGAAGTAAGCATCCAGAGAGGTGGGAGCTACTCGTATACCCACTGTCTGTGCCCTCCTCATCTCCCGCTCCTGCAGCATGAAACAGCTGTAATGCTTTGTTATGTTTATTGTCTCCCTTTCTCATTAGACCTGAGCTCTGGGATATTGTGGCCTTAAGTACTTCTGAAAATTTGTATGGCATCTGCTGGGTGAATTTTCCTAGGGTGCTGGGCTGGTTGTTAGGACAGCCTGGGTGACTGGCCTCATTCATGGCAGGGGCAGCAGGTGGAGAGTTGTCCTGGAAGGATTTGAGGAGCTGCACGGAGTCAGACCCAGCCCCTGGCCCCCTGATTGTCACCTTTCTCAGGATCTGGGATGCTAATTCAGAAACTCTTGACTGCCGGAGGCTGTGATTGACCCACTGAGAGCTTTTAGGCATGTGGATGTGAGTCAGCCAGGATTGATGGAGCATTGACTGCTAATTTGACTCCTCTGGGAAGGTAGAGGGGGGCAACACATAATGCCTTCGCTGTGGGAGCTTCATCAAGGGGATGATTCTTGGACGGACATCTTTTCCTCCCTCTTTCCACAGGGGCATGCTAGCCCTGTCATTCTAGGAGTTTATTATCCTTCAGACACAGCTACTTATGTTTTTAATTCCCTCACAGGATGAAGACATGAAGAGAAAGTTTCAAGATCTTCTGTCTGAGGAAAATGAATCCACAGGTCTATCCCAGGTTCTAGCCCAGGTATTCGTATTCCTGATGATCACTAAATGTAGTCTAGGCTTAAGGAGCTGATAAGTAAAGAGATGAAATTCAAGATTTTCCTGAGTAATAATTGCTTAACATTGTTTCAGTTATAATGTAGTAGAAACTCTCTTTGAACTTGATTCACTCTAGCACCCTTAGATTTAAAAATGCAGGTTATGTTTAATATCTAACACATAATAGACAGATAAGCACAGCTAGGGATTGTCATCCAAAAGGTCACCTGCAAGGCAATTTCAAAAGACTCTATTAGAGGCTCAAATATAAATTTGTTGGAAAATTAAAATTTGGGTCCGTAGTTGATTCCTTGATTACAATTTTATTCTTTAAAGTTCTTTGTGAGTATAAGTTAATTCCAGTCCTGCTTTTTTGTTGTTGTTGTTGTTGAATGGTAGCTGTCCTTTTTCCCACTGTTTTCTCCCCCCCGATTTTTATTTTCTTGAGACAGACTCTTAGTCTGTCACTCAGGCCAGAGTGCAGTGGTGCAATCTCAGCTCACTGCAACCTCTGCCCCCTGAGTTCAGGCAGTTCTCCTGCCTCAGTCTCCTGAGTATCTGGGACTACAGGTGTCCGCCACTGTGCCCAGTTAATTTTTGTATTTTTAGGTGAGATGGGGTTTTGCCATGTTGGTCAGGCTTGTCTCGAACTTTTGACCTGAAATGACCTACCCACCTCGGCTTCCCAAAGTGCTTGGATTACAGGTGTGAGTCACCACACCCAGCCTTCCTCCCAATTTTGCATATGGGAAAACAACTAAGGCACAAAGGTTGTCTTCCCGCAAAAGACCAAGACTTGGGGCTTCAACTGAGAGGTATTGTAGTCCTTTTAAACTTGATATTTAGAAGAGGATGATCAAGAGGAAGTTGGTTATGCTACTTGCTTTCAGTATACATCATTCAGAGGTCAGAAGCCATAAGGGAGAGAAATATCTATTAGATAAGCATGTCTGAGTTGCGGGCTGTGATGAGGACTCAGTTGTCAATGATGAAAACCAGTAATTTTTGGTACTAGAATTTCACATCAAATGCCCCCACTTTACTGGAAGTACATTGAGGAACTTTGATAATCTTAAAGAAGCCAGTGATTTTCTTTTGAACATTTCTCCATTTTCCTTTATTTTCAGCCTTCTACTAGTCGAAAGCGGCCTCGTGAAGGGGAAGCCGAGGGTGCCGAGACCACAAAGCGCCCGGCTGTGTGTGCTGCTGTGTTGTGAACTCCGTGGTTTGAACATGAAAGAAATGTACCTTCTTTCACTCTGTCATCTTTCTTTTCTTTGAGTCTGTTTTTTTATAGTTTGTATATTAATTATGGAAATAATTGCTTTTTCACAGTCACTGATGTACAATTAAAAACCTGATGGAACCTGGGCTTTGTGCTTCTGCTTGATAATCGGTTCTTTAGTTGAATGGCTTTATTATTTATTTATTTGAGATGGAGTCTCACTCTGTTGCCCAGCCTGAAGTGTAGTGGTGCAAGCTTGGCTCACTGCAACCTCTGCTTCCCAGATTCAAGCGATTCTCGTGCCTCAGCCTCCTGAGTAGCTGGGATTACAGGTATGCGCCACCATGCCAAGCTAATTTTTATATTTTTTTGTAGAGACTGGGTTTTGCCATGTTGGCCAGCCTGGTCTTGAACTTCTGACCTCAGGTGATCCGCCTGCCTCGGTCTCTTAAAGTGCTGGGATTACACATGTGAGCCACTATGCCTAGCCTGAATGGCTTTTTTATATTTAAAGTTGTTGTGTGCCTTTCATCTGGAGCTACACCTTGGCTATCACTAGGCAGGTTTCCCAGGATGTCACCCTGGTCTCAGCCTGTGAGAGCTGAATGCAAATTCTAAGGGCCCCTTGGAAAGTTCCAGGGAAAGGAGCATAGCGAGGTTGGGGGTGGAGTTTGTAGAGACTGGCTGGCTGGCTGCTGACATCTTCATGAGAACAGCAGGTACCTTGGTGCATAATAACAGGCCAGGTTATACTCTCATCCTTGCCCTCATAAAGATACAGGTCTACAGTCTCTGAAACCTTTGGGCTAGATAAGTTGTGAAATTTAATTACCCAATTTTCGGAAGGTGGTAAGGCATATCTACTATGTGTATGTGTAGCACCCCAGTGGAGTCCTACACATGTGGAGTCCTACCCCAGTGGAGACCAAACATGTTAATATTTCCACAGCAAATATTCACAGTAAGAGGGATAGAGAAAGATTGTAGGTAGTTGCATATTGATTCATATCAGTCTTTTCTTCCAAATGAGCTACAATGACTCATTTTTGAGAGCTGTTTGGGTTTTGGAAGTGGAGATAAGGCACGGTTATGTCTTGATGACCCAATAATGACCGGGGAGGCCTTGTGCAAAGACTTACCCTTGGCTGCTCTTGTCCTCACAGTGATTCTATGAGGTCCTCTAGCCACTGTCATGTCACAGGTGAGGAAACCAAAGTTGGAGGATGAAGGTAACTTTTCTGATGTCGCGCAGCTGGTAAATGGCAGAGCTGGGACCCAACCCAGGTCTTTTTGACTCTAAAACTAATGTTCCTTATTGTCCACTGAATCTGCCTTTATAACTTTGCTTGGTCGATGCTAGGACACTTTGTAGCTCACTGGCCATGCCATGAATTGAGTGCCATGGTTCAAAGGCCACTGGTGATTCAGTCAAGGCAGGCTCAAGGGCACACAGCCATTTCCTTAGGAAATGGGGATGGTGGTTGAAAATTTCTATTAAAGGGTATATAAGCATTCTGAGACTTGGCTGGCCGGGTGTAGGGGGTTTGTTGGGAATTTAGGTGGTTTGCATGTTTAAAGGAATAAGACTGAGATTTCCAATTAGATAGGTTTTAGCTCATTTGAATATTTAATGTGGAGGCTGTGGTTTCCTGGGACATTTTTCCCACTGTGGAGAGTTAGCCAGCTTTTCTCTGTTTCTTTTTTCTTTTTTTTTTTTTAATCGAGATGAAGTCTCATGCTTGTCACCCAGGCTGGACTGCAATGGTGCAATCTCAGCTCACTGCAACCTCCGCCTCCTGGGTTCAAGCGATTCTCCTGACTCAGCCTCCCGAGTAGCTGGGATTACAGCCACCTGCCACCATGCCCAGCTAATTTTTGTATTTTTAGTAGAGATAGGGTTTCACCATGTTGGTCAGGCTGGTCTTGAACCCCTGACCTCAGGCAATCCACCCGCCTCCCTCCCAAAGTACTGGGATTAGAGGCATGAGCTACCATGCCCGGCCGCCCTTCTCTGTTTCCAGATCATTTTGTATTAACTCCCCCTCATGATATTTTCCATGGCAGGCTGAATAATGGCCCCTCCAAAGTGTCCTCAACTTAATCCCCGGAATCTGTGACTATGTTCCTTTCCATGACAAAAGGGACTTTGCAGATGTGATTAAGCATCTTGAGATGGGAACTTATCCTATGTTGCCTGTGGGCCCAGTGTCCCATCACAGTGCTTTTTTTTTTTTTTTTTTTTTTTTTTGAGACAGAGTTTTGCTCTTGGTGCCCAGGCTGGAGTGCAATGATGCAATCTCGGATCACTGCAACTCCATCTCCCAAGCTTCAAGTGATTCTCTTGCCTCAGCCTTCCGAGCAGCTGGATTACAGGTGCTCGCCAACATGTCCAGCTAATTTTGTTTTTCCGGTAGAGATGGGGTTTCACCATGTTGGCCAGGCTAGTCTCGAACTCCTGACCTCGTGATCTGCCCACCTTGGCCTCCCAAAGTGCTGGGATTACAGGCGTGAGCCACCACATCCAGCCTACAGTGTTCTTTTAAGAGGGACTCAGCAGTCAGGGGAGATGGCAATGCGATGATGACTGAGTGTCTTAGTCTTTTTTGTATTGCTATGCAATATCTGAGGCTGGGTAATTTATAAAGAACAGGTTTATTTCTTAGAGTTCTGGAGGCTGGGAAGGTCAAGATCAAGGGGCCTGCTTCTGGTGAGGGTCTTCTTGCTGTGTCATCCCATGATGGAAGGTATCACATCAAGAGAGAAAGGGGGCTGAACTCAATCCTTTTATTAGGAACCCATCCCCATGATAATTAACCCTCTGCTGAGATAACATCATTACTCTATTAATGAGGGCAGATCTTTCATGACCTAATCTCCTCTTAAAGGTCCCACCTCTCAACACTGTTGCATTGGGGATTAAATTTCCAACACATGAACTTTGGGGGACACATTCAAACCATAGCACTGTGCAGAGATTGGAGTGATATGCTTTAAAAATGGAAGAAAGGGCCACAATCCAGGGTATATAGGTAACCACTAAAAGCAGAAAAAGGCAAGAAAACGGGTTTTCCCTTCAGAACCTCCTGAAGGAATCAGTCCTTTACAACTTGACTTTAGCCAAGTGAAACTGATTTGAGGCTTCTGAACTATAGAACAATAAGATATTAAGTCTGTGTTGTTGTAAGCCAATCAGTTCATGGTAATTTGTTACAGCAGCCATAGAAAACTAATTGACTCACCAATGGGAGAAATCAGCTGCTGATTGAAGGTTACCAAACATCTACTTCCTTTCCTAACGTCACTTTAATTTTATCTTGGAGGAATTCTTTTCCCTACCCCATTAAGTTATGGGAGATGGGGCCAGGCATGGTGGCTTAGCAATCCCAGCACTTTGGGAGGCTGAGGCAGGTGGATCACTTGAGGTCTGGAGTTTGAGACTAGCCTGGACAACATAGTGAAACCCCATCTTTACTAAAAATACGAAAATTAGCCAGGTGTGGTGGTAGGCACCTGTAATCCCAGCTACTCCAGAGGCTGTGGCATGAGAATTGCTTGAACCTAGGAGGCAGAGGTTGCAGTGAGCTGAGATCGCATCACTGCACTCCAGCTTGTGTGACAGAGTGAGACTCCATCTCAAAAAAAAAAAAATTTTGTGGGAGAGGATGGTAAAGCTAAGTATCTTTTGCACCTACTCCCCAGCCCCACCACTGCAGAAGCTGAAGGGGTTCCTAGAGGCTTCTTCTGCCATGGAGCGGATCCCACTGGCCCCTAGCTAGAGGTGGGTGTAGGACTTTGAAACATGAACAAATGGAGCTGGGATGGTAAGGGCGGGAACAATATTGTGCTAATCTGAACTCTGCACTTCCTAACTTTGGCTCTGGGTAAATTACCTCAAATTGCTGAGCCTTTGTTTCCATATTTATAAAATGGGTGCAGTAAGAGTACCAACCTCTTCTATGCTGTTTGGAGGAGGCAGGTCCATAAGGTACCTGGCATGTGGTAGGGGATTCATGAATGTTGGCTTCTATCATTAAGGGTGGGGGAGCCACATAAGTAGCCAGAGGGAGTCATAGAAAGTTCTTGAGCCAGAGAAGTAAGATAATCTTTTCAGCTTTTTGTGCAGCATAAAAGGCGGGTAATTTGCTTGCCTTTGACCAAGGAAATTTGGGACGTGCCAGGCCTGGGGTGAATGGTGGGAACCCAAATAGAGGGATATTTCTCATTGGCTGAATTAACTGTGATTCCATTTTGCGGAGCAGCCAGGTTGCTTCATGGTGGACCTGCTGCATGCCTACATGATGGTGCCATGGATAGCTCTTGTTTGTGCCAGCCCTGTATCTGACACCTCCTGTGGTAATTGCATCCCTATTTTTCAGAAGGAAGCATCCCTCCTCCCACTTTCTGGTTTTCCCCATGTCCTTCTGGAGGGGATGACCCCAACTGCTTCCTGAAGGGGCTTCCTGAAAGCCAGGTCTGGCCAGGCTGGATGTGGTGGTTGGCTCAGGCAGGGGCATGTGGCCCAAACGGGTCCAGTGAAAGTCAGTCCTGGGACTTTGGCTGGAACTATTGGGGAACAGCCTCTGCTTTCTTGCGCAGATGTGAGTTAGGAGCTGCTCAGGCCACTATGTGGAAAGAATTGCATGAGAATGAAGTAATCAAAGGGAAGCAAGCACCGAGACATTAGAGAGACTTATCTTGTATAAGTGCCTGTATCCAGCTATGCCTGAAGTGAGGTACCACCCCAGGCCTTTTCAGTCATGCTATCAGTTTTGTTCCTTTTTTCTGTTTTACTCTTGGTGGAGTTATTTTTTTTTTCCTTGTTACTTGAATAAGAAAAATACCAAACTAGAAGGCTGGGTGCAGTGGCTCATGCCTGTAATCCCAGTACTTTGGGAGGTCAAGGCAGGTGGATCATGAGGTCAGGAGTTTGAGATCAGCCTGACCAACATGGTGAAATCCTGTCTCTAATAAAAATACAAAAAAATTAGCCAGGCGTGGTGGTGCGTGCCTTTAATCCCAGCTACTCAGGAGGCTGAGGCAAGAGAATTGCTTGCATCTGGGAGGCGGAGGTTGCAGTGAGCCGAGATCGTGCCACTGCACTCCAGCCTAGGTGACAGAGCAAGACTCCATCTCAAAAAAAAAACAAAAACAAAAACAAAAAAGCAAAACAAAAAGAAAACCAGACTAGTAAATGCAACCATTTACAAATCCCAAGAGACTCTTGAAGATTCTTTTTGTTAGTAGGGAAAACATTCTCCATTTTTCTGCCAACTTTAGGGTTTTCAGAGAAGTTTTGGGGAGAGAAAGGAAAGCAAACAGGTGGGAAGAAAGAGTCCTTGAAACCCCAAGTCGGGCGAACTCCTCCCAGCTACTTATACCACAGGGTTTTGGGAGCAGAGCCCCTTTCATTAAACTTTTAGGATTCTTGGATGGATAGGGTGGGAATTACACCAGTGAAACTCAGCTTTGTGTGTGCCAGGCATTGGGCCCTGGGATATGCAGTCATGTGTTGTATAATGACATTTTAGTCAATGACAAACCACATGTAAGTCACTGGTACCATAAGACGATTATGGAGCTGAAAAATTCCTATTGCTTAGTGACATAGCCATTGTAATGTTAGGGTAATGCATTTCTGTGTTTCTGGTGATGCTGGTGTAAACAAATCTGTGCTGCCAGTTCTATAAAAGCATAGCATGTACAATTACATACAATATATAATACTTGATAATGAACAACTATGTTACTGGTTTATTTTATTTTTTTGAGACAGAGTCTTGCTCTGTCGCACAGGCTGGAGTGCAGTGGCGCGATCTTGGCTCACTGCAACTTCTGCCTCACAGGTTGAAGCGATTCTTCTGCCTCAGCCTCCTGAGTAGCAGGGAATACAGGCACCCACCACCACGGCCAGCTAATCTTTGTATTTTTAGCAGAGATGGGGTTTCACCACACCGCCCAGGCTGGTCTCAAACTCCTGACCTCAAATGATCTGCCCGCCTCAGCCACCTGAAGTGCTGGGATTACCCACATGAGACACTGTGCCCAGCCCTGGTGTATTTAGTGTTTTTCATAATTTTAGAATGTATGTCTTCTACTTACATTAAAAAATAGTTAACTATAAAACAGCCTCAGGTAGGTCCTTCAGGAAGTATTCTGGAAGAAGAAGGCATTCTTATCACAGGAGATGACATCTCCATGCGTGTAATTGCCCAGGCGGGAGTGCAGTGGCACAATCTCGGCTCACTGCAACCTCCGCCTCCTAGGTTCAAGCGATTCTCCTGCGTCAGTCTCCTGAGCAGCTGGGATTACAGGTGCACACCAACATGCCTGGCTAAGTTTTGTATTTTTAGTAGAGATGAGGGTTTCACCACGTTGGCCAGGATGGTCTTGAACTCCTGACCTCAAATGATCTGCCTGCCTCGGCCTCCCAAAGTGCTGGGATTACAGGCGTGAGACACCACGACTGGCAAAATTTTTAAGATACATTTCAGTAAGCTAAGGTTAATTTATTGAAGAAAAGCTTTAAAAAAATTTGGTGTAGCCTAAGCATATGGTGTTTATGAAGTCTACAGTAGTGTACAGTAAGGTCCTATGCCTTCACAATCATTGACTCATCCACAGCATCTTCCAGTCCTGTAAGCTCCTTTCGTGGTAAGTGCCCTATACAGGAGTACCATTTTAAATTCTCTTATGCTCTATTCTTACTGTACCTTCTCTATGTTCAGGTACACAAGTACTTACATTGCGTTACAACTGCTTATGGTACATTCAGTAAAGTATCAGGCTGTACAGGTGTGTAGCCTAGGAGCAATAGGCCATACAGCCTAGGTGTTTAGTAGGCTATACAAGGCTATACAAGGTTTGTGTTAATGCACTTTGCTGTTTGCACAATGCTGCAATCACCTAAGGAGGCATTTCTCAGAACCATCCCGTGATTAAGAGAGGCATGATCGTACAGTCATCATCTCCCTGAAAGCTCAGTCAACCCTGTGCAGTGCTACTGCCACACTCCCCTTTTGCACATGTAGAAATCAAGGATCTTTGGCTCCTCTGAGTGACTTGTTCAAGGTTTCTCAGTTTCCAAGAGATGGAGGCGGGACTTGAATTGAGATTTCCCTTTCTTGAGAACCTGTGGTCCTTAACCATTAAAACCACTTAAGAGGTCTTCTCTCTTGATCACTACCTACTAAGTGCTAGGCGCGGTGCTGAGGCGTTCTCTTGATTATGATATTGAGTCTTCAGATTTCGGAGAAACAGGCCGAGCGCGCTGGCTCACGCCTGTAATCTCAGCACTTTGCGAGGCCAAGGCGGGAGGATCACAAGGTCAGGAGATGGAGACCATCCTGGCTAACACGGTGAAACCCCACCTCTACTAAAAATACAAAAATCAGCAGGTGGTGGCGGGCGCCTGTAGTCTCAGCTGCTCCGGAGGCTGAGGCAGGAGAATGGCGTGAACCCGGGAGGTGGAGCTTGCAGTGAGCCGAGATCGCGCCACAGCACTCCAGCCTGGGTGACAGAGCGAGACTGTCTCAAAAAAAAAAAAAAAAAAAAAAAAAAAGATTTAGGAGAAACAAGTCCCGAAGCCCTGACCCTAACACGCAAGGGTTAGTGGAGATGTGGGACTTCAACTCAGCTTCTCCGTTGAGTCTGGCTGTCTCCGGGACGCAGGCACCTGCTTGCACACCTCCACGGTGGCGATCCCGCCCCCTTAGTAGCGTCCTTAGCTGGGCACTTCTTGCAGGGAAGCTCCTCTTGGCCCAGACCCTCGTCCTAGGCCCCGCGTGGTGGGGGAAGCGAAAGGGGCAGTGTGGGGAAGTGGCCGAGGGGTCGGGTCCGGGGTGGTCTGCAGAGAGGCAGGCGGCGGTGCCGAGCCGGGAACCACGCGCTCACCCGCGGAGTCGGACGGGCCCGGCGGGGGTGGGCGAGACACTGGGAACAGCGGCCAGCTCCAGAGGGCGCGAGGCGGGGCGCGCGGGGAGGGAGGGGGCGCGGCGAACGCGCGCGTGCGGGGTTCGTGTGTGGGCCCGCGGGGGCGCGCGTGGCTGGGGGGCAGTGAGGGTCGCCTCGGCGGCGAGCAGCACAGCGGGAACATGGCGCCCGGAACTGGCGAGCGCGCCTAGCTGGCGGGACCGTTAGCTCGAGGCGGACGCGGCCCGGACCCGGTGGATGTGGAGCAGTCGCCGCTGCCGGCGCCCAAGCCGACCCCAGGGCCGACCCCCGCAAGGAGCTGAAGGAGGTGGGAGCCCCAGTCGCCGCGGGCGTCGGCGCCGGTGAGTGCGTGAGGGGCTCGGGCCGGGAGACTTTCTTTGTGAAACTCCGGCGGTGGGAGCCTGGCCGGGCCTCAGCGGCTGAGGAGTGCCTGTGAGGCGGAAGGCGTCTGGCAGTCCGGGTTCCATCCCAGCCGCTAGCCGTCAGGCGGCGGGACCTGGTCCGCCGCCTGCCTGCCTCAGTTTCCACGGGAGTGTGTGCGGGTGTGTGAGGGTGTGTATGGGTGTTGGCCTGCGCACACCGGAGGGGGGGTCGGTATACTGTCAGCGCCTAATGCGCGCGGCGCCTCCCCCCTCCCCCCAGTCCCCGTGGGGCGGAACCTGGGGACTGGAGTCCACCGGAGCAGTAGGCGGCACCCGC
This sequence comes from Homo sapiens, assembly GCF_000001405.40. Classification (NCBI taxonomy): domain Eukaryota; kingdom Metazoa; phylum Chordata; class Mammalia; order Primates; family Hominidae; genus Homo; species Homo sapiens. The sequence continues at coordinate 33,554,392 of NC_000016.10, read as the reverse complement.
GGGGAGACAGATGTCCGCACAGCCCGGGAGGCTCAGGTGCTACCTTTCCCTGGTGGGGTTTGTGAGGAGTGAGCTCTTCGTTCCCGGAGGCGAGCAAGTCTGTCGGTGGCTCATCACAGAGCGCTGTTTTGGAAAGCGTTCCACCCACCTCAGCTTCCTGCTGTGTTTGGGCCACTAGTCAGGGGGAAGGATGCTGAGCGACATGGACTTTAGAGGTGGGACCCCCGCTGGACGGGATGGGTCTGGGCTCTCGAGCTTACCCCCACCCTTTCCTCCCAAACCCGTTAGAGCGTAGGAATCATTGGGAGCACCTGATAAAAATGCCACGGATTGTGGCTCACCTAAGCAGGGAAGCCGATTTGGAACTTAAACAAGCTCCCAAGTTGTGATCAGTCGAGCTTGGCAAGCACTGTTTGAGAGAGTAGGCTTCCCGCAAGCAGGAGCCGGTTTTGTGTATACCTCACCATGGCATCTTGGTACCTGGCATGGTGCCTGGCACACGGTAGATGATCAGAAAATATCTGTAGAAAGTCTAAATTATTAGGGAGAGTGCAGCATAGGAGTTCTTGAGACATTTTCAGGAGCTTCTTGAGATTAATATCTGTCAGATTTGTTTTACAGTATATTTTTCTCAGCTCCCAACTTTTGTGATTGTTTTTAATGCCATGTTTTCAGTATGTTCTAGGCAAAAGCAGGGTATATGTTGCTTAGTATACACTATCGAGTAGGCCGGTTGTGGTGGCTCACTCCTGTAATCTCAGCACTTTGGGAGGCAGATTGCTTGAGCCCAGGGGCTTGAGGCTGTAGTGAGCCAAGGACTTAGAGACCAGTGTGGGAAACATAGCGAGGCTCGTCTCCGCAAAAATTAGCTGGGTGTGGTAACGTGCACTTGCAGTCCCAGCTACTCTGGAGACTGAGGTGGGAGGATCGCTTGAGCTCAGGAAGCACAAGTTGCAGTGAGCCAAGGTTGTGCCACTGCATTCCATCCTGGATAACACAGCGAAACCCAGTCTCTTAAATAAGTAAATAAATACATAAATGATTATGTATACTCCAGCTAGGTTAAAATTAATTCTGAATCAAAATTCTAAATTAAAATATGCATGTTTCTTTGTCTTCATCATTTGAGAACACTAGGCTTTTAGGATTTCATTCCGTTGAGGCAGGTAAATATCTACATTTTTGACAAAGCAAATATGAATTACTGTTAATTCGAGAAAGGTGGGAATTTGCTTAAACCTGAGTATTTGTAGTCTTTGTGACTTTTTTAAATTTTAAATTTAAATTTTCTTTTTTTTTTCTTTTTTTTTGAGATGGAGTCTCACTCTGTCGTCCAGGCTGGAGTGCAGTAGCACAATCTCAGGTCACTACAACCTCCACCTCCCGAATTCATACGATTCCCCTGCCTCAGCCTCTGGTGTAGCTGGCATTACAAGTGTGTGCCACCATGCCCAGCTAATTTATGTATTTTTAGTAGAGAGGAGGTTTCACTGTGTTGCCCAGGCTGGTCCCAAACTCCTTGACCTCAAGTGATCTGCCCACCTTGGCCTCCCGAAGTGCTGGGATTACAGGTGTGAGCCACAGCACCTGGCCTTATTTTTATTTTTTTGAGACGGACTCTCAGTCTGTCGCCCAGGTTGGAGTGCTGTGGCATGATCTCCACTCACTGCAACCTCCACCTCCCAGATTCCAGTGATTCTAATGCCTCGGCCTCCTGAGTAGCTGGGGTTACTAGACCCGGGTAATTTTTGTTGTATTTTTTTAGTAGAGACTGGGTTTCCCTATGTTGGCCAGGCTGCTCTGGAACTCCTGGCCTCTAGTGAGGCTCATGCCTCGTCCTCCCAAAGTGCTGGAATTACAAGCATGAGCCACTGCCCCCAGCCAATCTTTGTGATATTTTGAAATTGACGTTTATATTTTGTTCAGAGTCAAAGCTAAAATAGAATTGTTTGAAAATTAATATTTCAGGAACTATTTTTTAATTAAGTTGAATTTTATTTTATTAGTTTCATTTCAGTAGAGTTTTAACCTAAAAAATATATATATACATATACACATATATACGTATATATATATATATATACGCATATATGTGTATATGTGTGTGTGTGTATATATATATATATATATATATTTTTTTTTTTTTTTTTCCTGAGACGGAGTCTTGCTCTGTCACCCAGGCTGGAGTGTAGTGGAATGATCTTGGCCTCACTGCAGCCTCCACCCTCCCGGCTCAAGCAATTCTCCTGCCTCAGCCTCCCAAGTAGCTGGAATTACAGGTGCCCACCACTACACCTGGCTAATTTTTATATTTTTAGAAGAGATGGGGTTTCACCATGTTGTCCAGGCTGGTTTTGAACTCCTGATCTCAAATGATCTGCCCTCCTTGGCCTCCCAAAGTGCTGGGATTACAGGCGTGAGCCCCCGTGCCTGGCCTAAAAAATATTTTTAAAGGCAGGATCTAGCTATGTTGCCTCAGCTGGTCTTGAACTCCCAGTCTTGGCCTCAAGTGATCCTTCTTCCTCAGCCTTCTGAATAGCTGGAAGCACAGCTGTGAGCCAGAACACATGGCTTTTTTTTATTTCTAATAAAGTTAATAGAGTTTCTTGTTTCACTGGACAAAATATGCATATATAGGAAGGAAAGACTTTTGGACTTGAGATTGCGCTGAAGAAGAAAAATGGAAAAATTAAGCATTTTAGTCTCTCAGTGTGTTATTTTTGTAGCTTATACAGATATGTCTTTTTAAAGTGTCTTTAAAAAGCTTTATTGAGATAAAGATAAATGAGATAAATTCACCTACCATGAAATCAACCCCTTGAGTGCAGAATTTTGTGGTTTATAATATGTTCACAGAATCGCACAAACAAGACAGGTATCTAGATACTTTCAGACCATTTTCATCAGTCCACAAGAAATCCCATACCCATTAGCAGTCATCCTTATTCCCTTTTCCCCTAGTCCCTGGCAATAACTAGCTTACTTTCTGTCTCTGAGTTTAGCTGTTCTGGAGGTTTCACAGAATGAAATCTTACTACATATGGTCTTTTGTGATTGACTTATTTCACTTGACACAGTGTTTTCAAGGTTTATCCATGCTGTAGCGTATATCAACACTTCATTCTTTTTTAATGCTGAGTAATCTTTTGAATGGATATACCATATTTTTTCAGTTCCTCTGTTGATAGGCACTTGAGTTTTTTTTCCAATTTTTGGCTATTATGCACAATGCTGCTGTGAACATTTGTGTACAAATTTTAGTGTGGATGTATATTTTCATTTCCCTTGGGTATATCCCTAAGGAATACACTATCCGGGTCATATGATAATTGTTTAAGACTACAGGCACGTGCCACCACACCTGGCAAATATTTAAAAATTTTTTGTAGATAAAGGGTCTCGCTATTTTGCCCAGGCTGATCTTGAACTCCTGGCCTCAAGAGATCCTCTCACCTCAGCCTCCCAGAAAGTGTTAGCATTACAGATGTGAGTCACTGCACCTATAAAAGAGGTTCATACCTCTTTTTATGTATTTTTTTTTTGAGACAGGCTTTCACTCTGTTGCCCAGGCTGGAGTGCAGTGGTGGGATCACAGCTCACTGCAGCCTGGACCTCTCTCCATATGATTCTAGCTGTGGGTGTCTTTCCTGTAGTTTTTATTATGTTGTGGTATGTTTCTTCTGTACCCGTTTATTTGAGGATTAATAGCATGAAGGGATGTTGAATTTCATCAAATGCTTTTTCAGTTTCAGTTGACATGATCATACTGTTTTTGTCGTTTATTTGGTTGATATGATGTATCACATTGTATGTTGAGTGACTCTTGCATCCCAGGGATACATCCCACTTGATCATGATGAATTATCTTTTTAATGTTTTACTGAATTTGATTCACTGGTATTTCGTTGAGGATTTTTGCATCAATATTAGAGATACTGGCCTGTAGTTTCCTTCTTTGATGCCTTCGTCTGATTTTGGTATCACAGTAATAATGGTCTCATAGAATAAGTTTGGAAGTATTCCCTCCTGTTTTTCAAAATAGTTTGAGTAGGATTTGTACTAGGTCATTAAATTGTTTGGTGTGAAGCCATCAGCAGTGAAGACATCAGTTCCTGGGCTTTTCTTTACTGGGAGACTTTTTCTGATGGCTTCAATCTCATTACTTGTTACCAATCTGTTCTGGTCTTGGATGTTTTCATTGTTCAACCTAAGTAGGTTGTATGCATCTAGGAATTTGCCAATTTCTACTAGGCTTTCCAATTTATTGGCATATAATAGCCAGTTATGATCCTTTGAATTTCTGAAGTATTAGTTGTAATGTCTCCCTTTTTTAATCTGTTGATTTTATTTATTTGAATCTTGTCTCTTTTTTCTTAGTTAGCCTGGTTAAAAGTTTGTCAATTTTGTTTTGCTTTCCAGAAAACCAACTTTTCATTTCATCTTGTGTGTTTTTTTCTTTCAATTTTATTTCTGCTACGATCTTATTTATTTTTCTTATTTTTGGTTTAGTTTGTTCTTACTTTACTAGTTATTTAAGATGTATTGTTTATTTGAAGTTTTTCTTTTGTTTGGATGGTAGGCACTTATAGCTGTAAATCTCTGCCTTTGTACTGCTTTCTGCATAACAAGTTTTGGTATACTGTGTTTTCGTTACCCTTTGTTTCATGAAATTTTTGAATTTCTGTCTTATTATCTTCATTGACCCGCTAGTCATTTATTCAGGTGGGTAGTGTTTAACTTCCATGTGATTGTATTGTTTCCAAAATTACTCTTCTTATTGATATCTAGTTTTATTCCTTTGTAGTCAAAGAAGATGGCCACGGAGACAGCAGTGTGGTCAGAGTGGTGGAGCTGGTCATCGGCGAGAGCTGCTCCATGTCTGTCTGCTGAGTGCTAGAGCCTGTGGCCCACTGGCTTGCCTCACTGTGGTTGATGGTGGCGGTGACAGAGACTGCAGCACGACCAGAGTGGTAGGACAGGGGCTATCCAGGGCTGCACCTTTCACAGTGTGGGGTGGGTTGGGGGTGCTATCCAGGGTGTCATTGCCTGCATTAGGGGCACTGGTTGGTAGCACTGTACAGGGCTGCACTTCCCGTGGCAGGGAGGGTGGGTTATGGGCACTTTCTGGGGCTGCAGTGCCCATGGAGGAGGACAGGTTAGGGCACTATCAGGTATATGCTACTGGCGGCATTGGGGGATGGAGGTGGGGGGCGCTATTGAGGGCAGGACTATCCATGGAGCGGGGGCGAGTTCGGTGCTATCAGGGGCTGCACTGCTGGCAGTGGTCAGCAGAGTTGGCATCCAAGGAAGGAGTGGTTCTCCTCTCCCTGACTCCACATTCCAGAGGGCGACCCACTCTTGGTCATACTGGAATGCGGCAGGCACGCAGCGTTTGCGTGGGAATCCTGAGCACGGCAGAACCCCCACACCCACCATGGTTCCTGGGCCTGTGCACTCTGGGTCTGTGCCTCAGAGGCTGCCAGGCACCCCTGGGGACACCACGGGGGACAGGGCCCTGGGTGCGGAGGCGTCTGGAACAGGAATTGGCACCTGGGTGCGGAGGGCTGGCTGGGTCTGAATTTTTCTGCTTCTCCTGCTCCCCGAGGAGTGCAGCCCCGGTGGGCCCAATGGTTCCTGTGGAGTGGGGAGCTGGGTGCTGTGGTGTCTCCAGCACCCACCCCAGACCCCAGTTCCCGGCCAGCTTGGGCCAAAAGGAGAGGCTGGACTTTGGAGGGTGGGTGTGAGTGCCTTTGCTGAAACTGGCCCCTGCCACCCAGTGGCCAGCATGACAAGTTGAGGCTCTAACCCTTCCACCCCTCACATCTTCCTCTAGGCTTTTCTGGCTTTGCCCACCCAGCTGCTCCATGCCAGGAGGAGGAGGAGACACCTAGAGCCTGCGACACCACGACTTGCCTCACTGCGGGTGGGTGGCAGCGACAGAGACTGCAGTGCGCCAGAGCGGTAGGAGAGCGGCCGCGCTAGGAGGGCAGGCGGCTGCAGCCAGGGTTGGGGGTCAGGCTTACAGCGATGGACGGGCTGCAGCAGTGGCCAGGTGGTAGGAGCCTTGTAGGGAAGGCTGGTGCATTGGCAATGGGCCTGGCTTTGCCCTGCATTGCCCTGTACCCGCCCTACTGTTACCTGGACTGTCTCGGCCCTGTCCTGCTCTGGTCCCATCCTGACCCTGTCTTGGCCCTGTGCTACTCTGTCCCTGTCCTGGTCTTGCCCTGGCACTGGCCCTGCCCTGAACTGGCACTGGCCCTGCCCTGAACCTGCACTGGCCTGACCTTGGCTCTGGCCCTGGCTCTGGCCCTACCCCTTGTCCTGACCCTGGTCATGTCATGGCACTGGCCCTGCCAGTGGTCATGGTCCTACTCCTGTTCTGGCCCTGACCTGGCCTTGGACATGTCCTGGTCTTGCTTTGGCCCATCCCTGCCCTGGCCCTACCATGGGCCTGCCTTTTCTGCCCTCTCCTGGCACTGACCTTGCCCTGTCATGGCCCAGTGGTGCCATTGCCCTGCTTTACACTGCACTGGTTGTACCTCGGCCCCGCTTGGTGCTGGCCACTCCCTGGACCTGCCCAGACCCTGCCTTGACTTTTGCCCTGCCCTCACTACGGCCTGGCCCTGGCCCTAGCCCTGGTCCTGCCATATCCCTGGCCCTGCCCTTATCCAGGCCCTGCCCCTGCTGCTGCCCTGGCCCTGGCCTGGAACCTGGTCCTGTCAAGGACCTGCCCTGACTCTGTCATGGCCCTGGCCCTGCTCTGCCTTGTCCTGGCCCTGACCCTTTCCTGGCTCTGCACTGGCCTTTCCCTGGCCCTGAGCTGGCAGTGGTCTACCCCTGCTCTGGCCATCACCCTGCCCTGCTGTGCTCTGGATGTGTCCTCACCCTGCCCTGGCCCTACTCTGCCTTTGACCCTGCCCTGGCCTTACCTTGGCCCTCACCCTAGTCTTCGCTAGGCCCTGCTCTGGAGCTGGCCCTAGCACAGACCTGGCCCTGACCCTGGCCCTGGTCTTTGTCCTGCCATAGCCCTGGCCCTGAAGTGGACTTGGAGGTGTCCTGGCCCCGGCGTAACATGGCTCTGCATTGGCCTGTCCCTGCCCTGCCCCTACCATTGCCTTGCCCTGCTCTGCCCTGTCCCAGTACTGACCCGGCCATGCTATTTCCCTGCCCTACCCTGCCTTGGCTGTGCCCTGGCTCAGTTCTGGCCCTGGCCCCGGCCCTGCCCTGGACATGTTCTGACACTGCCTCAGCCTTGGCACTAGCCTGGCTCTCTCTTGGCATCAGTCCTGCTCTCTCTGTGGACCGGCTCTTGTCCTGTCCTCTACTGGCCATACCATGCCCTGCCCTGCCCTGCCCTGACTCAGCCCTGGCCCAGCCTTGGCCTTGGCATTGCCCCTGGTCCTGCCATATTTCTTGCCCTGTCCCTACCCTGGCCTTGGCCCTGACCCTTACCTTGCTCTGGCCCTGCCCTTGCCCTAACACAGCCCCTGGCCCTGTCATGGCCCTGCCCTGGACCTGTCCTGGCCCTGGCCTTTCCCTGCTTGAGACCTTGCCCTGGTTCTCCTCTGGCCCTGACCCTGAAATGCCTGGCCCTACCCTGGCCTTGCACTGCTCTGGCCCTTGCCCTGACTCTGGTCCTGTCACTGGCCTAGCCCCATCCCTGTTGCTGGTCTTACCATGGCCCAGACCCTGCCTTGGCCCTGCCCTGACACTATCCTGGACCCTGGCTGTGCCAAGATCCTGCACTGTCCTTGCCCTTGTTTTGCTCCTGCCCCAAACCTGGTCTTGCCCAGGCCCTGGCCCTGGCCCTCCCCTGGCTGTTCCCTGGCCCTGCCCAGGTCTTGGCACTGGCCTGGCCCTGCCCTGCCTTGGCCCTATGCTTTCCTGGCCCTTCCTTGACGGCCCTGGTCCTGCCTTGGCCCTAGCCTGGCTTTGACCCTGCCCTGGCCCTACCTTGGCCTTCATCCTAGCCTTACCTGGGCACTGTGTTGTACCTGGCCATAGCACAGACCTGGCTGTGGCCCTGGCCCTGCCATGGCCCTGCCCCAGACCCTAGCCCTGCCAGGTACCTGTCCTGGCCCTGCTCTGGGCCTGGCTTTGTCCCTGGTTCTTAGGTGACCCTGGCCCTGCCCCTGCCCTTGTCTTTGCCCTGGCACTGGCCTTGGACATGTCCGTGGTCCTAACCCTGGCCCTGCCCTGGAGCTGCCACTGTCTTGGCCCTGCCCTGGCTCTGGCCCTGCCCCGGCCCTGGCCCTGCCCCGGCCCCAGCCATAGACCTGCCCTGGTTGGTCGTGCCCTACCTTAACCCTGTGCTACCCTGGACCTACTCCACCCTGCCCTGGCCCTGCCCTCCCTTTGGCCCTGCCCTGACCCCGCCTTGGCCCTAGCACATACCTGGTCCTATCTGTGGCATTGGCCTGGCATTGACCCCTGCTCCTGACCCTGATCCTGCCATGGCCCTTGCCCTGCCAATGACCCTGACAGCCCTGGCCCTGGCCCTGTCTTGGCCCTGGCCCTGAACTGGCCCTGCCCTGACCCTGGCCCTGAATTGGATTTGCAGGTGTCTTGTCCCTGATTTAACCTGGCCCTACCATGGCCCTGTCCCTCTCCTGGCTCTGTCCTGGTCTTGTGCTGACCCTGACCCAGACCTTGGCCCTGCCCCAGCCTTGTCCTTGACCTGGCCATGGCCCTGCCTCTGCCCTGGACCAGCGCTGTCACTGGCATGGACCCTGGCCCTGGCCCTTTGCTACTTAAGGCCATAACCTGTCCCAGCCCTGGTCCTGACCCTGTCCTGGCCCTAATTTGGCCGGCTCTACCCTGGCATGCTATTCTGGCCCTAGCCTTGACCCTGTCCCTGTCCCTCTCCTGGCCCTAGCCCCATTGCTGGTCCTGCCATGGCTCTTATCCTGACATTGCCCTTTCCTGGTCCTGGCCCCGGCCCTGTCCCAGCCCTGTTCTGGCCCTGGTCTGAACCCTGGCCCTGCAATGGACCCTCCTTGGTCCTACCCAGACCCTGGTTCTGGTCCTACCTCTGCCCTGGCCATACCTTTGCCCTGGCCTGGACCCCGGTACTGGTCCTTGTCCTGCCCCAGCCGTGGCCCCGGCCCCGCCCTGCCTGTGCCCTGTTCTATCCTGGGCTGGCCCTGCCATGGCCTGGTCTTGCCATTGGCCTGCCCTAGCCTGCCCTGCTTGTGCCCTAGATCTGCCCCGGCCTTTGCCCCTGTCTTGGTTCCAGCCTTGACTCAGCCCTGGACCTTCCCTGACCTTGCCTCAGCCCTGGCACTACCCTGGCCTTGGCTTGGCATTTGCCCTACTCTCTCTATGGCCTGGCTCTGGTCCTGCCCTGCTCTGCTCTTGTTCTGTCCTGGCACAGCCCTGGCCCTGCCGTATCACTGGCTCTGGTCCTGCCCTTATGCAGGCCTGACCGTGCCCCTGCCTTGGCTTTGGCCTGGACCTTGGCCGTACAGTGACCCTGCCATGACCCTTTCCTGGCCCTGGCCTGGAACTTGGCCCTGCCAAGGACTCGCCCTGGCTCTGTCATGGCCCCGGCCCTTTCCTGGATTTGGATGTGTCCTGTCCCTTATTTGCCCCGGCCCTTCCCTGGCTCTGCCATACCCCTTCTCTGGGGTAGGGCCAGGGTCAGGACCAGGGTAGGGCCATGGTAAGGCCTGAAGATGGGAAGGGCTGGGGCAGCGGCAGGACCAGGGAAGGGTCAGGGCCAGTGATGTGGTAGGACTAGGGGCAGAGCCGGCACTAGGGCTGAGCCGGAGCAGAGCAGGAGAGATTATATTAGGCTATTACATAAAATTTTTATTTTAGATTTTTAAGATAACTATGGTAGTGGTAATAATGTCCATACTATGTTGTTTGTAATAGTAATAATATTTGCAGTAAATAATCACTAAATTTTAACTAATACTATCTTTGCTTCCAGTAGTGTTCTATGAGTACAATTTTATCAATATGTAAATATGTGAGGCATTGATTCTCACAATAATTCTATGTGCTAGGTACTTAAAGCATCCCCATTTTCCAAATGTAGGAAACAGGCATAAAGAAGTTAAATACTTGGCCAGATTACTCCTGTAATCCCAGCACTTTGGGAGGCCAAGGCAGGCAAATGGCTTGAGCTCAGGAGTTTGGAACCAGCCTGGGCAACATTGTGAAACCCCATCTCTACTAAAAATGCACAAAAAGAGCTGATTTAAGTTTCTTGTAGGATTCTGGTTATAAAACACTGGTCAAACACACCGGGCGTGGATAGGGCAGGGCCAGGGACAAGGTCAGGTCAGGAAGGGGCCAGGGCCAAGGCAGGGCCAGAGCTGGACTTGGAGGTGTCCTGGTCTGATTTGCCCTGTCCCAACGTTGGCCCAGCCCTGCTCTGGCACTTCCTGTCATGCCCTGTCCCTGGTCTGAGCATTGGCCCTGGCCCTGTCCTGCTTCTGGCCCTGCCCCAGAGTTGACCAGGCACTGCCATGGCCCAGTCCTGCATTGCCCTGCCCTTTTCTGCCCTGGTGCTGCCATGGCCCTGCTTGGGCCCTAGCTCTGCCTCGACTCTGGACCTGCCCTGACTCTGCTCAGCCCTGGATCTACCCTGACTCTGCCTTGGTGTTGCCCTCCCATCTCTATGGCCTGGCTCTGGCCCTGCCTTGCACAGGCCATGCTCTGCCCTGCATGTCCCAGCCTGGGCCCAGCCCTTGCCCTACCATATTTCTGACCCCACCCGTACCCTTGTTCTGGCCTTGACCCTGCCGTGGCATTCTCCTGGCCCTTCCTTGGTCCTGCCCTGCCCTTCCATGCCCTGGCCTTTCCCTCACCCTGCACTGGTCCTGCCCTGCCCTGGCAGTGCCTTGGCCCTGGCCCTGCCTCTGCCTTCTCCCTGGCCTTGCTCTTTCCCTGCCCTGGCCTGACCCCAGGCCTACCGAGTCCATGAAATGACCCTGGACCTGCCTTGCCATCATCTGTCCTGGCCCTGTATTGTCCCCACCATGCTCTGGTCCAGCGCTTACCCTGGCCCTGTTGCTAGTCCTGCCACTGCTATGGCCCTGCCCTGTTTTTGGCCATGACCTGTGCTACCCTAGCCGTGCCCCGCCTTGGCCTTGGCCCTACCGTGGCCTTTTCCTACCCTGGCCTGGCCGTACACTGGCCATTTCTACCCTGGCCTTGCCCTTCCCTGGTCTTGCCCTGCCCTGGCCTTGCCCTGCCCTGGCCTTGGCTTTGCCTTATCCTGGTCCTGGTTCTGCCCTGGCCCTGCCCTTTCTCTGGATGCTCTCTGGTTCTGCCTTCTCCCTGGCCCTGCCCTTGCTCTGGCCCTGTTCCTGGCTCAGCCTTGACCCTGGCCCTGGCCCTGACAATCCCCAGGCCCCACACTGGCCATGCTTGGCCCTGGCCCCTCCTTTGGCCCTGCCCTGGCCCTGTGCTATCTTAGTACAGGGCCTTGGCCTTGGCCCTGTGCTATCTTAGTCCTGCCCTGGCCCTGAACTTGCCCTGGCCCTACCCTCACCCTACACTGGCCCTGCCCTACCCTGGCCTTGCCCTGACCTGGCCCTGCCTTTGGCCTGCCCTGGCTCTGGTTCTGCCCTGGCCTTGCCCTTGCCCTGGACCCTCCCTGGCCATGTTTTTACTGTGGTCCTTCTCTGGCCTTGCCCTTGCCCTTTCCCCTTTCTGGTCCTGCCATGTTTCTGGCCCTGCCCTGTCCATGTCCTGGACCTGACTCTGGCCCTGGACCTCCCTGTCCCTGCCCTGCCATACCCTGGCCCGTTCCTTGCTCTACACTGACCCTGCCCTGCCTTGGCCCTGTGCTACCCTAGCCCTGCCCTGGCCTTCTGCTGGCCCTGATCCTGCCATGGCCCTGGCCCTGCCATGTCCCTGCCCTGGCCCTGGTTCTGCCCTACTTCTGGCCCTGGCCTTGGTCCTCTTATGTCCCTGGCTGTGACCCTGCCCCTGGTTTTTCTCTGGCCATGACCCTGCCCTGGTTCTGTCCTATCCCTGGCCCTGTCTCAGTTCTGTCCTAGCCCTGGCCTTTCACAGTACTTTATGCTTAGTAAGGGCTCCATAGTGTCTGTGAGTTGAATGTTGTGTTCATAGTATCTGCCAAAACAGAAAGAAAAAAAACAAAATCTGAAGATGAGAAGTTAAAGCTTTGTATATAATATGCCTTGAATTGTAAGTGCTTGTTATTAGTTGTATTACATGTAGGTCATGGTTTTGTACACATAACTCCAAACCATTGATACTGTTAAAAGACTATATGAATATATGAAAGAATATATAAACGTAAGAATGTATGAGTATCTAATGACCTCTCCAAATTAATTTTTATTTTTAGCTCTATTAGATTTTTCTCAGTGTAACAAATGTTTATTCCTATGTAATTAAGGGCATATTTCCTGTACAGAATATTCATATTACTTAATTGAAAATTATATAATGCAAAAATATAATACTATTTTTAGGCCAGGCATGGTGGCTCATACCTGTAATCCCAACATTTTGAGAGGCCAAGTTTGGAGAATCATTTGAGTCCAGGAGTTGACCAGCCTGGGCAACATATTGAGACCTTTTCTTTATTAAATAAATAAATAAGTAAATAAATAGGATGGGCACTGTGGCTCATATCTGTAATCCCAGCATTTTGGGTTGCGAAGGCAGGAGGATTGCTTGAGCCCAGGAGTTTGAGACCAGCCTGGGCAGCATAGCAAGACTCCATCTCTACAAATAATAAAATATTAACCAGGTGTGGTGGTGCGCACCTGGGGTCCCAGCTACCTGGGAGGCTAAGGTGGGAGGTTTGCTTGAGGCTGCAGTGAACTGTGAATGCACCACTGCATTCCAGCCTAGGCCACAGAACAGGACCTTGTCTACCAATAAATAAGTAAAAATATAAATAAAAATAAGTAAAAAGAAATATAAGTAAATATAAATATAAATACATATAAATATAAAAATGAATACATGAAAACAAACAATTTTTAAATTTAACATCACTGAGGGCATCCTATCCATTTCATTTCATGATTCCATTACATCATTTCACTTAGATGAAATGATAAGATTACTTGAGATGAGATGAAATGATGAAATTTTGAGATGAAATGGTGAGTAGAAATGATGAGATGAAATGATGAGATAAAATGACAAAATTGAAAAGAAATTGAAAGGAGATGAGATGAGATGAAATGAGATGATGGATGAAATGATGAGATGAAACGAGATGAAATGATGAGAAGAAATGATGAGATGAAATGAAATAATGAAATGAAATGATATGAAATAATGAAATTGAGATGAGATGAGATGATATGAGATAAAATGATGAGATGAAATGAGATGAACGATAAGATGAAACAATGAAATAAGATGAGATGATAAGACGAAATGATGAAATGAGATGAAAAATGAGATGAAATAATGAAATGAGATGAAATCAAATAATGAAAGGAAATTATGAAATGTAATGATGAAATAATGAAATGGCAATGATGAGATGAGAAGAAATGATGAGATGAAATGATGAAATGATGAGATGAGATGAAATGATGAGATGAAATGAGATTAAATGATGAGATGAGATGTGATGAAATGAGATGAAATGATGACATGAAATCAGATGAAATAATGAGATGAAATGATGAGATGAAATGATGAGATGAAATGAGATGAGATGAAATGTGATGAGATGAAATGACATAATGAAATGAAATAAATGAAATGATGAAATGGAATAATGAAATGGAAATGATGAGATGAGATGCAATGAGTTGAAATGATGAGATGAAATGGTGAGATGAAAAGATGAGATGAGACGAGATGTGATGAAATGATGACATGAAATGACATAAAATGAGGTGAAATAAGATGTAATGAATGAAATGAGATGAAATGATGAGATGAGATGAAATGAAATGGTGAGATAAAGTGATGATATGAAATGATATGAAATGATGAGATGAATGATGAGATGAAATGATAAGAGGAGATGATGAGATGAAATGATGAGATGAAATGATGAGATGAACTGATGAGATGAAATGAAATAATGAAATAATGAGATGAATGATATGAAATAATGAAATAAAATGAAATTGAAATAAAATTGGAATGAGATGAGATGAAATGATAAGATGAAATGATGAAATAAAATGATGAAATGATGAGATGTGATGAGATGAAATGATGAGATGACATGACATGAAATAATGAAATGAAATAATGAAATGAAATTGAGATGAGAAGATACGAGATGAGATGAAATGATGAGATGAAATGAGTTGATGAGATGATGAGATGAAATGATGAGATGAAAAGATGAGATGAAATGATGAGATGAAATGAAATGATGAGATGAAATTAGATGAAATGTAATGAGATGAAATGAAATGACATAATGAAATGAAAAAATGAAATGAAATAATGAAATGAGGTGAAATTAAATGAGATGATGAAATTAAATGATGAAATGGAAATGAAATGGAAATGATGAGATGAGATGAAATGATGAGATGAATGATGAGATGCAATGATGAGATGAAATGATGAGATGAGATGAGATGTAATGATGAGATGTAATGAAATGAGATGAAATGAATGAGATGAAATGAAATAATGAAATTGAATTGAGATGAGATGAGATGAAATGATGAGATAAAATGAGATGAAATAAGAAATGATGAGATGAAATGATGAAATGATGAGATGAGATGAAATGATGAGATGAAATGAGATTAAATGATGAGATGAAATGATGAGATGAGATGTGATGAAATGAGATGAAATGATGACATGATATGATGACATGAAATCAGATGAAATAATGAGATGAAATGAGATGAAATGATGAGATGAAATGATGAGATGAGATGAAATGAGGTGAGATGAAATGTGATGAGATGAAATGACATAATGAAATGAAATAAATGAAATGATGAAATGGAAATGATGAGATGAGATGCAATGAGTTGAAATGATGAGATGAAATGATGAGATGAAAAGATGAGATGAGACGAGATGTGATGAAATGATGACATGAAATGACATAAAATGAGATGAAATAAGATGTAATGATGAAATGAGATGAAATGATGAGATGAGATGAAATGAAATGGTGAGATAAAATGATGATATGAAATGATGAGATGAATGATGAGATGAAATAGATAAGAGGAGATGATGAGATGAAATGATGAGATGAACTGATGAGATGAAATGAAATGAAATAATGAAATAATGAGATGAAATGATATGAAATAATGAAATAAAATGAAATTGAAATAAAATTGAGATGAGATGAAATAAGATGAAATGAAATAAAATGATGAAATGATGAGATGTGATGAGATGAAATGATGAGATGACATGACATGAAATAATGAAATGAAATAATGAAATGAAATTGAAATGAGATGAGAAGATACGAGATCAGATGAAATGATGAGATGAAATGATGAAATGATAAGATGAAATGAGTTGATGAGATGATGAGATGAAATGATGAGATGAAAAGATGAGATGAAATGAGATGATGAGATGAAATTAGATGAAATGAAATTAGATGAAATGTAATGAGATGAAATGAAATGACATAATGAAATGAAATAATGAAATGAGGTGAAATTAAATGAGATGATGAAATTAAATGATGAAATGAAATAATGAAATGGAAATGAAATGGAAATGATGAGATGAGATGAAATGATGAGATGAATGATGAGATGCAATGATGAGATGAAATGATGAAATGATGAGATGAGATGAGATGTAATGATGAGATGTAATGAAATGAGATGAAATGAATGAGATGAAATGAAATAATGAAGGAAATTGAATTGAGATGAGATGAGATGAAATGATGAGATAAAATGAGATGAAATAAGAAATGATGAGATGAAATGATGAAATGCTGAGGTGAGATGAGATGAAAGGAGATGAAATGATGAGATGAAATGAAAGGATGAGATGAAATGATGAAATGAGATGAGGTGAGATGAGATGAAATGAGATGAAATGATGAAATGATGAGATGAGAAGAAATGAGATGAAATGAGGTAAGATGAGATGAAATGATGAGATGAGATGAAATGAAATAAAGTGAAATGAAATGAAATAATGAAATTGAGATGAGACGAAATGAGTTAAACTGATGAGATGAAATGATGAGAAGAAATGAGATGAAATGATGAAATGAGATATGATGAGATGAAATGATGAGATAAAAATGATGAGATGAAATGATGAGATGAATTGAAATGAGATGAAATGATGAAATGATATTGAAATGAAATTGAAAGATGAGATGAGATGAAATGATGAAATGTTGAAATGAAATGATGAAATGAAGAGATGCGGTGAGATGAAATGATGAGCTGAAATGATGAGACAAAATGAAATGAAATGAGATTAAATGAGATGAAAAATGATGAGATGAAATGATGAGATGAAATGAGATGAGATGAATTGAGATGAGATGAGATGAAATAATGAGACTAGGTGAAATAATGAAATGAGATGAAATGAAATAATGAAATGAAATTGAAATGAGATGAGAAGAAATGATGAGATGAAATGTTGAAAGGAGGAAATGATGAGATGAGATGAAATGATGAGATGAAATGAATTGAGATGAAATGATGAGATGAAAAATGATATGAAAAATGATGAGATGAAATGAGATGATATGAAGTGACATAATGAAATAAATGAAATTAGATGAAATTAAATGAAATAGTGAAATGAAATAATGAAAATGAAATGGAAATGAGTTGAGATTTGATGAAATGATGAGATGATATGAGATGAGATAAAATGAGATGAAATGATGAGATGAAATGATGAAATGAGATGAAATGATGAGGTGAAGTGATGCACTGTCACGTGTGTGTCTATTCTTTTTCCCAACCAACAAAAATTATAATTCATTTTAATTTTATTATTTAAGAATATTCTTAAGAGTTGAAGGAAAAATAATATCTACATTATGGGTTACAATCTAAGTATAAATAATACATAAATATATTAAAACTTACAAAGAATACGTTTTGGAATCAAATATACCATGCTTCTGTGATGACAGTTATTTCATGCTGGTTGTCACAATTTTACATGAAAAACTAATGAAAAAATGTTTTTAACTGTTTCTAAAAATAAGTTTCCAAAAGAGTTTTACATTCAAAATATGAAAAAGATGTCTTTGCGTTTCTTAATCTGATGAGATTTTCACACTCTGCACATGATAATTGTTAGATTTTTATTGTGTTGATAAATTGTATATCAAATAAAAAATGTTATTACCTCTTAGGATTTTTAGGTGATATAGGCAGAAAGGAGGGCAAGTTTTTATAACTTTGTCTAAATGAACTTTCTAAATGCCTGAGTATTAAAAGATAACGTCTATAAATCACAATGTATATATTACTGTATGACCTAGGACCAATCAAAACCGTTATCTCTGATAACATTATATTGTGCCCAATATAAAATAGATATAATAATACCTCAAACTTAAATCCAGGCATTGTCATTGAATATCTTAGGAATATGCAGCAAAGGTGCTTTTAAAAATACAAGCTAGTGATTGTACTAAATTTGTAAATCACATAGGATAGTGGGTCATTTTAAGAATATTAGTTATTTCAATCTATAAACGTGGATGTCTTTCCTTTTTTGTGTTTTCTTTAATTTCTTTCATTAATATTTGTCATTTTTGTTGTAGAAATCTTTTACTTCCTTGGTTAAATTTATTTCTAAGTACATTTTTGCAGCTATTGTAAAAGGAATTGCTTTCTTAATTTCTTGTTTCAGCTAGTTTACTATCAATATATAGAAATGCTACTGATTTTTGTATGTTGATTTATATCCTGCAACTTTATTAATTTCATGTATCACCCTAAGAAGCTTTTGGTAGCATCTTATTTTTTTCCGTGTATAAGATCACATTGTCTTTAAACAAGGACAATTTGACTGTCTCCTTTCCAATTCAGATATCCTGTATTTCTTTCTCTCACCTAATTGTCCTGGCTAAGACTTTCACTATGTGAAATATGATTGGTGAAAATAGGCATCCTTTTCTTGTTACAGTAAAATCTTTTTCTTGTTCACAGTAAAATCTTTCACCTTTTCCACACTCAGTATGATCTTAGCTGTAGATTTGTCCTTTATGTCCTTCTGTGTTAAGGCATATATTTTCTACACTAAATTGTTAAGAGGTTTTTTGTCATGTAAGAATATTTAATTTTGCCAAATGCTTTTATTGTGTTTATTAATTTGATCATATGGTTTTCAGTATATATCCAAAGGAAAGAAAATCAGTATATCAAAGAGTTACCTGCACCTGCATGTTTATTACAACACTATTCACAATAGCCAAGATATGGAATCAACAAAAGTGTCCATCAACAGATGAATGGATAAAGAAATGTGACATACATATATAATGGAATATTATTTAGTCGTAATAAAGAACAAAATCCTGTTATTTGTGGCAACAAGAATGCAAGTGGAGGGCATTATGTTAGGTGAAATAAGCCTGGCATAGAAACATAAACACCACATAACTACGTGTTCTCACTTATGTATGGAAGCTAAAATTTTTAATCTCGTAGAAGTAGATAGTAGAGTTTTGGTTACCATATCCTGGAAAGAGTAGGAGAAAGAAGAGTATAAGAAAAATGTGGTTAATACATACAAAATTACAGGTGGAGAGAAGGAAGAAGTTCTAGTTCTCTACAGCACTGTTGGGTGACTGTAGTTAGCGGGAATTTATTGTGTGTTTTCAAATAACTAAAATAAAAGATTTTGAATATTCTCACTGCAAAGAAATAATACATGATTTAGGTAATGGATATGATAATGACTGTGACTTGATCTTTATGCATTGCATAAATATATCAAAATATCACTCTGTACCCCATAACATGTACATTTATTATATGTCAAAGTAAATTTAAAAGAGAAAAAATGAGGTAAAGGTAAATGTACAGAATTTAATTACTTTTTCTTCTATAAAACCCAAGAGTCAGTACCAAGAAGAGTCAATTTATTAGTTTTCTAAAATAAAAAAAATCAAAGTCGCCAAAAAAGAGCAATATCCAAGAAAACATTGAAAATGAAACACAACATTTAGTAAGAATAGAAAACTTGGGCACTGTATCACCCTGTTCCTAGATACCGATTTACTGATAGCAATTTAAATAGAATTTTATTCTATCTAATTCGTTTATACTCCCAGAGTTCGAAATTACATTTTACCTACAATAAATGAGATAACACTTGCAAATTATATGGTACTCTGCCTAACACACGTTAATAACTCAATACATGTTAGCAATAAACTTTTAGTATAGTAGTCAAAGTATTAATTTCTCACATTGCAAAGTTCCTTCAAAGACATGAATACAACCTTTCTAATGACTCCTTGTTCATCAAGATACCTCTTCAAATTATTCTATTTATTTCATTCAGTATATTATCTGTGTATACCGATATGATATTACACTCTTTTTTTTTTTTGAGATGGAATCTCATTCTGTTACTGATGCTGGAGTGAGGTGGCATGATCTCGATTCACTGCAACCTCCACCTCCCAGGTTCAAGCGATTCTCCTGTCTCAGCCCCCCAAGTAGCTAGGACTACAGGTGCACACCACCATGCCTGGCTAATTTTTGTATTTTTAGTACAGTCAGAGTTTCACCCTGTTGTCCAGGCTGGTCTCAAACTCCTGACCTCAGGTGATCCACCCACCATGGTCTCCCAAAGTGCTGGGATTACAGGCATAAGCCGCCGCACCCAGCCTGATATTGCACTCTTGGATTTTGAACACTGAATATCTTTTTGAGAGATTACACCTCTTTACCTCTTTGTGCTTCAGAAATTATTTTCCTTCAAGTGTTCTAAGAGTCTAATGAAGAATGAAGTCATGTTTTATCACTTTTGTCCTTAAAGATTTCAGACATGCTGAAACTGATTGAAGTATCATTTGCTACCAGATAGATTAATTATCTCTAGTTGTAGGAGTGGATACATCTTTAATGGTATATTTTGGGTTATTGTCTTATTTTTGATGCAGTGTTCTATAAATAATTTATTAAACCTGGCATCCTTGGGTGAGCATGGATTTTTCAACTTTGGTGTTATATTGTGTTTGCTTTTAAAAACTGCTTTTGAGGCCGGGTATGGTGGCTCTTGCCCATACCCAGCACTTTGGGAGGCCAAGGTGGGCGGATTACCTCAGGTCAGGAGTTCAAGACCAGCCTGGTCAACATGGCAAAACCATGTCTCTACTGAAAACACAAAATTAGCCAGGCATGGTGGTACATGCTTGTAGTCCTAACCACTCAGGAGGCTGAGGCAAGAGAATCACCTGAACCTGGGAGGCAAAGGTTGCTAGGTTGCTGTGAGCCAAGTTCGCACCATTGCACTCCAGCCTGGGTGAAAAGAGCAAAACTCTGTCTCAAAAAAAAAAAAAAAAAAAAACCACCAAAAACTGCTTTTGAATGGAGTTGTACATACAATCTTTATGAAAAAAAATATCAAGTGCATAAGTTCATAATAGAAAAACCAATAATACTCCAGGCACAAGTTAGTACTAAAAAAGTTATGTTGAATATTCTCTAATACAACATGCTTTTTCCCTTCATGAACGATTTGTGTTTTACTGAGAAGAGTCATTGTTTATGGTAGACATTAGACTACAGATGAATATGTACTTTAAACACTCTTAGTTGCTTTCGTAATTTTATATCTGCTGCTTTATGCTTCTGTTTATTTTCATTCTTTCCAATGTCCACATTCTAGTAAATTTGAATATTTTAATCCAAGTTTATATACTATTTAATATTGCTTGTATAGTTTAGTATTTTTAAGACTCAAAAAGGTTTACAGAAAGAAGAAAAAGATCAACATGTTATTAATCATTTAAAGATCATTTTAAAATCTTTGACCTTTATATTTTAATGAATAAAATGTTGGTAGTTATTAGTATAAAATAATTTATGTCTTTTGGACTTAGCATCCAGTATTTCTTTTTTAATAAAGAAAATAATTATTCTCTTGCAATATACTATGTTTATCTGGGTTTTGAAAAATGATGTTTCCTAATATGAGAAAGCCATTTACATTTTTAAATCTACAAAGGCAAATGGAATGGTACTAAATTATTTACATAATAATGTTTAGGTGGTGGCCCTTATAACATTCTTTCTATACTTCCTACAGAGTTGGGGATATGCAATCCTAGAATATTTCTGGGAGCTAATCCTTTAGCTTGATGAATGAAACAAGACTTTTAAATAAAATTAAACTTTCAAATTATCCAGGTAATGGGCCTGTCTTTTAATTCAATGGATATGGAGCATAATGAATTATCCCCTGTTCATTGGGTAATAAGTTCTCATTCTTAACTTCTAATACTCAAAATGTCCTTTAATTTTTAATTTTCAATAGTCATATCATTATCCCTAGGTATTTTAGCTTCTATCTTAAATTCTAAAATAATTTTGAAACAGGAGAAAGTATTCTTTATTACTATATGTATTAAACATCATGGTTTTCAAATTTAACTGCAAATGTATCTTTTCATTGCTTCTTGGTGACGCCCTTCACCCTATCCATATTGTCACTACCAAGTGGTGATTACTTTTCAGGTTCACATACTTGTTCTTTAGAAAAATCTTCCCTGTGCCTTATAAAGAATATGATTGTTGGCATTCAAAAGCCAGCGAAGTATACATTATTAGCCTGTTGCCTAACTCATTTCTTTAAGAAACTACACTAATTACCCACATACTTATGTTTTTATTTCCTCATTATTTCTGGAGAAAACAAATACTGCTAACATGATATTTGTAAGAGAGAAAAAAGTCTTTTCTTGAAAAGTGCTGTCATTGTAGTACTAACTTATAGTATCAACTTCTTTATCAACTCCTTATACACTTTTTATTCTGAGAGAAATAAAAAAGCTAAAAGTGAAATGACTTTTTTTACTCTCCATATTATAAGCACCCATCTTGGTAATTTAGGGTCTTTATAGTTAGGGTAGGTTGTGTCATACCGAGGTTACAAAATAATAAGTATTTTGTCTCTTTGGGCCTTTCCTTATTCAGTAATACTGTCAGTTTGGCTTTTTTTCTAGGTCAACTTATTGATCTCAGTATTCTGAAATAATATGTTTACTATCTTTTGATAAGCATTTAAAATATTAGATTTATTGTTACTCTTCTGCCTTCATTGGGCTGGAAGAATAATTGTTTCTCTCACTCCACAAAAGCCAAGTTGCAGAGAAAAACACATAGACATTCAACTGCAAAGCAGAGAAACTCGACTATTTCCTGCAATTTTAAAGTGTATATTGAATAAAACCATCTTTTTATTTTCTTTTTTGCTCACTGGCAAATATTAACAACATCAAGTGTGTTATTATAATGTTATCTAGTTAAAAATCTCAAAAAGTTTTCATAATTACCATTTAAAAATATATAAATAGGTGACCTAATGTTAATTTGTATTGTCTGAGACCATGTCTGTTATTTCACTCTTTAAATTCAGTTAGTCATGCAGAACCTAGCACTTAGTGGATACTCAAAAATTATTTGCTGGATAAAAAAAGGTTAAACATGTAATATATACAAAATGTACTAGAAAAAATGCACCAAACAATTTTGTTATGGCAGTTTAATGTAGAATATTGCCTTTAAAAGATAATATAGTTTTCAGGTGTCTACAGTGATTTTGTAATATTTGTGCACATATAATATTTCCAAAAATGTAATCCAGTGAGGAAATATACTTTCTAAATTCTAGATTTATAATTTAGGGTTTAAATTATAAAATCATTAAGACACAAGTGAAATATAGTCAAATATCCCCTTGGAAAAAAATTAAGTGGCCTCTAAAGTGAGGTATTCATATATGTAATTTTACAATCCTCTAGTGATAGAATTAATTAAATACACCACCAAATTGATTAATTCCTACAGTGTTAAAAGAGAAGCACTAATAATGCCAGTGACCATGTAACATGGATTAAGCTACAAGTCATAGAAATGTGATGAGAAGCCTCAGCGCTGTAAAACAGAGGGTGGAGGAAAGCTTTTCCTCTCTCAAATGAGATTTGCCAAGTATACTTCTTGAAGAATAGGAAGTTGAAGTGTTCAGGACTTTTATGTCTATTCTACTTTGGCTTAGTTTACATGATTCTTAGTTTATTAGCCTAGAAATGGCCAAGAAAACTTAAGGCTCAATAATTAGTTATAAATATGAAATATCCCCAATTTTTAAGATAAAAACAACTTATAAATGTATTTGTCTGTAAAAATTGTGTATATTTTTACAGAACATCTATTTCTTTCTTTTTTTATTTTTTTATTATACTTTAAATTCTAGGGTACACATGCACAATGTGCAGGTTTGTTGCATATGAATACATGTGCCATGTTGGTGTGCTGCACCCATTAACTCATCATTTATATTAGGCATATCTCCTAATGCTATCCCTCCCCCCTCCCCCCACCCCACAACAGGCCCTGGTGTGTGATGTTCCCCTTCCTGTGTCCAAGTGTTCTCATTGTTCAATTCCCATCTATGAGTGAGAACATGCGGTGTTTGGTTTTTTGTCCTTGTGATAGTTTGCTAAGAATGATGGTTTCCAGCTTCATCCATGTCCCTGCAAAGGATATGAACTCATCATTTTTTATGGCTGCATAGTATTCCATGGTGTATATGTGCCACATTTTCTTAATCCAGTCTATCGTTTTTGGACATTTGGGTTTGTTCCAAGTCTTTGCTATTGTGAGTAGTGCCACAATAAACATACGTGTGCATGTGTCTTTATAGCAGCATGATTTATAATCCTTTGGGTATATACCCAGCAGTGGGATGGCTGGGTCAAATGGTATTTCTAGTTCTAGATCCCTGAGGAATGGCCACACTGTCTTCCACAATGGTTGAACTAGTTTACAGTCCCACCAACAGTGTGAAAGTGTTCCTATTTCTCCACATCCTCGGCAGCACCTGTTGTTTCCTGACTTTTTAATGATCGCCATTCTAACTGGTGTGAGATGGTATCTCATTGTGGTTTTGATTTGCATTTCTCTGATGGGTCTATTTATTTAAAACAAAGGGAGGGAAGTCTCATTTACATTCGTTTTTTTCATAGCCTTTTGAACTTTGCAATTTCTATGTTTCAGAACCTATTTCTTACAGTTTTTCTACGCTAAACTCTGTCCTGGTCAGTTCTAGAGTGTATGGAGAACCAAATGATGTAACTGTATGCGACCTGGCTGTAGTGGAACAAATTTGACTCTTAAGTATGCAGGCTCTAATTTTTCTGTCTGGTTTTGGTAAGTATTCCTTACACAGGTTTTTCTTTGAAAATCTGGGATTGAGAGGTTGATGAATGAAAATTAATCCTTTCACTTTGTTGTGTATAGGTTTGCAATAATTAGGTCAGAGTGGAGTTTTAAGGTCATGGAGGGGGCTGATGACTTACAAATAATGGGCTCTGATTGGGCAACTGCTCATCTGAGTTCCTTCCACTTGACCTAATTAAGCTTGTGAAATTTACACTAAGCCATGAGCTCATCTTTAAAAAGTTTTATTAAAAGATTTTCAGCTGTTCCAAATAGGACTTATTGGTGGAATGTGTTTTAAAGGATCCTATCAGATGAATGAAAGGTATTTGATCCTTTGTTTCCTTAATAATAAAATGATGGTTTGGAAAAATAGGCTAGAGTCTAACCACAGTGTTATTATTAGGCTTTCTTGTTAAACATAGGTCTAAGCCCAAGTATGTCAATACAACAAATACTTACTGTTTCATTTCTAGTAATAAAAAAATAAAGTCTTTCTGGCATAAGGATGATTTTCATCTGGTTATTTTGAAACATTTTTGTAAAATAAATTTCCATCTATAAAGAACATTTTTAATTTGTAAGGAGGGGTATGTCTCTGTGCACTGGAAGAGAGGGAGGACTAAATCACTGGGAAGTCTTATGATAAAGAAGCCATTGGCTTAAATCAGCAAAGCAAGCCATCCCTTGGTTTAAGGTGTTTTTCCTGGCCATCCTGTCTTGACTAGAACTTTACCTACACCTTCCTTTTTGGTTTAGGCAAATTATCATATCTAAACCTGAAGTCTCAGCTCTGTGTCTTTGAGATATAAATGTTCTACCACGTCTTCTCTGGAACCTGATAACTATCTATCTCTTTAAAATGCAAGTCTAGGGAGATGACTCATCAGAAAAAGAAGAAAAAAGAGGTATTTGGAAATTGTGCAAATTAAAGCAGCCCCTGATGCCAAAGTCTACACATTCCTGAGTGAGTCAGTTCTGGCCAGTTCTAGCTGGATCAAGAGAGCTCTGCTGGGCAAGCCTGAAGAGCACCTGGATGGCAGACACCTGAGGAGCCAGGTGCCTGAAACTTCCTCCACCTGCTTGAGGAGCGCTAAAGCCCAGGTGCTGGCTGGACAACCCCTTCTGGTTGCCTAAGCAGGTGGCAGAAGAAGGAAACAAGGTCAGAGGCAGAGTGTTGAACCCTGCCTCCCAGGTGGGTGGAAGATGCCTGTCGCCAAACTAGGGCCCAGCTTGCCGGGTGAGATGGGTGAACTGGTGATCCCCCGAGAGAGTGGACGTCAGAACTACATGGTCCTGGACCTCACCTCGGCCAGCGAAGGAGAGAGAGGGTTAATGTTAACTGCACGAGGCCCACTCTAGCCTTAAATTCTGAAATTCAAACCCTTCCCTTGGAGACAAAACAAACATGACAAGGAATTCTGACATCAGGGGACAAGAATCACAAGTTCCCTAGTGGGAGACTGAGGAGGCAGTGTCCTTCCTGCCCTTGGTCTACTGGCTAAGAACCTTCCTCAGCCTGACCTTTCCACATTGCGCTTCCAGCTCTGTTTGCAATTTTCCTCCTTTAGTGCTGAGGGAATCCCAGTGTTCGATCCTGAAATCTATAGGTTCCTAATGGGTGGTTAAAAAAAACCTCAGCGAGAGAAGCAGAAAATGTTTCCTCTTCCTGAAAAACTGTAGAAAGGCAGGCACCATTCTGGGTGAGGACATGGTCCTTGCAAATGTCTTTGTGTTTTGTTTTGTTTTTTTATTTTGAGATGAAGTTTTGCTCTTGTTGCCCAGACTGGAGTGCAGTGGTGTGACCTCTGCTCATTGCAACCTCCGCCTCCTGGGTTCAAGCAATTCTCCTACCTCAGCCTCCTGAGTAGCTGGAATTACAGGCACCTGACACCACACCTGGCTAATTTTTTGTATTTTTAGTAGAGATGGGGTTTTGCCATGTTGGCCATGTTGGTCTCTTAACTCCTGACCTCAAGTGAGCCACCCGCTTCTGCCTCCCAAAGTGCTGGGATTACAGGAGTGAGCCACCGTGTCCCACTGTGAGTGAGTGAGCCACAGCAAAAGTCTTTAAAGACAGCATGTTTCAGAGGCTGTGACGGTGCCCTGTGAACATGCCAAATCTCGCAGTCCCGGGAGCTCTGAGGAGCAGGCCCAGCTCCTTGCCAGGCTGATGGTACTGAAACTCTGCTCTCCAAGACATAACCTGATGGCCGTGCAAGATTTCTTAATTGACTGTGGACCGTGAGAGTCTGCATCTCATTTTAATTAAGACAGGAAAAGAAAGAACAAAAGAGCAACTCCCAGGTTATAGAGAGACTGGATTTTAGTATAATATTCAAGTGTAGCATTGCTAATAATAACAAACCTTTCCCCTCCCAAACGGTAAACACTTGCACTGCCTATTATACAAAAATTCAACCATCCTCTCTGTTCCCCCAATATCTCCTCCCCAGTGACCCCCCTCTCATGCGGCCTCATGAGCCTGGCCAGTGGTGAATGACACTTTCATGGGCATGAGACTCCACGTGAGTGGGACTCAGCTGGGACCCCTCTCCACGTGGGAGCTGGAGAAGCCACCCTAGTACCAGCTTAAAGTGTCCGTGATGTCCCTGCTGCTGAGGTAGGGGCTGCCTCTGAGCTGGTCTCGGGGTGTGAGCTGCTGCTGGTAGTGGGCTCTGCCCTGAGGGCCTGGTGGCTGGTCGGAAGGGCAGGCACACATGGGTGACTCCCCAGGATCTCAGGCCACCTCCCCACCACAGTCCTGCACTGTGTGTTCCAGGCATGTGCTGAGTGCCTGGTCAATCACCAGTGCCCTATTGATCCCCGTCTCCAGAGAGATCATTTAGCGTCACTCCACAGAGGGGGAAACTGAGGCCCAGAGAAGTAAGGTGACTCTCCCCAGTCACAGGTCTGGTCAGGAGTAGGATGGGAGGCTAGTCCCTTGCTGTCTGACTCCCTGAGCCCACCCATATCCCAAGGCAGCCAACCTCTGCCCGCCCTGGCTCAGGCCCCGACTGGCCCCTGTGGTGGGTGATGTCTATCTTCCTGGCCTTTGTGCTCCCAGCCAACTGGGATGGAGCCTCCAGCTGGCATGACAGGTTGTAGCTACGGACAGAAGAGTGGCTGTGAGGCTGCCAGGAATCTCACCAGGGCCCCCTCCCAGGGCCTGTCCAGAGTGAGGTCTGGGTACCCCAGGCATTGCCAGACCACAGGATCTGATGTTGGCCAAGAGGCTATGGCCACAGGCTTTCTGAGGCTGGCCCCCAGGGAGAGTTCAATCCTACTGTCCCAATTCCTGCCCTGGCCTTACCTCTCAGTCTCACCGAGCCGCTTCATGGTCCCAAACCAGGACCCAAAGTGCTGCTTGGGCTTAAGGTTGTAATTATTTGCAGCCAACTGGAGCAGCGGACCTCCTTGCTTACTTTGAATTCCTGGGTCCAGAGGGAAAAACTGGGTGGTGACAGGGACTGGACAGGGATGCCACAGGGGCCCTGTGGGGGTGTTAGGTGGGGTGGTGGCCAGTCTTTGCTCATAGGGGACTCCCTCCTCCTCTCCAGTCCTGTCCCCACCTGTTCTCAGAGCTGGCTCAAGCAGCAGCTCCTCCAGGAAGGTGTCCTTGGTTTCAACCTGGTACTCCCACCTGCAGGTCTTCCTGGAGTGTCTCCTCTTTGTCTGTCTCCCCATAAATCTAAGACGAGGGGGATGGATTTGCCCACCGCTACTCACCGTATGACTCTTGGGAGGTTGATCTGTCTCCCCTGCAAGGCCAACAGCTGAAGTCCATCAGAAAGGGTCCTCTGGCCCAGAGCCAGCCCCTGCCCACCCCTGTCATGCTGCACCCAGGGTGCAAGACCCAGATCAGGTCTCGGTGACAGGAGGGGTATAGAGGGGCTGAGGCTCAGGGGCCTTCTAGCCTAACTTGTCTGGAGACAGTTGGGGAAACTGAGACGCCAAGCAGGGAGGTATGGCTCCGAGAGATTATTCTCATTAACCTGGAACACTTTTGCAAGCTGTTAGGTATAGGAAGTCTGTCACAGGTAAGAGAAATGCTTTTTGAGAGCATGAGAGACAGCAGGGTTGTGACAATATTGAAACACCACTGTGCAGATTCACCAATTGCCACCACCAGGAGCCCCCTGAGAGTCATTGCAGATGCACAGCCCTCCCCTGCAACCCCTGGACCTCCCCATGGTCTGGCACCTAAAGGGTTATGACTCATGGCAGGAATCAGGGCCCTCAGGATGCCCTGCCCACTCCAAGGTTTGCCTCTGCTCTGATTGGTCACTGCCATTCAGATTGTCACCCAAATATAAGGACGTTAACAGAAAGACTCATTCAATACAAGTGGACTCAGACATAGATAGGATTTGGGTTGCAAAAAGCCCCTTTTGTTCTTTTATTTTATTTTGGAAAAAACTGTTATTGTGAAAATTCACACATATATATAGAAAAAAACCCAATCAATGCAAAAGGATAGACAATGAACAAATGAATTCCCCTTCCACTCCAGATCCGCACCTCAGATCCAGACCTCCTGAGCCCACTTCCCCCATCTCATCACAGATCCAGACCTCCTGAGCCCACTTTCCCCATCTCATCACAGATCCAGACCTCCTGAGCCCACTTTCCCCATCTCATCACCAGTGATTTCTTGGGCTCTGCATTAGTTTTCTATTGCTGCTGCAACAAACAGCTACAGACTCAGTGGCTTCCATTTCTGTCTTATAGTTCTGGTTGCCAAAATTCCTAAGAGGATCTCACTGGGCTAAAATCAAGGTGCTAGCGGGGCTATGTCCCTTCTGGAGGCTTAAGGGATGAATCGGCTCCCTGCCTTTTCTAGCTTCTGGGGGCTCCAGCTTCTAGGTTTGTGGCCTTCTTTCTCTATCCTCAAAGCCAGCAACAGCAGGTGAAGTCCTCGCCCATCGTGCATCACTCTCCCTTCTGCCTCCTTCAACTTTTTTTTTTTTTTTTTTTGTATTTAGGGGGAACGAGTACAGGATTCTTACATAGTCAAAAAGCTCCTTATAGAGAAGCTCGGAACTTTGAATACAGCTTTGCCTTTTTTGCCATTTTAATTTTCCATTTAATTTAAATGTATTCTCTCATTTGACCTTCATACTCTGTGGAGAAATATTTCTATTTCGGCTTGTATTGACAAGCTGTTTTCACACAGCCCCCGCATCACCCAACCAACCAGCAGAGATCCTCATTCCCATGAAACAGATAAAGAAACTGAGGCCCAGGGAGGCTAAGTCCTGCCAGGATCATTCACCTTCTAAGGTAAGGAGCCATTTCCAGACCTGGGTTTGTGCAGCTCCAAGCTCCCCCGTCTTTCTACAATGCTAGATTTAGACTATAGCAATCTAGCAAGTGTGGCCACACAATGGTCAAGTTGGATTTAGATGATGTTCTCTATAAATCCATTCTCCTCTCCCGTGTAAGCAAGGCAAAGTACTCTAGGCCATGGGGAGTCCCTGAAGACTCGATGAACTGCAGTGGCCACGTCAGGAGGTTGCAGGTTGACCAGAACTCACCGACACAGCAGGAGAGCAGCTTGGAACCTGCAACTCAGCCAAGACCCAGTGCCTTGGATTGGGGGAGAAAACATGCAGCCATTCCTCTCTCTCTCTCTGTTGGCTAGAGGGGATTCTGGCTTTTCCTGCCAGAGCCACCCCTTTCCCTCCTCCTAAAGTTGATGGTGGTTCTTTAAGGAAAGGGAGAAGTGCACGGTGTGACAGGGCAGGAAGAGAAGAAAACGGAGGAGAGGAGGGGACTTTCCCATAAGCAGGCAGAAGAAAAGGCAGCTGTGGTGTGTGATGGACATGGAAGCAGTGGTGTCCAATGTGGGGTCAGCCCTAGAGGAGAGACAGAGAGAGAGACAGAAAAGTGAGAGAGTCCTGACCCTTACGATTAACATGGGATCTGCCTGCAAATGCTGTTTAGGGCCATCGCCTCTTCCTGTACTGCTATTTTTGAGAGTGATGCTCCTGAGCCCCATGACCCAGTCAAATTTGATGTCCCCTTGAGCCAGATTCAGTGCTGGGAGTCCAGTGTGATCTGCCTGGATCTTGCTGCATTGAGAACAGGACAGATCTTGACACCAATACAGGGGCTGGATATGAACAGGCAACAGCTGGGTTTCTGAGTCAGAAAGACTTGGTTAATTGCTAATTGCTTAGGCGAGTAATTCAATTTTGTTCAGTCAGATTCCTCAGCTATAAAATGCAGATGACAGTACTTATTCCTCCAGGTTGTGGGGAAAATGGAGATTCTGAGCACGATGTCCATTTCACAGAAAGGTACCAATTTGGTGGCTTATTTTCCTTTCTACCTTCAGAAGTGGCTAACCCTGCCACCCAAACAGACCCTTGACTCTCAAGTGGATGGGGTCCCATTTGCACAGGGGGAGAGCTTACAGCCTATGTTGAGTCTATACTTACCACTTAGTGAGCATGGTATCCGCTCAGGGGCCTCTGTGGGCATCCGTCTCCTCTGCGGCATCTTTCCTCCCCACCGCTGGGCCTGCACATGACCCCCTCCTTGGGTTAGGCCTCTGATCGGTGATGACCTTGGTATGGTGGTGATGGTCAGTCTTGGCACCAAATGAGCCAGTTTATATCATCAGCTATTCAATAAAACACTAATCTAGGTGTCACCATGAAAGTATTTTGTGACATTGTTATGTACGTGTTGTTACAAATGTGCATGATGCATTTACTACAGCATACAATTTTGCCTGGGTGCCAGCCTGAAGTCTGTCCGACAGATCATAGCCATGTTAGTCCCACAGTCACAGGGGCCAATGGATTAAATTATTTTATCTCCCTTGAGAACTAAAAATAAAATCCTAAGCCCCCCACCCGACTTAGCAGACCCCCTTTTGGCCAACGGAACCCGTTTCTTTTCTTTTTTTTCTTTTTTGATTGAGATGAAGTCTCATGCTTGTCACCCAGGCTGGACTGCAATGGTGCAATCTCAGCTCACTGCAACCTCCGCCTCCTGGGTTCAAGCGATTCTCCTGACTCAGCCTCTCGAGTAGCTGGGATTACAGGCACCTGCCACCATGCCCAGCTAATTTTTGTATTTTTAGTACAGATGGGATTTCACCATGTTGGTCAGGCTGTTCTTGAACCCCTGACCTCAGGCAATCTGCCCGCCTCCCTCCCAAAGTACTGGGATTAGAGGCATGAGCTACCATGCCCGGCCGCCCTTCTCTGTTTCCAGAGCATTTTGTATTAACTCCCTCTCATGATATCTTCCATGATAGGCTGAATAATGGCCCCTCCAAAGTGTCCTCAACTTAATCCCCAGAATCTGTGACTATGTTCCTTTCCATGACAAAAGGGACTTTGCAGATGTGATTAAGCATCTTGAGATGGGAACTTATCCTATGTTGCCTGTGGGCCCAGTATCCCATCACAGTGCTTTTTTTTTTTTTTTTTTTTTTTTGAGACGGAGTTTCTTGCTCTTGGTGCCCAGGCGGGAGTTCAGTGGCACAATCTTGCCTCACTGCAACTCCACCTCCGAAGATTCAAGCGATTCTCTTGCCTCAGCCTCCCGAGTAGCTGGATTACAGGTGCTCGCCAACATGTCCAGCTAATTTTTGTTTTTCCAGTAGAGATGGGGTTTCACCATGTTGGCCAGGCTAGTCTCAAACTCCTGACCTCGTGATCTGCCCACCTTGACCTCCCAAAGTGCTGGGATTACAGGCATGAGCCACCACATCCAGCCTACAGTGCTCTTTTAAGAGGGACTCAGCAGTCAGGGGAGATTCCAATGCGATGGTGACTGAGTGTCTTAGTCTTTTTTGTATTGCTATGCAATAACTGAGACTGGGTAATTTATAAAGAACAAGTTTATTTCTTACAGTTCTGGAGGCTGGGAAGGTCAAGATCAAAGGGCCTGCATCTGGTGAGGGTCTTCTTGCTGTGTCATCCCATGATGGAAGGTATCACATCAAGAGAGAAAGGGGGCTGAACTCAATCCTTTTATTAGGAACCCAACCCCATGATAATTAACCCTCTGCTGAGATAACATCATTACTCTATTAATGAGGGCAGATCTTTCATGACCTAATCTCCTCTTAAAAGTCCCACCTCTCAACACTGTTGCATTGGGGATTAAATTTCCAACACATGAACTTTGGGGAACACATTCAAACCATAGCACTGTGCAGAGATTGGAGTGGTGTGCATTAAAAATGGAGGAAAGGGCCACAATCCAGGGAATATAGGTAACCACTAAAAGCAGAAAAAGGCAAGAAAATGGGTTTTCCCTTCAGAGCCTCCTGAAGAAATCAGTACTTTACAACTTGACTTTAGCCAAGTGAAACTGATTTGAGGCTTCTGACCTATAGAACAATAAGATATTAAGTCTGTGTTGTTGTAAGCCAATCAGATCGTGGTAATTTGTTACAGCAGCCATAGAAAACTAATTGACTCACCAATGGGAGAAATCAGCTGCTGATTTAAGGCTAACAAACACCTACTTCCTTTCCTAACCTCACTTTAATTTTATCTTGGAGGAATTCTTTTCCCTATCCCATTAAGTTATGGGAGATGGGGCCAGGCATGGTGGCTTAGCAATCCCAGCACTTTGGGAGGCTGAGGTGGGTGGATCACTTGAGGTCCAGAGTTTGAGACTAGCCTGGCCAACATAGTGAAACCACATCTCTACTAAAAATACAAAAATTAGCCAGGTGTGGTGGTGGGCACCTGTAATCCCAGCTACTCCAGAGGCTGTGGCATGAGAATTGCTTGAACCCAGGAAGCAGAGGTTGCAGTGAGCTGAGATCGCACCACTGCACTCTAGCCTGGGTGACAGAGTGAGAATCTATCTCAAAAAAAAAAAAAAAGTCATGGGAGAGGATGGTAAAGCTAAGTATCTTTTGCACCTACTCCCCAGCCCCACCACTGCAGAAGCTGAAGGGGTTCCTAGAGGCTTCTTCTGCCGTGGAGCGGTTCCCACTGGCCCCTAGCTAGAGGTGGGTGTAAGACTTTGAAACATGAACAAATGGAGCTGGGATGGTAATGGCGGGAACAATATTGTGCTAATCTGAACTCTGCACTTCCTAACTTTGGCTCTGGGTAAATTACCTCAAATTGCTGAGCCTTTGTTTCCATATTTATAAAATAGGTGCAGTAAGAGTACCAACCTCTTCTACGCTGTTTGGAGGAGGCAGGTCCATTAGGTACCTGGCATGTGGTAAGGGATTCATGAATGTTGGCTTCTATCATTAAGGGTGGGGGAGCCACATAAGTAGCCAGAGGGAGTCATAGAAAGTTCTTGAGCCAGAGAAGTAAGACAATCTTTTCAGCTTTTTGTGCAGCATAAAAGGCGGGTAATTTGCTTGCCTTTGACCAAGGAAATTTGGGACGTGCCAGGCCTGGGGTGAATGGTGGGAACCCAAGTAGAGGGATATTTCTCATTGGCTGAATTAACTGTGACTCCGTTTTGCGGAGCAGCCAGGTTGCTTCATGGTGGACCTGCTGCATGCCTACATGATGGTGCCGTGGATAGCTCTTGTTTGTGCCAGCCCTGTACCTGATACCTCTTGTGGTAATTGCATCCCTATTTTCCAGAAGGAAGCATCCCTCCTCCCACTTTCTGGTTTTCCCCATGTCCTTCTGGAGGGGATGACCCCAACCGCTTCCTGAAGGAGCTTCATGAAAGCCAGGTCTGGCCAGGCTGGATGTGGTGGTTGGCTCAGGCAGGGGCATGTGGCCCAAACGGGTCCAGTGAAAGTCAGTCCTGGGACTTTGGCTGGAACTATTGGGGAACAGCCTCTGCTTTCTTGCGCAGATGTGAGTTAGGAGCTGCTCAGGCCACTATGTGGAAAGAATTGCGTGAGAATGAAGTAATCAAAGGGAAGCAAGCACTGAGAGATTAGAGAGACTTATCTTGTATAAGTGCCTGTATCCAGCTATGCCTGAAGTGAGGTACCACCCCAGGCCTTTTCAGTCATGCTATCAGTTTTGTTCCTTTTTTCTGTTTTACTCTTGGTGTAGTTATTTTTTTTTTCCTTGTTACTTGAATAAGAAAAATACCAAACTAGAAGGCTGGGTGCAGTGGCTCATGCCTGTAATCCCAGTACTTTGGGAGGCCAAGGCAGGTGGATCATGAGGTCAGGAGTTTGAGATCAGCCTGACCAACATGGTGAAATCCTGTCTCTAATAAAAATACAAAAAAATTAGCCAGGCGTGGTGGTGCGTGCCTTTAATCCCAGCTACTAAGGAGGCTGAGGCAGGAGAATTGCTTGCATCTGGGTGGCGGAGGTTGCAGTGAGCTGAGATCGTGCCACTGCACTCCAGCCTAGGTGACAGAGCAAGACTCCATCTCAAAAAAAAAAACAAAAACAAAAAGAAACAAAACAAAAAAAACAGACTAGTAAATGCAACCATTTACAAATCCCAAGAGACTCTTGAAGATTCTTTTTGTTAGTAGGGAAAACATTCTCCATTTTTCTGCCAACTTTAGGGTTTTCAGAGAAGTTTGGGGGAGAGAAAGGAAAGCAAACAGGTGGGAAGAAAGAGTCCTTGCAGCCCCAAGTCGGGCGAACTCCTCCCAGCTACTTATACCACAGGGTTTTGGGAGCAGAGCCCCTTTCATTAAACTTTTAGGATTCTTGGATGGATAGGGTGGGAATTACACCAGTGAAACTCAGCTTTGTGTGTGCCAGGCATTGGGCCCTGGGATATGCAGTCATGTGTTGTATAATGACATTTTAGTCAATGACAAACCACATGTAAGTCACTGGTACCATAAGACGATTATGGAGCTGAAAAATTCCTATTGCTCAGTGACATAGCCATTGTAATGTTAGGGTAATGCATTTCTGTGTTTCTGGTGATGCTGGTGTAAACAAATCTGTGCTGCCAGTTCTATAAAAGCATAGCATGTACAATTACATACAATATATAATACTTGATAATGAACAACTATGTTACTGGTTTATTTTATTTTTTTGAGACAGAGTCTTGCTCTGTTGCACAGGCTGGAGTGCAGTGGCGCGATCTTGGCTCACTGCAACTTCTGCCTCACAGGTTGAAGCGATTCTTCTGCCTCAGCCTCCTGAGTAGCAGGGAATACAGGCACCCACCACCACGGCCAGCTAATCTTTGTATTTTTAGCAGAGATGGGGTTTCACCACACTGCCCAGGCTGGTCTCAAACTCCTGACCTCAAATCATCTGCCCGCCTCAGCCTCCTGAAGTGCTGGGATTACCCACATGAGACACTGTGCCCAGCCCTGGTGTATTTAGTGTTTTTCATAATTTTAGAATGTATGTCTTCTACTTACATTAAAAAATAGTTAACTATAAAACAGCCTCAGGTAGGTCCTTCAGGAAGTATTCTGGAAGAAGAAGGCATTCTTATCACAGGAGATGACATCTCCATGCGTGTAATTGCCCAGGCGGGAGTGCAGTGGCACGATCTCGGCTCACTGCAACCTCCACCTCCTGGGTTCAAGTGATTCTCCTGTGTCAGTCTCCTGAGTAGCTGGGATTACAGGTGCACACCACCATGCCTGGCTAAGTTTTGTATTTTTAGTAGAGATGAGGGTTTCACCACGTTGGCCAGGATGGTCTTGAACTCCCGACCTCAAATGATCTTCCTGCCTTGGCCTCCCAAAGTGCTGGGATTGCAGGTGTGAGACACCATGACCGGCAAAATTTTTTAAGATACATTTCAGTAAGCTAAGGTGAATTTATTGAAGAAAAGCTTTAAAAATTTTTGGTGTAGCCTAAGCATATGGTGTTTATAAAGTCTACAGTAGTGTACAGTAAGGTCCTATGCCTTCACACTCACTGACTCATCCACAGCATCTTCCAGTCCTGCAAGCTCATTTCATGGTAAGTGCCCTATACAGGAGTACCATTTTAAAATCTCTTATACTCTATTCTTACTGTATTTTCTCTATGTTCAGGTACACAAGTACTTACATTGTGTTACAACTGCTTATGGTATATTCAGTAAAGTATCAGGCTGTAAGGGTGTGTAGCCTAGGAGCAATAGGCTACGCCATACAGCCTAGGTGTGTAGTAGGCTATACAAGGTTTGGGTAAATGCACTTTGCTGTTTGCACAATGCTGCAGTCACCTAAGGAGGCATTTCTCAGAACCATCCCATGATTAAGAGAGGCATGATCATATAGTCATCATCACCCTGAAAGCTCAGTCTACCCTCTGCAGTGCTACTGCCACACTCCCCTTTTGCACATGTAGAAATCAAGGATCTTTGGCTCCTCTGAGTGACTTGTTCAAGGTTTCTCAGTTTCCAAGAGATGGAGGTGGGACTTGAATTGAGATTTCCCTTTCTTGAGAACCTGTGGTCCTTAACCATTAAAACCACTTAAGAGGTCTTCTCTCTTGATCACTACCTACTAAGTGCTAGGCGCGGTGCTGAGGCGTTCTCTTGATTATTATATTGAGTCTTTAGATTTAGGAGAAACAGGCTGAGCGTGCTGGCTCACGCCTGTAATCTCAGCACTTTGGGAGGCTGAGATGGGAGGATCACGAGGTCAGGAGATGGAGACTATCCTGGCTAACACCGTGAAACCCTGTCTCTACTAAAAATACAAAAATTAGCAGGCGTGGTGGCAGGCGCCTGTATTCTCAGCTGCTCGGGAGACTGAGGCAGGAGAATGGCGTGAACCCAGGAGGCGGAGCTTGCAGTGAGCCGAGATCGCGCCACAGCACTCCAGCCTGGGTGACAGAGCGAGACTGTCTCAAAAAAAAAAAAAAAAAAAAAAGATTTAGGAGAAACAAGTCCCGAAGCCCTGACCCTAACACGCAAGGGTTAGTGGAGATGTGGGACTTGAACTCAGCTTCTCCGTTGACTCTGGCTGTCTCCCTGACGCAGGCATGTGCTCGCACACCTCCAAGGTGGCGATCCCGCCCCCTTAGTAGCGTCCTTAGCTAGGTACTTCTTGCGGGGAAGTTCCTCTTGGCCCAGACCCTCTTCCTAGGCCCCGCGTGGTGGGGGAAGCGAAAGGGGCAGTGTGGGGAAGTGGCTGAGGGGTTGGGTCCGGGGTGGTCTGCAGAGAGGCAGGCGGCGGTGCGGAGCCGGGAACCACGCACTCACCCGCCGAGTCCGACGGGCCCGGCAGGGGTGGGCAAGGCACTGGGAACAGCCGCCAGCTCTAGAGGGCGTGAGGCGGGGCGCACGGGGAGGGGGTGCGGCTAACGCGCGCGTGCGCGGTTCATGTGTGGGCCCGCGGGGGCGCGCGCGTGGTTAGCGGGCAGCGAGGGTCGCCTGGGCGGTGCGCAGCACGGCGGGAACATGGCGCGCGGAACCGGCGCGCGCGCCTAGCTGGCGGGACCGTTAGATCGAGGCGGATGCGGCCCGGACCCCGTGGATATGGAGCAGTCGCCGCCGCTGGCGCCGGAGCCCACCCAAGGGCCAACCACCGCAAGGAGCTGAAGGCGGCGGGAGCCCGAGTCGCCGCCGGCGTCGGTGCCGGTGAGTGCGTGAGGGGCTGGGGCCCGGAGACTTTCTTTGTGAAACTCCGGCGGTGGGAGCCAGGCCGGGCCTGAGGCTGAGGAGCGCCTGTGAGGCGGAAGGCGTCTCGCAGTCCGGGTTCCATCCCAGCTGCGAGCCTTCAGGCGGCGGGACCTGGTCCAAAGCCTGCCTGCCTCAGTTTCCGCTAGAGTGGGTGTGGGTGTGTGAGGGTGTGTATGGGTGTTGGCCTGCGCACACCGGAGAGGGGGTGTCGGTATACAGTCGGCGCCTAATGCTCGCGGCGCCTCCCCCACTCTCCCCAGTCCCCGTGGGTCGGAACCTGGGGACTGGAGTCCACTGGAGCAGTAGGCGGCACCCGCGGGGAGACAGGTGTCAGTGCAGCCCGGGAGGCTCAGGTGCTACCTTTCCTGGGTGGGGTTTGTGAGGAGGGAGCTCTTCGTCCCCGGAGGTGAGCAAGTCTGTCGGTGGCTCATCACAGAGTGCTGTTTTGGAAAGCGTTCCACCCACCTCAGCTTCCTGCTGTGTTTGGGCCACTAGTCAGGGGGAAGGATGCTGAGCGACATGGACTTTAGAGGTGGGGCCCCCGCTGGACGGGATGGGTCTGGGCTCTCGAGCTAACCCCCACCCTTTCCTCCCAAACCCGTTAGAGCGTAGGAATCATTGGGAGCACCTGATAAAAATGCCACGGATTGTGGCTCACCTAAGCAGGGAAGCCGATTTGGAACTTAAACAAGCTCCCAAGTTGTGATCAGTCGAGCTTGGCAAGCACTGTTTGAGAGAGTAGGCTTCCCGCAAGCAGGAGCCGGTTTTGTGTATACCTCACCATGGCATCTTGGTACCTGGCATGGTGCCTGACACACGGTAGATGATCAGAAAATATCTGTAGAAAGTCTAAATTATTAGGGAGAGTGCAGCATAGTAGTTCTTGAGACATTTTCAGGAGCTTCCTGAGATTAATATCTGTCAGATTTGTTTTACAGTATATGATTTTTCTCAGCTCCCAACTTTTGTGATTGTTTTAATGCCGTGTTTTCAGTATGTTCTAGGCAAAAGCAGGGTATATGTTGCTTAGTATACACTATCCACTAGGCCGATTGCGGTGGCTCACTCCTGTAATCTCATCACTTTGGGAGGCAGATTGCTTGAGCCCAGGGGCTTGAGGCTGTAGTGAGCCAAGGACTTAGAGACCAGTGTGGGAAACATACCGAGGTTCGTCTCCGCAAAAATTAGCTGGGTGTGGTAGTGTGCACTTGAAGTCCCAGCTACTCTGGAGGCTGAGGTGGGAGGATCGCTTGAGCTCAGGACGTACAAGTTGCAGTGAGCCAACTTGTGCCACTGCATTCCATCCTGGATAACACAGTGAAACCCAGTCTCTTAAATAAGTAAATAAATAC
This sequence comes from Homo sapiens, assembly GCF_000001405.40. Lineage (NCBI taxonomy): Eukaryota > Metazoa > Chordata > Mammalia > Primates > Hominidae > Homo > Homo sapiens. The sequence goes on along the minus strand of NC_000016.10, from coordinate 33,515,197 downwards.
ATAAACGATTATGTATACTCCAGCTAGATTAAAATTAATTCTGAATCAAAATTCTAAATTAAAATATGCATGTGTCTTTCTCTTCATCATTTGAGAACACTAGGCTTTTAGGATTTCATTCTGTTGAGGCAGGTAAATATCAACATTTTTGACAAAGCAAATATGAATTACTGTTAATTCGAGAAAGGTGGGAATTTGCTTAAACCTGAGTATTTGTAGTCTTTGTGATTTTTTTAAATTTTAAATTTAAATTTTTCTTTTTTTTTCTTTTTTTTTGAGATGGAGTCTCACTCTGTCGTCCAGGCTGGAGTGCAGTAGCACAATCTCAGGTCACTGCAACCTCCACCTCCCGAATTCAAACGATTCCCCTGCCTCAGCCTCTGGTGTAGCTGGCATTACAAGTGTGTGCCACGATGCCCAGCTAATTTATGTATTTTCAGTAGAGAGGAGGTTTCACTATGTTGCCCAGGCTGGTCCCAAACTCCTTGACCTCAAGTGATCTGCCCACCTTGGCCTCCCAAAGTGCTGGGATTACAGGCGTGAACCACGGCACCTGGCCTTATTTTTATTTTTTTGAGACAGACTCAGTCTGTCGCCCAGGTTGGAGTGCTGTGGCATGATCTCCACTCACTACAACCTCCACCTCCCAGATTCCAGCGATTCTAATGCCTCGGCCTCCTGAGTAGCTGGGGTTACTAGACCCGGGTAATTTTTGTTGTATTTTTTTAGTAGAGACTGGGTTTCCCTATGTTGGCCAGGCTGCTCTGGAACTCCTGGCCTCTAGTTATCCACCTGATTCGTCCTCCCAAAGTGCTGGAATTACAGGCATGAGCCACTGCCCCCAGCCAATCTTTGTGATATTTTGAAATTGACGTTTATATTTTGTTCAGAGTCAAAGCTAAAATAGAATTGTTTGAAAATTAATATTTCAGGAACTATTTTTTAATTAAGTCGAATTTTATTTTATTTCATTTCAGGAGGGTTTTAACTTAAAAATATATATATACATATATATGTATATGTGTGGGTGTGTGTATATGCATATATATATATATATATATATATATATATATATATATATTTTTTTTTTTTTTTTTTCCTGAGACAGAGTCTTGCTCTGTCACCCAGGCTGGAGTGCATTGGCATGATCTTGGCCTCACTGCAGCCTCCACCCTCCTGGCTCAAGCAATTCTCCTGCCTTAGCCTCCCAAGTAGCTGGGACTACAGGTGCCCACCACCACATCTGGCTAATTTTTATATTTTTAGTAGAGATGGGGTTTCACCATGTTGTCCAGGCTGGTTTTGAACTCCTGATCTCAAATGATCTGCCCTCCTTGGCCTCCCAAAGTGCTGGGATTACAGGCGTGAGCCCCCGTGCCTGGCCTAAAAAATATTTTTAAAGACAGGATCTAGCTATGTTGCCTCAGCTGGTCTTGAACTCCCAGTCTTGGCCTCAAGTGATCCTTCTGCCTCAGCCTTCTGAGTAGCTGGAAGCACAGCTGTGAGCCAGAACACATGGCTTTTTTTTATTTCTAATAAAAAAATTAATAGAGTTTCTTGTTTCACTGGACAAAATATGCATACATAGGAAGGAAAGACTTTTTGACTTCAGATTGCGCTGAAGAAGAAAAATGGAAAAATTAGGCATTTTAGTCTCTCAGTGTGTTATTTTTGTAGGTTATACAGATGTCTTTTTAAAGTTTCTTTAGAAAGCTTTATTGAGATAAAGATAAATGAGATAAATTCACCTACCATGAAATCAACCCCTTGAGTGCAGAATTTTATGGTTTATAATATGTTCACAGAATCACACAAACAAGACAGGTGTCTAGATACTTTCAGACCATTTTCATCAGTCCACAAGAAATCCCACACCCATTAGCAGTCATCCTTATTCCCTTTTCCTCTCGTCCCTGGCAATAACTAGCTTACTTTCTGTCTCTGAGTTTAGCTCTTCTGGAGATTTCACAGAATGAAATCTTACTACATATGGTCTTTTGTGATTGACTTATTTCACTTGGCACAGTGTTTTCAAGGTTTATCCATGCTGTAGCGTATATCAGCACTTCACTCTTTTCTAATGCTGAGTAATCTTTTGAATGGATATACCATATTTTATCAGTTCCTCTGTTGATAGGCACTTGAGTTTTTTTTCCAATTTTTGGCTATTATGAACAATGCTGCTATGAACATTTGTGTACAAATTTTAGTGTGGATGTATATTTTCATTTCCCTTGGGTATATCCCTAAGGAATAGACTATCTGGGTCATCTGATAATTGTTTAAGAATACAGGCACATGCAACCACACCTGGCAAATATTTAAATTTTTTTGTAGATAAAGGGTCTCGCTATGTTGCCCAGGCTGATATTGAACTCCTGGCCTCAAGAGATCCTCTCACCTCAGACTCCCAGAAAGTGTTAGCATTACAGATGTGAGTCACTGCACCTATAAAAGAGGCTCATACCTCTTTTTACATATTTTTTTAAGACAGGCTTTCACTCTGTTGCCCAGGCTGGAGTGCATTGGTGGGATCACAGATCACTGCAGCCTGGACCTCCCTCCATATGATTCTAGCTGTGGGTGTCTTTCCTGTAGTTTTTATTATGTTGTGGTATGTTTCTTCTGTACCCATTTATTTGAGGATTAATAGCATGAAGGGATGTTGAATTTCATCGAATGCTTTTTCAGTTTCAGTTGACATGATCATACTGTTTTTGTCATTTATTTAGTTGATATGATGCATCACATTGTATGTTGAGTGACCCTTGCATCCCAGGGATACATTCCACTTGATCATGATGAATTATCTTTTTAATGTATTACTGAATTTGATTCACTGGTATTCCGTTGAGGATTTTTGCATCAATATTAGAGATACTGGCCTGTAGTTTCCTTCTTTGATGCCTTTGTCTGATTTTGGTATCACAGTAATAATGGTCTCATAGAATAAGTTTGGAAGTATTCCCTCCTGTTTTTCAAAATAGTTTGAGTAGGATTCGTACGAGGTCTTTAAATTGTTTGGTGTGAAGCCATCAGCAGTGAAGACATCAGTTCCTGGGCTTTTCTTTACTGGGAGACTTTTTCTGATGGCTTCAATCTCATTACTTGTTACCAATCTGTTCTGGTCTTGGATATTTTCATTATTCAACCTAAGTAGGTTTTATGCATCTAGGAATTTGCCAATTTCTACTAGGCTTTCCAATTTATTGGCATGTAATAGCCAGTTATGATCCTTTGAATTTCTGAAGTTATTAGTTGTAGTGTCTCCTTTTTTTTAATCTGTTGATTTTATTTGAATCTTGTCTCTTTTTTCTTAGTTAGCCTGGTTAAAAGTTTGTCAATTTTGTTTAGCTTTCCAGAAAACCAACTTTTCATTTAATCTTGTGTGTTTCTTATTTCAATTTTATTTCTGCTACGATCTTAGTTATTTTCTTAATTTCGGTTTAGTTTGTTCTTACTTTACTAGTTCTTTAAGATGTATTGTTTATTTGAAGTTTTTCTTTTGTTTGGATGGTAGGCACTTATAGTGTAAATCTCTGCCTTTGTACTGTTTTCTGCGTAACAAGTTTTGGTATACTGTGTTTTCATTACCCTTTGTTTCATGAAATTTTTGAATTTCTGTCTTAGTATCTTCATTGACCCGCTAGTCATTTATTCAGGAGGGTAGTGTTTAACTTCCATGTGATTGTATTGTTTCCAAAATTACTCTTCTTACTGATACCTAGTTTTATTCCTTTGTAGTCAAAGAAGATGGCCAGGGAGACAGCAGCGTGGTCAGAGTGGTAGGAGCTGGCCATCGGTGAGAGCTGCTCCATGCCTGGCTGCTGGGTTCTAGAGCTTGTGGACCACTGGCTTGCCTCACTGTGGTTGGTGGTGGCGGTGACAGAGTGTGCAGCACGACCAGAGTGGTAGGACAGGGGCTATCCAGGGCTGCACCTTTTGCAGTGTGGGGTGGGTTGGGGGCGCTATGCAGGGTGTCATTGCCTGCATTAGGGGTACTGGTTGGTAGCACTGTACAGGGCTGCACTTCCCACGGCAGGGAGGGTGGGTTATGGGCACTTTCTGGGGCTGCAATGCCCATGGAGGAGGACACGTTAGGGCACTATAGGGTATACGCTACTGGTGGCATTGGGGGACGGAGGTGGGGGGCGCTATTGAGGGCAGGACTAGCCGTGGAGGGGGGACGAGTTCAGTGCTATCAGTGGCTGCACTGCTGACGGCGGTCAGGAGAGTTGGCATCCAAGGAAGGAGTGGTTCTCCTCTCCCTGACTCCACGTTCCAGAGGGCGACCCACTCTTGGTCATACTGGAGTGCAGCAGGCATGCAGCGTTTGCGTGGGAATCCTGAGCATGGCAGAGCCCCCACACCCACCGTGGTTCCTGGGCCTGTGCACTCTGGGTCTGTGCCTCAGAGGCTGCCAGGCACCCCTGGGGACACCACGGGGGACAGGGCCCTGTGCGTGGAGGCGTCTGGAACAGGAATTGGCACCTAGGTGCGGAGGGTTGGCTGGGTCTGAATTTTTCTGCTTCTCCTGCTCCCCGAGGAGTGCAGCCCCAGTGGGCCCAATGATTCCTGTGGAGTGGGGAGCTGGGTGCTGTGGTATCTCCAGCACCCACCCCAGACTCCAGTTCCGGGCCAGCTTGGACCAAAAGGAGAGGCTGGACTTTGGAGGGTGGGTGTGAGTGCCTTTGCTGAAACTGGCCCCTGCCACCCAGTGGCCAGCATGACAAGTTGAGGCTCTAACCCTTCCGCCCCTCACATCTTCCTCTAGGCTTTTCTGGCTTTGCCCGCCCAGCTGCTCCATGCCAGGAGGAGGAGGAGACACCTAGAGCCTGCGACACCATGGCTCGCCTCGCTGCAGGTGGGTGGCAGCAACGGAGACTGCAGTGCGCCGGAGCGGTAGGAGAGCGGCCGCGCTAGGAGGGCAGGCGGCTGCAGCCAGGGTTGGGGGTCAGGCTTGCAGTGATGGACGGGCTGCAGCAGTGGCCAGGTGGTAGGAGCCTTGTAGGGAGGACTGGTGCATTGGCAATGGGCCTGGCTTTGTCCTGCCCCTGCCATGGATCTGGCCCTGTACTGCCCTGCCTTGCCCTGTACCTGCCCTACTATTACCTGGACTGTCTCGGCCAAGTCCTGCTCTGGTCCCATCCTGACCCTGTCTTGGCCCTGTGATACCCTGTCCCTGCCCTGGTCTTGCCCTGACACTGGCCCTGCCCTGAACCTGTACTGGCCTGACCTTGGCTCTGGCCCTGGCTCTGGCCCTGCCCCTTGTCCTGACCCTTGTCCTGTCGTGGCACTGGCCCTGCCAATGGTCATGGTCCTGCTCCTGTTCTGGCCCTGACCTGGCCTTGGACATGTCCTGGCCCTGCTTTGGCCCATCCCTGCCCTGGCCCCACCATGGGCCTGCCTGTTCTGCCCTCTCCTGGCACTGACCTTGCCCTGTCATGGCCCAGTGGTGCCATTGCCCTGCCTTACCCAATGGTTGTGCCTTGGCCCCGCTTGGTGCTGGCCGCTCCCTGGACCTGCCCTGACCCTGCCTTGGCTTTTGCCCTGCCCTCACTATGGCCTGTCCCTGGCCCTAGCCCTGGTCCTGGCATATCCCTGGCCCTACCCTTATCCAGGCCCTGCCCCTGCTGCTGCCCTGGCCCTGGCCTGGAACCTGGTCCTGTCAAGGACCTGCCCTGACTCTGCCATGGCCCTGGCCCTGCTCTGCCTTGTTCCTGGCCCTGACCCAGACCCAGACCCTTTCCTGGCCCTGCACTGGCCTTTCCCTGGCCCTGAGCTGGCAGTGGTCTGCCCCTGGTCTTGCCATCACCCTGCCCTGCTGTGCTCTGGATGTGTCATCATGCTGCCCTGGCCCTACTCTGCCTTTGACCCTGCCCTGGCCTTACCTTGGCCCTCACCCTAGTCTTCGCTAGGCCCTGCTGCTATTTCCCTGCCCTACCCTGCCTTGGCTGTGCCCTGGCTCGATTCTGGCCCTGGACCCAGCCCTGCCCTGGATATGCTCTGACACTTCCTCAGCCTTGACACTAGCGTGGCTTTTTCTTGGCATCAGCCCTGCTCTCTCTGTGGACCGGCTCTTGTCCTGTCCTGCACTGGTCATACCATGCCCTGCCCTGCCCTGCCCTGACTCTGGCCTGGCTCAGCCCTGGCCCAGCCTTGGCCTTGGCATTGCCCCTGGTCTTGACATATTTCTTGCCCTGTCCCTACCCCAGCCTTGGCCCTGACCCTTACCTTGCTCTGGCCCTGCCCTTGCCCTAACGCAGCCCCTGACCCTGTCATGGCCCTGCCCTGGACCTGTCCTGGCCCTGGCCCTGGCCCTTCCCTGCTTGAGACCTTGTCCTGGTTCTCCCCTGGCCCTGACCCTGAAATGCCTGGCCCTACCCTGGCCTTGCACTGCTCTGGCCCTTGCTCTGACTCTGGTCCTGTCACTGGCCTAGCCCCAGCCCTGTTGCTGGTCTTACCATGGCCCAGACCCTGCCTTGGCCCTGCCCTGACACTATCCTGGACCCTGGCTGTGCCAAGATCCTGCACTGTCCTTGCCCTTGTTTTGCTCCTGCCCCAAACCTGGACCTGCCCAGGCCATGGCCATGGCCCTGGCCCTGGCCCTGCCCTGGCTGTTCCCTGGCCCTGCCCAGGTCTTGGCACTGGCCTGGCCCTGCCCTGCCTTGGCCCTATGCTTTCCTGGCCCTGCCTTCCGGCCCTGCCCCTGCCTTGGCCCTAGCCTGGCTTTGACCCTGCCCTGGCCCTACCTTGACCTTCACCCTAGCCTTACCTGGGCACTGTGTTGGACCTGGCCATAGCACAGACCTGCTTGTGGCCCTGGCCCTGCCATGGCCCTGTCCCAGATGCTAGCCCTGCCAGGTGCTTGTCCTGGCCCTGCTGTGGGCCTGGCTTTGTCCCTGGTTCTTAGATGAACCTGGCCCTGCCCTGCCCTTGCCCTTGCCCTGGCACTGGCCTTGGAAATGTCCGTGGTCCTAACCCTGGCCCTGCCCTGGAGCTGCCACTGTCTTGGCCCTGCCCTGGCTCTGGCCCTGCCCTGGACGTGGCCCTGCCACAGCCCCAGCCATAGACCTGCCCTGGTTGGTCGTGCCCTACCTTAACCCTGTGCTACCCTGGGCCTGCTCCACCCTGCCCTGGCCCTGCCCTCCCTTTGGCCCTGCCCTGACCCTGCCTTGGCTCTCACACTGGCCCTAGCACAGACCTGGTCCTATCTGTGGCCTTGGCCTGGCATTGACCCCTGCTCCTGACCCTGGTCCTGCCATGGCCCTTGCCCTGCCAATAACCCTGACAGCTCTGGCCCTGGCCCTGTCTTGGCCCTGGCCCTGAACTGGTGCTGCCCTGACCCTGGCCCTGAAGTGGATTTTCAGGTGTCTTGTCCCTGAGTTAACCTGGCCCGACCACAGCCTTGTCCCTCTCCTGGCTCTGTCCTGGTCTTGTGCTGACCCTGACCCAGAACTTGGCCCTGCCCCAGCCTTGTCCTAGACCTGGCCATAGCCCTGCCTCTGCCCTAGACCGGCACTGGCACTGGCATGGACCCTGGCCCTGGCCCTTCAATACTTAAGGCCATACACTGACCCAGCCCTGGTCCTGACCCTGTCCTAGCCCTAATTTGGCCTGGCTCTACCCTGGTATGCTATTCTGGCCCTAGCCCTGACCCTCTCCCTGTCCCTGTCCTGGCCCTAGCCCCGTTGCTGGTCCTGCCATGGCCCTTGTCCTGACATTGCCCTTTCCAGGTCCTGGCCCTGGCCCTGTCCCAGCCCTGCTCTGGCCCTGGTCTGAACCCTGGCCCTGCAATGGACCTGCCTTGGTACTGCCCAGACCCTGGCTCTGGCCCTACCTCTGCCCTGGCCATACCCTTGCCCTGGCCTGGACCCCGGTCCTCGTCCTTGTCCTGCCCCAGCCGTGGCACTGACCCTGCCCCACCTGTGCCCTGCCATGGCTGGCCCTGCCATTGCCCTGCCCTAGCCTGCCCTGCTTGTGCCCTAGATCTGCCCCGGCCTTTGCCCCATCTTGGTTCTAGCCTTGAAAACAAAAAAAAAAGGAAAAGAAACATTTTGTATTCTCTTTTAGAAAGGGTAGATGACTGGAAAAGTATTAATAATGAAAATAACCAAAAATTGGACTTATAAATTATAAACTATGTAATTATAAATATTAGTATTTGAAAATATATGCAGATCTACAATTCTTCATGTGGAATTACAAAATTCAACAGTTATGAATACCTAAACCTAAGTTTTGGAAAATCTGATCTATGCTGATGTAGGGGTATTTATAGTTTTTTTTTTTTTTTTTTTTTTTTTTTAAACAGAGTTTTTGCTCTTGCCCAGGCTGGAGTGCAATGGCATGATCTTGGCTCACTGCAACATCCAATTCTTGGTTTCAAGTAATTCTCTTGCCTCAGCCTCCCGTGTAGCTGGGATGACAGGCACCTGCCCACACCGAGCTAATTTTTTTTTTTTTTTGATACGGAGTCTTGCTCTGTCACCCAGGCTGGAGTGCAGTGGCTCAATCTTGGCTCACTGCAAGCTACACCTCCTGGGTTCACGCCATTCATTCTCCTGCCTCAGCCTCCCGAGTAGCTGGGACTACATGTGCCTGCCACCATGCCCAGCTAATTTTTTGTATTTTTAGTAGAGACAGAGTTTCACTGTGTTAGCCAGGATGGTCTCGATCTTCTGACCTTGTGATCCACCCACCTTAACCTCACCAAGTGCTAGGATTACAGGTGTGAGCCACTGCACCTGACCAGGGGTATTTATAGTCTTATTGATCCCAGTTCATGTGATTATTCATATGATTTGCCACTAGAGTTATTCCATAATAGGCAGAATATTTACCACATTACCTTTCTAAAATCTAAATATTTTTGGATTGTAATTTCAAAGAATCTGACTTGGAAATCTTATTTTGAAATCTGATCCTAAGGAATTCGGATAAGCTATTGGAAAATATCACAAATGACAAAAATTTTGCGTTAAGATAAAATTGTTGATAAATTTAAATCACTTTGCAGCCGAGCATGGTGGTTCACACCTGTAATCTCAGCACATTGGGAGGCCGAGGCGGGTGGATCATGAGGTCAAGAGATCGAGACAATCCTGGCCAACATGGTGAAACCCCATCTCTACTAAAAATACAAAAAATTAGCCGGGTGTGGTGCTGCGTGCCTGTAGTCCCAGCTACTGGAGAGGCTGAGGCAGGAGAATTGCTTGAACCCAGGAGGCAAAGGTTGCAGCAAGCTGAGATCGCACCACTGCACTCCAGCCTGGTGATAGACCGAGACTCCATCTCAAAAAAACAAAAAAAAAATTAAATTACTTTGTATACATAAAGTTCTAATTTTTTAAAAAATTGTAAAATATCCTATACGTTCATTAGTATTACTTATTTGTTTTTATCACTCCATCAATGTGAGGCATAAATAAAATTTGTTAAGTTAAAACTTTCGGTGTACTTTCATTCATTTATTTATTTATTTTGAGACAGTTTCGCTCTATCATCCAGGCTGGAGTATAGTGGCATGATCTCGGCTCACTGCAACCTCCGCCTCCAAGGCTCAAGTGATTCTCGTGCCTCAGCCTTCCAAGTAGCTGGGACTACAGGCATGCACCACCATGCCTGGCTAATTTTTAAAAGTCCTATATCATATAAGAACATTAGAGTTCTGGGATTATTTTTTGTTTGTTTAAGAGACAGGGTCTCACTGTATTACGCAGGCTGGGGTGCAGTGATGTGATCATAGCTCACTGTAGCCTGGAACTCCTGAGCAAAGCAATTCTCCCTCCTCAGCCTCCCCAGTAGCTGGGACTACAGGTGCTTGCCACAATGCCCAGCTAGTTTTTAAATTTTCTGTAGATATAGGTCTCACTGTGTTGCCTAGTCTGGTTTCAAACTCCTGGCCTCAAGGGATCCTCCCCACTTGGCTTCCCAAAGTGCTAGGATTACAGGTGTAAGTGACCATGCCGGGACAAGAACATGAGACTTCTCTTACCATTTTTTTATATCTAAGTGGAATAGCATAGTATTATGTGTCAGTGTTGAATTATTTTAAAATATTATGCACTGAAACATGGTAATAATCTGGGTCAGTTTCTATCTTGACCTAGGTTTAAACATATTAGCTAACATGAGGGGCCCAAAATTAATAATGATTCCATACCATCTCCTTGTTTATTTATTCATTGAGACAGAGTTTTGATCTCTCACAAAGGTTGGAGTGCAGTAGCACCATCTTGGCTCACTACAACCTCCACCTCCTGTGTTCAAGTGATTCTCCTGCCTTAGCCTCCTGAGTAGCTAGGATTACGCCCACCACCACAACCAGCTAACTTTTGTATTTTTAGTACAGATAAAGTTTCACCAGGTTGGCCAGGTTGGTCTTGAACTCCTGATCTCAAGTGATCCGCGGCCTTGGCCTCCCAAAGTGTTGTCATTATAGGCGTGAGCCACTGCCTCCAGCCACCATCTCCTTTCATTAAAAATATGTGAGCTGAAAATAATTTGAGGGCAGTTATTTTCATATAGTCATTTTATCAAACGGATTATATTAATGACTAGTATTAATATTTATTTTATCTAAAATTATGTCTGATTTTTCTAAATTCTCTGACTTGCTAATAATGTTAAACATTAGGTTTAATACATATAATTAGGTCTGTGTGGATGCACTATGTAAATAAAATTGTTTTTAACATTTTGTAAGGTCTGCTGCTTTACAAGTCTTATTATCTTTGCTCCATTTTTGATACCAAAATTTTAACTGTGATAATTAGGCTGGAGATAGCAAATCAAGGGTATGTTTATATAATCACTCTCAAGGATCTCAAGGGTCATTTTCTGGTTACATTATGAAAATTGTAAAAGGAATCAAGTATATATTCCAGATAATAGCTCTTGATAAATCATATACATCTATATAATAGCTATAGATATAGTTTAAGATTTAGATCTAGATATATTCAGCAACTTTGTAATTTATCAAAAGGTTTTGGTTAAAATGTAAGACATTCCTCAATATAGAATTAGTTCTAAAAATTTGTTGCAATGAAGAATGTTAACAACTTACCTTCCTGTTTTCTCTGAATATGAAACAATTCAAGATAGACATAGAAATAAAGCATAATGAACTTTGGGAGGCCGAGGCAGGTGGATCATGAGCTCAGGAGATCGAGACCATTCTGGCTAACACGGTGAAACCCCGTCTCTAATAAAAATATACAAAATTAGCTGGGCGTGGTGGTGGGCGCCTGTAGTCCCAGCTACTTCGGAGGCTGAGGCAGGAGAATGGCGTGAACCAGGTAGGCGGAGCTCGCAGTGAGCCGAGATTGCACCATGGCACTCCAGCCTGGGCTACAGAGCCAGACTCCATCTCAAAACAACAACAACAACAAAAAAAAAAAACAGAAGTAAAGCATAATGAAATAAACATGTGAGCTCTGTAGCTCATGGTGTTGTTGGCGTGGTGCTTAGCAACAGGGATTTTCCTACACTACACTCCAGTACAGGGCACAGAGCAGAAACTTTATTGCTAAATTTACCGCATAGCAGAGGCAGAACAGAATTCATTTTCACTGCAGGCTGGGACATCCTAAAGACAAAAAACATGGAATGGGTGATATGAGCTACCCTAGTTTATTTCTTTCTTCCAATATCTCCAGTCACCTCCACTATTGATCTAGTGAAAACAGGCGCAGGAACAGTGCTCTAAACGACATTCGATGTCCTTCAATATCTTTGTCAGTCTGAATTCAAAGGAAATATTTTAACTCAAGTAAAAAGAAGACTACAAAAGAAAGATAACCCATATGGGGATAGCAGACTTTTTTGTTTTTGTTGTTGTTTTAAAATCTCTTGTTTTTGGCCACAGGCACTCTGAGCTAGAAGAAAATATTTAGGAGAAGGATGAGAAATCCTTCTGTGTTGAATAAGGGAATTACTTCCAGATGGCAATGGTGTAAATCTACTATGATAACAACTATATATATATATATATATATATATATATATATATATATATATATAATGAAATATGTTTATAGAAAATGTCTGGAATCTTTTTACAGTCTAGAGTCCTTCTCAATGGCCTTAATTTGCAAAAATAGCCTCAAATTATTTTATTTAATTAAAAACTGCAAGAGATTAACATTTTCTCCTCATAAGGTCCAGTCAAGTATTTTTCTTTTGAATGAAGAAAAAAAATACATTGCCTGTAAAAAATTAATTCTTTGACTTAGTAGTTAGCAGTGAACAGTTGATATGGTTTGGATGTTTTATCCCCTCCAAATCTCATATTAAAATGTGACCTGTATTGTTGGATGTGAGGCCTAGTGGGAGGTATTAGGTCATGGGGGCAAATCCCTCATGAATGGTTTGGTTCCCTCCCTTGGGTAATAAGTGGTAAAGAGTTTACAGGAGATCTAGTTGTTTAAGAGTGTGGCACCTTCCCTCTCTCTCTCTTGCTCCCTCTCTTGCCCTATGACATGCTGGCTCCCCTTCAAATTCTGCCATGATTGTAATCTTCCTGAGGCCCTCACCACAAGCAGATGCTGACACTATGCATTGTGTACAATCTGCAGAACCAAGGGCCAAATAAATCTATTTTCTTTATAAATGACCCAGTCTTAGTTATTTGTTTTACAACAACACAAACACACTAACACACTGGTGAAAATCAACTTAAATACTTAAATACAGATAATATAAATTTAAAATGCAATCTAAGAGTTGTAAAATTTATATTTCCCCTTCAAAAATTAGCATTCTAAATTATCTCCTTACTATTTGTTTTGCTTTATACACTTCCAACTTCCTATGCTCAAGTTTTCAGAAGACATTGAAGAACATCACATCATTAGAGAGAAGAAAAGGAAAAATTGGCTACAAAAATTAACCATACAGTGTATTGAATTAATAGAGTTTTGCTGAACAATTTTTGTTAATGGAGTTTATATTTTTAGGTATAAATATTTTTCTACATGATATATTTAGACAAAGTTTTTTTTTTTAAATATAGGATATTTGCAGCAAACGGTCCAAAGGATCCCAATTATTAAACAAAACACAAATATAAATTGATTACAGTATATCAAATATGCCTTAATAATTAGGTAGCTATAAAAAGTAGAGTTACAAGATTGAGAGGTACTTTGTCTTCTGTGAAGGCTTTAAAAACATGAAGCTACATTTCCCACCATCAAAGATTTATGTGTAAGAGATTTGTCTTCATTTTGTTTTAATTAGATGAAACGATTTGCCCATGGGGCATCTAAACTCAGAATGAGTTTGACATCACAACACAGTTTATATTCTCTCAGGAAAAATGAAAGGAAACTAAAGGATTTTATTTTTCAGACATCAAATCACAAAACAAAACAGTCCAATTTTCTTTGGGTTCTCAGTTGTACATTTATGTCTTCAGGGTTTTAAAAAACCACACCGTTTTGCATGCTTAAAAATAAAAGATTCGGTTCAAGAGTTCATCTTTGTAACATCTTTTCAATTTTTCTTTAAATCTCTAGGTCTAAAACTTTGCTAAATAAAAAATATTTAGCGAGAAACAAGTTTACATGTGTTGCTTGCTGAAAGAAACTGCTAAAGGGAATGCATTAAGATATGGAACACAATTATGCAAAGTAAATACTCAGTTGAACATGCCAGATGTTTCCTAAATTTAAATTGTTAAATGGCCATCGTGGAAGAATCATTTTAGTTTTAAATTCTGTAATAAGCAAAATAACTTTCTTACATAGAAACATTTGTTCCTTTGTGTATGAACCAAATCAAATATCATATAAAAATTATACATAAGATATGAATCTGAATCATATATAATGTAGCTTATCCAAACATATTTTAGATGAAACTGTCAGTATTTTTTATATTATCAACATAGAACTGTTTTAAGATAAATCATTTATTCATTTTTCATCTCAATCAATATTTTTATAAGAGATGACATAAGTTAGATGATTCAGCTAATCTACACTGAAAGCAGTGGATAAGTCAATTACAATTTTTGCTCAAATATGGAAAAAATCTGACTGATTATAATCAAAATCATTAACTGTCATTTACTTTTCCTGAAAGCTCTTTATTTAATATAAAATCTAGACATAAAGAAACTAATTTATCCTCTTAAGTGCTATAAACATTTTCTCTCATTTCATTTTTTTTTTAGTTGTCAATTTTGATAGTGTTCAACTAGAAGTCACGAATAGGCAATCCACTAACATAGGTTCACAGTTCTCATATATTTTTGAAACATTGAAATCAACCTGTCCCCAACTCCACTCCAGAGGCTAATGTCAAAATACCTGCTGAAAGCAATGCCAAGCCAATATCTCTGAAATATAAAGTTGGCTATTATAATTCTCTTCATGATTATATTTTTATGTATATATGAGAGACAGAGCAAACATTATACATGAAAAATAATACATTTTACTTAAAAACATGTTAAGGTCTCTTGGGTGTGGTGGCTCATGCCTGTAATCCCAGCACTTTGGGAGGCCGAGGCAGATGGATCACGAGGTCAGGAGATCGAGACCATCCTGGCTAATATGGTGAAACCCTGTCTCTACTAAAAACACAAAAAAATTAGCCGAGAATGGTGGTGGACGCCTGTAGTCCCAGCTACTTGGGAGACTGAGGCAGGAGAATGGCATGAACCCAGGAGGCAGAGCTTGCAGTGAGCCGAGATCGTGCCACTGCACTCCAGCCTGGGCGACAGAGTGAGATGCCATCTCAAAACAAGCAAACAAATAAAACATGTTAAGGTCTATAAGGTCTACAACTTAGTCATTTCTTAACTATACGACCTTGGGTGGGCCACTTACTTAGTTTCTCATTACTTTGGTTTTCTTTCTTGAAAAGTGAAGAATTGTTTTCTTCACAGTTATAATTGTTTTCTGAAAATGTAAAACACTAGAAACATTGCCTGGCATTGAGTAAATTATTAGTTTTTATTATTAGTACTGATTCATATTTTTCCTACTTAAAATTAGATAATGACTCCTCATATTCTGCATGATTTTATAGGATATAAGTTTAAATACAAATCAAGACATATTTGAAATAATGTTCTATACATTCAACCTCAGATTTATTCGATGAAACCCCACATTTCTATTTGATAGCGTAGGTGACATCCACATCCTATTTTGCCTCATTATTGAACAGTGTCTTACCTAATTTTCTAGATGTCATAATTTATTTACTCTTGTCTCGTTTTCATGATGGTGTGTATACTGCATATTTTGAGACATAGTACATTTAATTGAGTTATTTTCTTGCTCAAAAAGAAAACTAGTTCCACCTCCATTGAATCTTCAGTTTAAACTTAGAATTTAAAATAAAAAAAACTGTTCTATGGCAATGATCATAAACTAGCAAATTGGTATCTCATGGGTTGGATTAAGGCTGGCTGACAGAATGACCTTGAAGGGCCATGTGTGTGCATGTTTACTCACCTTAAAATAAAAGAATTTTCTGTATGGGTTTATTTTACTAAGATTAGTGAGCCTTTTAAAAGAGTCAGGTGCTTCTGATAAATCATATATGTCCCTGCCCAGTCTCTCTGTACTCACAAATCAGTCTGAGTGATGTAATATCATTTGAAGGTAGACTGTGATAAGTTAAAGCTGCATATTATGAACTATGAAGTAACTACAAAAATAAAAAGAGTTACACCTAAAACCTAATAAAGAAAAAAAAGATCATAAAAATCAACATAAAGCAGAAAAAAAAATGCATCAGAAAAGCATATGATAAAATAGAAAATAGTGAGATGTTAGATTTAAAACCAACAATACAATAATTATTTTGGAAGAGTAGATGAAATATAAATTTGAGGCTACCAATTTTAAGTGGATTTTGAGGACAGTCACTGTATTCTTAAGAAAGTTCTATTAATTTTGCAAATACTTTGAGGGGTATAAAAATAGAGATATAATAAATTGTACACTAAAGACAATAAGTGATGATTAAGTACTTTAATTTATCACAGATGCTACGTATTTCCGAAATCCAGTAGAAATGTAATCAATTTGTTTGACAGAACTTCAGTCTTTCTATTAACAAGTCTTTCAGATCAAAATTAAAGAAAATCATATTGTATACTTGAGCGATGTCCTTTATAGAGTCTTCATCCTCAGTCATAGGCTCAATTGCATGTGTCTGGTAAGAATTATAAATAATAGGACAGTTATTTCAGTTAATATGTTCTGTTAATCTATTTCAATTCAGAAAAAAACACCTATTTAGTTTTAGGATCTAATATATGTGAACAAATTTGGGAGGATTTCTTTAATAATCTATATGCATTCTTTGTTTTACATTCTTTCAAGCAAACATATGACATGGACAAATATGTGCAAACACAAAATCACTGCAGTATATTAGAGTGGAAATGCAATGGCAGCATTCTTTTTCAGTAAGTTCAGTAAAATATTTGAGTCATGCTGAGTACAAAATACTTTGTTAAGGCTAATTAGGTTGCAGATTATAAAATGTATTGGTAATAAATAGTACCAATAAATTAGACTCACCTTTCTCAAAAGAAAGTGACTAATAATATTTTGTTGCTGAGTTAAACAGAATAAATGTCTAAGAACTTAGCCAGAAGGCTGAGATTTTAATTAGTTATTAAGGTGTTCAGGTTAATGTAAATCAGATTTGCCTTTCTAGATAAAGAATACAGATTGACAGTGGCATTAACATTGTCATTAAATCTTAAATAAACACTAATTTCCCAGTGCTTGCAAGAATCTGACCTGGAAAAAGATGAAAAAAAGGAGATACTATAGAGTTTTTTGTTAATTATCAAGCTTTTCCTTTGTGTTTTGTTTATCAGATATATAACGTTTGAAACTGAAGCTGATAATCAAATGAAATAGTTTTTAAAAACTACTTGTTGGAGTCAAATGACTACTCTTGGCTTTTCTTTCTTTTTTTCCATTTCCATTTATAATAGCCAAAAAAAGTTTCTTGTCACTGTTTCTAAATAACACCATGACCTCCTGCTCACAAATTAAAATGTATTGCAATTCTCTAAATAAGAACAATCTACCCTTTCTAAAATTTCAAATTAAATGTGCTTTATTTTTAGTATAGTGACCTACCCTGCATGTATAAATTAAATGTAAGAAACATTTTATGTTTAGTAGGCTTGAAAATGAGACTATTTTTCCCTTATTTTTTCTCCTTAAAACTTATTAATTCCTTTTTATATTCTAGATCTATAAATACTAAAATATTCTATCTATTAACTGCTCTAATCTTTATGTAACAGTGTAGGTTCTACCCATGTAACAGATGAGGAAACCAAGGAGCACAGTTATTTACTAACTCGCACAAGGCAAGTTTCAAAATTGTCTTTGAAAATAATGATTGCTTTTAAGGTTTATTCTATAATGGTTTAAGATCATGGGTTACAGAAGTAGAACAACAGTGTCTAATTACTAGTTCTAATAATTCTTATCGGATTTGTTGAGATTTTATACACATACATGTTTGTTTTTGTGTATAAGTATATATGTAACAATGTATTACACATATGAATTAACTGTTTAATATGTGTGAACTATTATATTCATTACTTGGCATTAATGTTTAGGTTGTTTCGATTTTACCCTCAAAATGTAATGACTTTTTGAGAGCCTATATCAAATTATTGGAAATACAAATGTATTTTTAAAGGGATTAGGGATTCTTAGTATTTGAATATGAATTGTGAAGATTAGTATTGAAAAAACTCTTGGTAACTTAGCAGGAGTAGCTGCAAAGGTGTTCCTTCTTTTCCTAAATGAATTATAAAGTATAAGAGTATTAAAGTCTACTTGTTTTTACTGCTAAATATATATATATATATGTAGAATTTGAAGCTTTAGTTCATCTAACTACGATTCCTCTCTCAGAGCCTTTCCTGAGGAAATTTTTTTTTTGGTGGAGAGACTGAGAACACGAGGTGCACAGTGACCAGCTAAAGGGAGAATGAGGCAGTTCCAAAATGAATTATAAAGTATACGAGTATTAAAGTCTACTTGTTTTTTATTGCTAAAGTTGTGTATATGTGTGTGTATATATATATATATATATATATATATGTATGAAAATGTAGAATTTGAAGCTTTGGTTCATCTAACTGTGATTCCTCTACCAGAGCCTTTCCTGAGGAAATTTCTTACCCTGGGCCATCTGTCCTGTGTGTCTGTCCTCCTTGTGATCAGTTATTTGCACAGTGGCTCTGACCTGGCAGCCCACCTCTGGGTCCCCACTCCCCCAGAACTTCCCAGTCTGCCTTCTCCTGCCAGACACCCTGAGGCAGCTGTGTCCCCCAGACATAGCCTGGATGGGTATGCACCTGTCCCCACCACCGTCTGTCACCTCTGCTCCACACCTGACCAGTGGCCAGCACCACACTGGGGTTGACTGCCTTCACCGTGTCCATGCCTGCTCCGGCAGTGGGAGCTCAGTGCCAGGCTGTGGGGGGCATCTTGGAAAGCAGAGGTGTCCCTGCAGGATCTCTATGAGACTGTGTTGTCGGTGGCCGCGCTGGTTTCCCCGGAGTAGCGCCCGATGTCACTGCCGAGACCTTAACGGAAGGTGCGCGTCCAGTCCTCGCACTGCTGTGTGTTCTGGTCAGAATGGAAGTGGTGGCCTCCACTAGGAGCTTCTGTGCTTTGGGAGAATTTGTCCAAACCGTGGTCCCGTTTGTTCTCCAATCCTGTGTAGACACCATGACCCAGTTGTGTAAACACAGGCCCCTTGCAGCTCAGAGGCTGCCCTCTGAGAGTCACCGTCGTGTCGCTTTGGGGAAAAGATGAGCCCGCCCGGTTCCTCTCTGTGCACCTCATGCCTGGGGCTCCGTCCCGTCCT
This sequence comes from Homo sapiens, assembly GCF_000001405.40. Classification (NCBI taxonomy): domain Eukaryota; kingdom Metazoa; phylum Chordata; class Mammalia; order Primates; family Hominidae; genus Homo; species Homo sapiens. The sequence continues at coordinate 33,496,318 of NC_000016.10, read as the reverse complement.
GGGTGGGTTTTCACCTGCACCGCTGGCCCCTCCCCCGGGAGCGTTGGTGGAGCCGGCTTTCTCAGCCAGGAGCCTGTTGCGGGGTCAGCGGCTGGAGCTCAAGGTCGGCTCAGGGGACTTTCTCGTGCTGGAGGTTGGCTGCGGAGCAGCCTGCATTTCTCGGAAAACAGGGCCCAGGGCCTGCTCCACGCCGCTGTCCACGTCTTCACCATCCCCTCGTTGCAGGTTCGAGGCCGAGCTCAGACCTGTGGAGCAGAAGCTGAGTGCGCTGCAGTCCCCGCTGGCCCAGAGGCCCTTCTTCGAGGTGCCCTCACCCCTGGGCGCCGTGGACCTGTACGAGTATGCATGCGGGGATGAGGACCTGGAGCCACTGTGACGCCACCCATGAGAACGCCGCTGCGGGGCCGCTCCACACGTGCCACGGCCACCACTGGGACACCGCCGCTTGTGTAAAAACTGTTGTCTTTTGTGGAAAATGAGTGTGTTTGCATGGAATGATAAATTTTTATTTATTCACAGAAGCGTGTTGATTGCCGCTGTGGGTTCGTGGCTGGACCTGCCTAGAGCTCTGTGCCCGGGGGACATGTAGGGCCGCTCGTGAACAGGACAGGTTCTGACACTGTTCTGACTGACACCCTCCGGCACTTGCCATTCCCGACTTGACTCGGCCTCAGTTCCAGGGCCTGCATCTTTCTGGAAAGGGTCTGTGTAGGCACAAGGGTGACCGGCGGCTCCCGGGCGCCTTGCCAGTCCTAGACAGGAGCCTCCGCCATGGCCTGTATGAATGTTTTGTGTAAATGTACAAAAGCGTTTCTGGCGATCACACTTGTATTTTTGAATGAATGTTTGGAGGATTTTTCAGTCACGGGCTTGGCTCCCTCAGCCACAGCATGGCTCCTTTCAGAATTTACAAACGTCGGCGCTGGAGGGGGACCGCGGCCACGCCAGATGCATCGGGATACAGTCTGGGCCTCTCTGCGGGGCCTCCTCCCCAGCCAGGGGTCCCCACCCTTGGGCTGTTCCCTCCCAGAGCCATGGACCCAGGCCACATTCCACAAACGACCCCAGAAGGAAGGAGCCCTCGCCAGAGTGGGGACGTCCACACCTGGGAGCCACGTGCAGCGACACCTAAATGAGGGGGTTCGGAGGCCCCGCCAGGAGGAGCCCTGTGTGCAGGGGAGGCCACGAGCCCCCAGGTCCCCCAGGGGCACCCGACATGGATAAGCCCAGGCCCAGCTCTGTTCCCTCTGCAAGCAGGGGAGGGTCACAGGTGGTGACCATGGGAATGACCCCGTCCTCACACAAGACAAAATGCTCCCCCAGGAAAGGGAGGTGGCAGCATCTACAGGGCAGGGCACAGGCGGGCAGGGCGGCCCTGGGCACTTGGTGGGGAGGGCAGGGCCGGGCCGGGCCGGGACCACCCCAAGAGCAGCACACACGCCCCGTTAATCTACTGGCAGCTGTGGCTGTGAAGGAGGTGGATGCACAGGGTGGTCCCATGACCCCTGAGGAGAGACGGTGCGGGCTCCAGGCAGTGGGTAGACTGGCCGCACCTCCCAGGGAAATGGCTGCTGCCCCCAAGGTGTCCTCTGTCACCAGGTGCTCCCCTGAATTCCCGGATGCCCCCACCTGGGTCTGCGAAGGGTCAGGGTCCCCAACAACAGGACAGGTGCAGGGCCGGAGAGTCTGACTGTGGCTGCTGCAGGGAAGTGACACTGGGAGCCACAGCCTGCAGGCCCCACCCTGCCCCAAGCTCCGGGGAGCCCATCTGGGAGAGCATGTCTGCCCCACACCACCTCAGGACACCCCTCACACACACCTATGAGCTGGAGCCCATGGTCATGGGAGTGAGGGGCCAGAAGTGAGGGGTTCACCTCTGACTGGGACCCTCAGCTTCCCACACTGACACTAGGAGCCCCCCAATTAGGGTTCAAGGCTGAGACATCAGAAGCCTCCCTGGGGCTGTGAAACGAAAGACAGCGTCCCCCACCCACATCCCTGGTGAGGCTCCTGCACAGCCTGAGTGTCCTCCGACATCCCCATACCCACTGCATTCCCCAAGCACCCCGTCCTTCCCTAGCCACGGCCCCAGATGCTCTGGGCTGTGCCAGGGCCGGGCATGCACACCCACACCTTTGCTGGAGAAGTGGGGGGTCCTCGTGGACGGCAGCACTGCGGTGAGACCCAGAGCCCAGCGGTCCTGCCCTCCACGAGTTCTGGGGGTCCATTTCCCTGAGAGCTCACGTGTGAGGTGGGCCAGGGACCCCACAAGAAAAGCACCTGCATCACCCTCACCGTGGCCAGCGTCCAGCATCCTGCTAGGACAGAAGCCAGGGTGTTCCAGGCAGAGGCGCCTCTGGCATCCCCACCTCACCCTCTGTGAATGACAATCTTGGGTCCCTGGCATTTCGTGGCCATCACCCCTTGGCGATCCCCATGCAGGGACCCAGCCCACCCCACCCCTCCCTCACATGGTCCCTTCATGTCAGACCCAAGAGTGTTCACGGGGGCAGCCCCAGGTTCACCCAGAAGCAGCAGGAGCTCTGTTGCAGGATGACCATGAAAGGTGACAGCCACTCCACAGCAACGATGCCAGCCATGGCCCTGAGGTCCCCGGGCACCTCCTTGTGGGACAGGACACAGCTCCTCAAGGTGCAGCAGGGGTGACGGGCACCACAGGCTCCCAGCACTGGCACCAGACCGGCATCCAGAGCGCTGTCCTGAGGGGCGGCAGGGATGGGCATGGCAAGACGGGCTTCCCAGAATGAGGGGACCCAGCCTGGGTGGGGGATGGGGCTTGGACAGCCATGAGACGGGAGACACAGAGGAGATGGAGAAGGGGGAAATGGGGGAGAACTGGGGGGCATCAGATACAGGAATGAGGCAGAGCCGGACCCAGCCATGGCTTGCAGCCCTGAGGTCCCGGGGCACCTCCTCGTGGGACAGGACACAGCTCCTCAAGGTGGAGCAGGGGTGACGGGCACCACAGGCTCCCAGCACTGGCACCAGACCGGCACCCAGAGCCCTGCCCAGAACAAGGGGGGACCGAGCCTGCGGAGGGATGGAGCCTAGACAGCCATGACATGGAGAAGGGGGAGTTGGAGGAAATGGAGACGGGCAAGACGGAGGGGACGGGGGAGATGGAGGAGATGGAGGAGAAGGGGGAGATAGAGAATGGGGGAGTTGGGGAAGAACTGGTGGGCATCAGATGCAGGAATGAGGCAGACCGGACCCAGCCATGCCCAGCAGTTCCTAGAGGAGACACGGCTCCCAGGTGGGACTGGGAGGCCTTTATGACTCAGAGCCAGGGAAGGAACAGAGGCTGGAGGTCGTCACCAGCACAATGCCCACTGGCCGCCTTGCTCAGGCCAAGGGGTTGGACCCCACATGGCACAGGAGCCCCATCTGCTGCAACCCTAAGATGCACATCCTGTGGCTGAAAGAGATGCGGCCCCTGGGGCGGCGCAGACCCCACGTGGCACAAACGACCCGGCTGAGTTTAAAGCCTGCAGACAAGACCACTCACGCAGCAACACACTGCTGTGTGGCTACAGGAGGGGCCTCGAACCATGTTCCCCATGACCCACAGGCAGACCCTGGGAGGGCAGGGATGCCCCCTGTCGCACCAACCTCTGTAGAAGTCACAGCCCCAGCCTCGGCTGCCGCACACGCCAAGCCAAGCCAAGCCAAACAAGCCAGCCAGCCAGCCAAGCCAGCTAGGCCGGCCCAGCCAGCCAAGCCAGCCAAGCCACCCAGCCGGCCAAGCCATCCAAGCCAGCCAACCAACCCAGCCAGGCAAGCCAGCCAAGCCACCCAGTCAAAGCCAGCCAGCCAGCCAAGCCAGATAAGCCAGCCAGCCAGCCAAGCCAGCCAAGCGACCCAGCCAGCCAAGCCACCCAGCCAAGCAAGCCAAGACAGCCAGCCAGCCAGACAAGCCAGCCAGCCAGCCAAGACAGCCAAGACAGCCAAGCCACACAGTCAGCCAAGCCAGCCAGCCAGGCAGCCAAGCCAGCCAGCCAAACCAGCCAGGCAGCCAAGCCGGCCAAGCCAGCCAAGCCAGCCAGCCAGGCAAGCCAGCCAAGCCAGCCAAGCCAGCCAGCAAAGCCACCCAAGCGAGCCAAGCCACCCAAGCCGCCAAGCCAGCCAAGCCACATAGCCAGCCAAGCCATCCAAGCCATCCAAGCCACCCAAGCCACCCAAGCCACGCAGCCAGCCAAGCCAGCCAAGCCACCCAGCCAGACAAGCCAGCCAGCCAACCAGCCAGCGAAGCCGGCCAGCCAGCCAAGCCACCCAGGCAGCCCAGCCAGCCAAGCCACAGAGCCACCCAAGCCAGCCAAGCCACCCAGCGAGCCAAGCCAGCCAAGCCAGCACAGCCGGCCAAGCCAGCCAAGCCATCCAAGCCAGACAAGCCACCCAGCCAGCCAAGCCAGCCAAGCCACCCAGCCAAAGCCAGCCAGGCAGTCAAGCCAGCCAGTCAGCCAAGACAGCCAAGCCAGCCAGGCAGCCAGCCAAGCCAGCCAGCCAGCCAAGCCAGCCAAGCCACACAGCCAGCCAAGCCAGCCAAGCCAGCTAGCCAGCCAAGCCTGCCAGCCAGCCAAGCCAGCCAAGCCACCCAGCCAAAGCCAGCCAGCCAGCCAAGCCAGCCAGACAGCCAGGCAAACCAAGCCACCCAGCCAGCCAGGCCAGCCAAGCCAGCCAAGCCACCCAGCCAGCCAAGGCAGCCAAGCCTCCCAGCCAAAGCCAGCCAGCAATCCAAGCCAGCCTAGCCAGCCAGCCAGCCATGCCAGCCAAGCCAGCCAGCCAGTCAAGCCAGCCAAGAAATCCAGCCGGCCAAGGCAGCCAAGCCACCCAGCCGGACAAGCTAGCCAAGTCAGCCAAGACACCCAGCCGGCCAAGCCAGCCAAGCCACCCAGCCCGCCAAGCCAGCCAAACCACCCAGCCAAAGCCAGCCAGCCAAGCCAGCCAAGCCAGCCAGGCCAGCCAAGCCACCCAGCCAGCCAAGCCAGCCAAGCCAGCCAGCCAAAGCCGGCCAGCCAGCCAAGCCAGCCAGCCAGCCATGCCAGCCAGCCAGCCAGGCCATAATTTCATCATTCCACTTCATCATTCCACTTCATCATTTCATTTCATTTCATTTCATCATTTCATTTCATTTCATCCTTTCATTTCATCTCATCATTTCATCCTTTCATTTCATCATTTCATCTCATCATTTCATCTCATCATTTCACTTCATCTCATCATTTCATCATTTTATCTCATGATTTCATTTCATCTCATGATTTCATTTCATCTCATCATTTCATCTTTTCATCTCATCATTTCATTTAATCATTTTATTTCATTTTATCTTTTCATCTCATCATTTCATCATTTCATTTCATCGATTCATCATTTCATCATTTCATTTCATTATTTCATCATTTCATCATTTCACTTCATCTCATCATTTCATTTTATATCATTTCATTTCATCATTTCATCTTTTCATCATTTCATTTCATTTCATGATTTCACTTCATTTCTTCATTTCATTTCCTCATTTCATTGCACCATTTCATCACTTCATCATTTCATCATTTCATTTCATCATTCCATTTCATCATTTCATCATTTCATTTCATCTCATCATTTCATCATTTCATTTCCTCATTTCACCATTACATTTCATCTCATCATTTTATTTTATCATTTCATTTCATCATTTCATTTATTCATTTCTTCATTTCGTTTCATCATTTCATCATTTCCTTTCATTTCATCATTTCATCTCATCATTTCATCTCATCATTTCATCTCATCATTTCATCTCATCATTTCATCTCATTTCATTTCATTCATTTCATCATTTCATCTCATGATTTCATTTCATCTCATCATTTCACTTCATCTCATCATTACACCATTTCATCTCATGATTTCATCTAGTCATTTCATTTCATCTCATCATTTCATTTCATCTTTTCATCTCTTCATTTCATTTCACCGTTTCATCTTTTCATCTCGTCATTTCACTTCATTTCATCATTTCATCAATTCATCATTTCATCATTTCATTTCATTATTTCATCATTTCATCATTTCACTTCATTTCATCATTTCATATAATTTCATCATTTCATTTTATCATTTCTTTTAATTTCATTTCATCATTTCACTTTATTTCATCATTTCATATCATTTCATTTCATCATTTCATCTTTTCATGTCATTTCATCATTTCATCATTTCATTTCATTCATTTCATCATTGCATTTCATCATTTCATCATTTCATCTCATGATTTCATTTCATCTCATCATTTCACTTCATCTCATCATTTCATCTCATGATTTCATCTCATCATTTCATTACATCCCATCATTTCATGTTTTCATCTCGTCATTTCATCATTTCATTTCATTTTGTCTTTTCATCTCGTCATTTCATTTCATCATCATTTCAGTTCATTTATTTCATCATTTCATTTCATCATTTAATTTCATCATTTCACTTCATTTCATCATTTCATTTCATTTCATATCATTTCATCATTTCCTCTTTTAATTTCATTTCATAATTTCATCATTCCACTTCATCATTTCGTTTCATCATTTCATTTCCTCATTTCATCATTTCATTTCATCCTTTCATTTCATCTCATCATTTCATCCTTTCATTTCATTCTTTCATTTCATTATTTCATCTCATCATTTCATCTCATCATTTCATCATTTCACTTCATCTCATCATTTCATCATTTTATCTCATGATTTCATCTCATCATTTCATTTCATATCATTTCATCTTTTCATCTCGTCATTTCACTTAATCATTTTATTTCATTTTATCTTTTCATCTCATCATTTCATTTCATCATTTCATCATTTCATTTCACTTCATTTCATTTCATCATTTCGTATCATTTCTTCATTTCATCTTTTCATTTCATTTCATCATTTCATCATTTCATTTCATTTCATCATTTCACTTCATCATTTCATTTCTTCATTTCATTTCCTCATTTCATTGCACCATTTCATCACTTCATCATTTCATCATTTCATCATTCCATTTCATCATTTCATCATTTCATTTCATTTCATCTCATCATTTCATTTCATTTCCTCATTTCACCATTACATTTCATCTCATTTCATCATTTTATCATTTCCTTTCATCATTTCATTTCTTCATTTCATTTTGTTTCATCATTTCATCATTTCCTTTCATTTCATCATTTCATCTCATCATTTCATCTCATCATTTCATCTCATTTCATTTCATTCATTTCATCATTTCATCATTTCATCTCATGATTTCATTTCATCTCATCATTTCACTTCATCTCATCATTACACCATTTCATCTCATGATTTCATCTAGTCATTTCATTTCATCTCATCATTTCATCTTTTCATCTCGTCATTTCATTTCATCATTTCATTTCATCTTTTCATCTCGTCATTTCATTTCATTTCATTTTATCAATTCATCAATTTATCATTTCATTTCATTTCATTATTTCATCATTTCATCATTTCATCATTTCACTTCATCATTTCATTATTTCATATAATTTCATCATTTCATTTTATCATTTCTTTTAATTTCATTTCATCATTTCATCATTTCACTTTATTTCATCATTTCATATCATTTCATCATTTCATTTCATCATTTCATCTTTTCATTTAGTTTCATTATTTCATCATTTCACTTCATCATTTCATTTCATTTCCTCATTTCATCATTTCATTTCATTTCCTTTCATCATTTCATCTCATCATTTCATCCTTTCATTATTTCATTTCATCATTTCATGTCATCATTTCACTTCATCATTTCATCATTTCATTTCATCATTTCACTTCATCTCCTCACTTCATCATTTCATCTCATCATTTCATCTCATCATTTCGTTTCATCTTTCCATCTCATCATTTCATTTAATCATTTCATTTCATCTTTTCATCTCATCATTTCATTTCATTTCATCATTTCATTTCATCAATTCATCATTTCATTTCATTTTATTATTTCATCATTTCATCATTTCACTTCATTTCCTCATTTCATTTCATCATTTCATATTTCTTCATCATTTCATCTTTTCATTTCATTTCATCATTTTATCATTTCATTTCATTTCATCATTTCACTTCGTCATTTCATTTCATTTCCTCATCTCATTTCACCATTTCATCATTTCATCATTCCATTTCATCATTTCATCATTTCATTTCATCATTTCATCATTTCATCATTTCATTTCATCATTTCATCATTTAATTTCATCATTTCACCATTTCACTTCATCTCATCATTTCATCATTTTATCATTTCATTTCATCAGTTCATTCCTTCATTTCATCATTTCCTTTCATTTCATTATTTCATTTCACCATTTCATCATTTCATTTCATTTCAGTGATACATATATTTAAGTGCTAATGTGATGCCCAGGAGACATCCTACTTCCCTTTGTAAAATACCTCCTTCAACAAAAGGCAACCTCTCATGGCTGGCTAAGTCTACAGGGATACCAGGCTCTCCTCAACCACCCAATTTGATTTAGAACCTCAAACAGCACCTCAGTTTCATGAAAACCTAACACATAAACACAACACTTGGTTGTAAGTGAGCCAACAGCTTCTTGTCTCTTTCTCTGCTCAAGGCTTAAGGCCGTGTCTCCCCAACTACGTTCAGTGGAAGAAAAGATCCCCTGGACAAATAAGTTTGAGGACTGTCATTGCAGGACTTCTCAGAACCTTTAAAACACAAATCCTCATCCGCAGGGATCTTCAGGAGGGAGACGGCTGATGCAGCACAACTTTCTTTCACAGGAGCATCTTGCAGAATACAGTATGAGATACAGAAAGGCTGCACTGAGTCTTTTTAAGGGTCTGGGCCTTGGTGGGGGTGGGGTAGGAGCTCTCCAGATAGCATCTAATGAGTAGGAACATTCAGGTTGCTTTTTTTTTCCCTTATTGGCAAAACTGTGTGTGCACCATGAATGAAGCTGGTCTCCCTTATCCACATCAAAACTAAACCCAAATTAATTGGCTAAATTGGGACTCAACACCACCAGGAGCCACGTGGAAGACAGCCCTACCACACTTTAAAGTAGCTTACCTCATCATGTTTGAGGAAAGCAAAACGCTTATGACCAGTATGCTGCTAATACAAGTCTACAGATAATGCTGTAGGAAAAATTATTTTTCCCAATCATAGCTGGCATAGTCCACATTTTGCATTACAATTTCCCCTTTTTTAAAATTTAAACACAGGTCTTTTTCTCTTCTTTTTAAACATTTTAATTTAATTTTACAAGACGGAGTCTCAGTATGTTGCCCAGGCTGGTCTTCAACTCCTGAGCTCAAGTGATACATCCCTCTCTGCCTCCCAAAGTGCTGGGATTACAGGCCTGAGACACTGTGCCCGGCCTTCAACATAAAGTTTAATTCATTCTTACAATTATCCTGAAGTTAGAAAAATGGAAGGGGAAGAAAAATGGCAAGCAGGTAGGCTGACTTCGACTTCATTATTTGGAAGGACAGTTTGCTCGGTTAAAACACTCTACTGCCCAAAAGGCCAAGACAACAGAAAAATACAGACTTACATAAATAGATTTTATATGTGACAGCAGTTTGAATGGAGACTTTTTCAATGCAAATGACAAACAGCTGTGCTTGGGAATAAATGACAAAGAATTTTTTATCTCAACAGCTGTCCTGAGAGCACGTCTCTACATCTATACCTGCATTCTGGAATCAGGGAGAAAGCCAAAACGGATGACAAGACACTAGGTCAGCCGCGTCCAACCCTTTGACTACAAGGACTTTTCCACCTATCTGTGGTGGTGGGTATCATGAAAATTATGCACAAACCTTTTTTTTTTTTAAGCTCATCAGCTATCGTTAGCATTAGTGTATTTTATATGTGGCCCAGGAGCATTCTTCTTCCAATGTGACCCTGAGAAGCCAAAAGACACCTGTGCACTAGATCAAAAGGCTACTCCTTCTGGAAGCAATTGTAAAGAATTTCTGACATTATCTTCACATGACAACCAATGGGTAGTGGGACAGAATGCAAAAATCTTCAAGTATTTTTCTTGTTGGTTTTTTTTTTTTTTTTTTTGAGTCAGGGTCTTGCTCTGTGGCCCAGGCTGGAGTACACTGCTGAGATCACAGCTCAGTGCAGGCTCAAGTGCTCCTCCCACCTCAGCCACAGTAGTAGCTGGGACTACAGATGTGCACAACCACCACTGGCTAATATTTTATTTTTTGTAGAGACAGGGTCTCACTATATTGTCCAGGTTAGTCTCAAACTCCTTGACTCAAGGGATCCAGGACAGGATAACAGGTGTGAGCCACCACATCTGGCCATGTGCATGAACTTTTAAGACAAACACAAGGCCCCACAAAAGTTAAAGTTTTCCCACCTAATTTCCAGGGGATCTTTTGGTGCAAGGATGAGAAGCCCTTAAAAGTACCCAGACAACTCCAAAGATTCAAGACAGTTCATTGGGGCTGAGCCAGCCCACTGGGCAGACTGACCTTCAAAAAAGGCCCACCCATGATATACACCAGATGGCTCTCCAAGAATCTCTCCAGTCCTCAGGGTCCCTAAGGTACTGGACAGAGCTAGGAAAGCAAACCCATGTGCTTCTTCCTTCAGGCAACCCCTTGAGGTCAAGACCCCACAATCAGATGAGGATGGAGTGGCTCACCCTCAGTCAACAGGCCAGACTCAAGGTGGTATTATGTCTTAACCAAGGGTGTGGGCCTCCAGGTCTCACTCCCAACTCAGTGCTCCTTTAATAACCACACTTTGTTAATTCTCCTTAACAGGGGTTCCAGGCAAGTCAGTTCTCCCTCAGGCCTTCGGTTTCCTCACCCACAAGATGAGAGGGCTGGACCAGATGGAAATTCAGGGGGTAAGGGGATGTCCGCTCGCAGCCCACCTCGCCCATGGGCCCCTCAAGCCTCCCTGCCAGTTCCCACGACGCACCCGCCCCACAGATCCTGCCCAAGGTGAGGGCTGGTCCCGGGTCCTCCGGCTGCCGCATCAGCGAGTGCAGGAGGGAGGGGAAGCCTCCAACGGGGCGACTCGGGCTCAAGGATGCAACTCGGCCAGGAGTGAACTCGGGCACGGAGGGAGGTGTCTGGGCCGCTCCTCGAGCCCAGCCTGGGTCCACGACCCCCTTACCTCCAGGGTCCGTATCTCCTGCTGGGTGAGGTCCTTGGACACAGCGCACTTGTTGCGCAACCGGCTCAGGCTGCCAATGGAGATGCGGATAAGCTTCTGGAGCTGCCCACAAGCTTCTGGAGCTGCCCACACTGCTGCAGCGTCTGGCTGGCTGCGGCCCCTGCGCCTCCCAAAGAGGCCGCCGCATCACCCCCGCCACCGCCCTCCTTCTTCTCTCCCCTGGCCGCTACGCGCAGCGCCGCTCTATGCAGGCCGCAGCGGCCAAGGCGGGGAGCTCGGGGCGCGGGCGCCTAGGCAAGGAACCCCCGAGCCGGGAGAGCTGGACCAGGAGCGCCCCTCGGCTCCGCCCGAACAAGGACGCCGGTAGAGCCGGCAGCCGAGTGTGCCGCTCCCGCCCTCAGAGCCGCGTCGGTGGTGGCAAAAAGCGGCGGCGGTGGGGGCAAAAAGCTGGGGCGGCGGGGACAAAAAGCCTCGGTGGCGGGGGTAAAAAGCCACGGCGGCAAAAACCGGCGGCGGCGGGGGCAAAATGCCGCAGGGGCAAAAAGCCGCAAAAAGCCGCGGCGGCGGGGGCAAGAAGCCGCGGTGGCGGGAGCAAAAAACTGCGGCGGCAAAAAGGGGCGGCGGCGGGGGCAAAAAGCCGCAAAAAGCCTCGGCGTAGGGGGCAAAAAGCCGTGGCGTCGGGGGCAAGAATCCGCGGCGGCGGGGGCAAAAAAAATATATATATAATTATATTATAAATATATATATTTCTATATAAAATATTATAAATATATATTATATTTATATATAATTATATATATTTATAATATAAAATATATTTATATATTATATATATTAATTATATATATATTATAAATATATGTAATAAATCTTGATTCTAAGAATGTTTTCATTATTATCACTAAAACTTATGATAAATGTTTTATTCATTCGTTTGTGACTATATTGCATGATAAAAATTTAAAGATTTATTATGTTTGAATCAAACCCCACGATTTGTGTCATTTCCCCCTGTAATGTGGAAGTCTGAGTTTTTAGTTCACAAATTTGGCAGAACAATAAACAGAGCGGCACAGCTCAAAGCACTAACTCCTCCGGAAGCAGCAGGTCAAAGTACATGCCAGACATTAAGCAGCAGAGCAACTTAGCAAGAGAAGACAGATCCTCAGGTTGGTGGGCAATGTCTGAACAGTCTGCTCATGGCACCAATTGTTAGTCACTTGCAAAGATGTGGCTTTAAGAGGGTAAGAAATTACTACTCACATAAATTACATTTGTGAGGTAAGTAGGAAGGCCTTTCAAGGTGATCTGACATGGCTTGAATGTGCAAGAAAAGGAGCCAGGCCTGGATTTTTATTGAGGGTAGGTGGCATGCTAGGGTGAGAATTTATTCCCATGGACAGGGGTTTGAATGGTTTCAATCTGCTGCTGGTACCAGAAAAGGGACCACCCAGGTTTCCTCTTACTGTATTATTTTATACACACACACACACACACACACACACACACACACACACACACACACACACGGTTTAGGATTAAAAATAGAGACAACCATCAAAAAATGAAGATAGTTCCTTTTGGTCAGCCTGGCAAGTAAGGACGTAGAAGGTGACATTCGCATCAGCGAAAGTAAAAAGGGAAACATAGGCCAGCAATTCTCCTAACATCTATCAGAAAAATAAGTTCACAGGGCAAATCACCATCCCAAATTGGACAGAAGGACACACACATCCAGAGAATTATAACTTACTTGGTTAGTAAACCACAAGAAACCCCTATGGGAACAAATACAGTTGTAAGAAAACAAACCATTATTGATGAATGGCTAAAAGTTTGAGAATTAACATTTTCAGGGTATACAAATTTATGAACTTTACTTTCAGAAACATGACATGGCTTTTACAGGGAAGATGATAGAAAAAATGCTTCTTGATTCCAGTAGGAGGAAGGGAAATGTAGCCATTTTTAACTATTCCCAGAAAATTTTCTTTTTAACATTCCTATCTTCAATATAAACTATGTATCAAAAGCCTAACCAACTGAGATTTTACCAGAGCCAGACTTCCTGGAGTAAGAGAAATGCCCAATTCCATCCCCCTCTAACCTTCTTGATCCAGTTAAGAGAGGTAAAGAGTGAGAAGTCCTCATGAAATTCACAGCCTAGGGATACACTGTTTTGTTTTGATTTGTTTTAATGAGGCTAATGCATAAGTCAATAGAGTGCTTTGCCTAAGCTCTCACATAACCACTACATCAACAGCAGAATAAATACATGGTAGCAGAATACAACTGAAAGAACTGTATGCCTCAGATCTTGTTAAATAAGTCTCTAAGAGACCACAAGGAAATTGAATAATGTTGATAAAGTCGACACATGTATATGTAGAAATACACAATGTACTGACACTGAGTCATGAACAAATAGAAAATCTGAACAGACCTATAGTTGCAGATTGATGCAAAAATCACCCCTCCAGAAAAAAAAGTACAAAACTGTTATGCTGCTGAATCTATCAAACATTTTAAGAATTAATTACCAATTATCCTCAAACTCTTGCAAAAACCTGAAGATGCAGAAACACTTCCAAATTTATTCTATGAGGTAGGCCAAAATTACAGTGACATAAAAAATGAACAAAAGCACTACAAGAAAAGAAAGTTGAAGAAAAATGTTCTTTATAAATAATATAAAATCTATAAAATAAATATTAGCAAAATATATTTAGCAGAATAATAAGAGGGTTATCTACCAAGACTAATTGAGAGTTATTACTGAAGTGCAAAGATGCTTTAACATATAAATATCAATAAATGTAGCCAGGCACAGTGGCTTGTGCCTGTAATCCCAGTTACCCAGGATGCTAAGGTGATAGGTTCACTTCAGTCCAGGAGTTCAAGAGCAGTCTAAACAACATCATAATATCCTGTCTCTAAAAATAAATAAATAATAAATAAATAAACAAATAATCATAATATACCGCATTAGTACTGTTAAACACCACAATATCTCAATTTACACAGAAAAAGCATTCTACAAGATATTACTCATTCATGGTACAAACACACAACATAATCAACAGTGAAATACAAAAAATGTTTTCCCTTAATATCAGGAACTAAAAATAGTTCCTCTTTTTTACCACTTCCACTCAACAGAGTATATAAAACTTTAGCTTAAGCAATAACAAAAATAAAATAAAGACAAAAATGCATATGTTAAAAAGAATAAAATAGAAATATCTCTGTTCACAGTAATCATGTATGCACACAATTCTGAAGATTGTACAAACAGAAAAACACCTCAAAACAGTTTAAACAAATTAAGTAATGTTGCAGGATACAAAATTAACTTACAAAACTCAGTTGCATTGATGCACACCAATAATGATTAATCTGAAAAGGAAATTAAGAAAACAATACCATGAACAACAGTATTAAAAAGAATAAAATGCTCTGGAATCAATTTAACCAGGATGACAAACTATTTGTACAATAAAAACTTTCAAAATGCTGCTGTAAGAAATCAAAGGTACAAATAAATGGAACAGTATCTTCTGTTCATAGGTGAAAAGACTTTTTAAAAAATTTCAACTTTTATTTTAGATTCAGGGGTTACAGGCACAGATTTGTTATGTAGGAATATTGTATAATGCTCAGGTTTGGAGCACATAGGTAGTGAGCACAGCAACCAATATGTAGTATATTAACTTGCCCTCCCCTCTGCACACTTTAGTAGTCCACCGTGTTTACTGTTCCCATATTTATGTCCATATATGCTCAATGTTTAGCTCTTATAAGTAAGAACATGCAGTATTTGGCTTTCTGTTTCTGCATTAATTTGCTTGAAATTATGGCCTCTGGTTCCACCTATGTTCATACCAAGGACATGATTTCATTATATTTCACAGCTGTGTAGTATTCCATGGTGTATACATACCAGGTTTTCTTTATCCAATATACCATTGATGGGCATCTGGATTGATCCCACATCTTTGCTATTGTGAATAGCACAGTGATGCATTCAAGTGCATATGTCTTTTTGGTAGAATGATTTATTTTCTTTTGGGTATATACCCAGTTGTAGGATTGCTGGGTAAATTGGTAGTTCTGTTTTAAGTTCTTTCAGAAATCTCGAGACTGCTCTCCACGATTGCTGAACTAATTTACAATCCTGCCAGTGACGTAAAGTGTTTCCTTTTCTGCACAGCCTTGCCAACATGTTATTTATTGACTTTTTAGTAATAGCCATTCTGACTAACATGAGATGGTACCTCATTGTGGTTCTGATTTGCATTTATCTGATAATTACTGATGCTGAGCAATTTTTCATGTTTGTTGGCCACTTGTATATCTTCTGTTCAGGCATATCTGTTCATCTCATTTGCCCATTTTTTATTTTTTAATGGTTTTTTTTTTTTTGGCTTGTTGATTTGAGTTCCCTATGGAGTCTGGATATTAGGCTTTTGTTAGACTCATAGTTTGTGAATATCTCCTCCCATTCTGGAGGATGCCTCTTTCCCCTGTTGATAGTTTATTTTGCTGTGCAGAAGCTATTTAGTCAAATTAAGTCCTACTTGTCTATTTTTGTTTTGGTTGCAATTGCTTTTGGGGACTTAGCCAAAAACGACTTGCCAAGGCTGATGTCAAAAAAATATTTCCTAGGTTATCTTCCAGAATTTTTATAGTTTGAGGTCTTACACTTAAATTTTTAATCCATTTAAATTTAATTTTGGGGCATGTTGCAAGGTAAAGGTCTAGGTTCAATCTTCTGCCTATGGCAAGCCAGTTATCCCAGAATGTATTGACTAGGGAGTCCTTTCCCCATTGCTTGTTCTTGCCAGCCTTGTCAAATATCATATGGTTGTAGGTGTGTGACTTTCAGCAGTGTTTTGTAGTTCTCCTTGAAGAGATCTTTCATTTCCTTGGTTATCTGTATTCCTAGGTATTTCTCTTTTTTGTGGCTATTTTAAGTGGAATTGTGTTCTTGATTTCACTCTTGGCCTGGACATTGTTGGTGTATGGAAATGCTACTTATTTCACCATAATCAGTACTGTTTACACTGATTTTGTATCCTGAGACTATACTAAAGTTATTAATTCTAGGAGCCTTCTGGCAGAATCTCTAGGATTTTCTAGGCATAGGATCATATTTTCAGCGAAGAGAGATAGTTTGACTTCTTTTCCTGTTTCGTTACTTTTTCTTTCTCTTGCCTGATTGCTCTGCATAGGACTTCCAGTACTAAGCTGAATAGGAGTGCTGTGAGTGAGCATCCTTGTCTTGTTTCAGTTCTCATAGAAATAGTTTTAAGTTTTTAACCTATTGAGTATGATGTTGACTGTGGGTTTCCCATAGATGACTCTTATTATTTTAAGGTATGTTCCTTGGATGCCTAGTCTATTGAGGATTTTTACCATGAAGTAGTGTTGGATTTTATTAAGAAGACCTTTGTGTATCTGTTTAGAAAATCATATGGTTTTTACTTTTGATTCTATTTAGCTGGTGAATCACATTTATTGGTTTGCATATGTTGAACCAGCTTGCATCCCAGGAATAAAGCCTACTTGACCATGGTGTATTACCTTTCTGATGTGGTGCTGAATTTGGTTTGCTAGTATTTTGTTGAGGATTTTTACATTTTCTGTTCATGAGGGATCTTGGTCTGAAGTTTTGTTTTTTCACAGTGTCTCTGCCAGATTTTCATATCATGCTACTGCTGGTTTCAAAGAATGAGTTAGGAAGGAGCCCCACCGCCTCGATATTTTGAAATAATTTTAGTAGGATTGATATCATTTCTTCTTAGTATGTCTGGTAAAACTCAGCAGCCAATCTACCTGTTTCAGGCCTTTTTGTTGTTGTTGTTGTTGTTGGTAGGTTCTTTAGTACTGACTCAATGTCAGAAGTTGATATTAGTCTACTTAGAGTTTTGATCTCTTTCTGATTCCATCTTGGGAGACTGTGTGCTTCCTGGAATTTATTCATTTTCTCCAGATTTTCTAATTTGCGTGCAGAGCTGTTCATAGTACTCGCTGAGGATCTTTTGTATCTCTATCTGATCCATTTTAATATAACCTGTCATTTTTATTGCGCTTATTTGGATCTTCTCTTTCTTTTTTATATTTGTTAATTTGGCTAGGAGCTTATCAATTTTTTTTGAAGAACCAATTTTTTGTTTTCTTGGACTGTTGTATACATTTTTGCATCTCAACTTCATTAAATTCTTCTCTAATTGCTGTTATGTCTTCTCTCATGCTAGCTTTGGGGTTGGTTGGTTCTTTTTTTCAAGTTCCTTTAGGTGCAAAGTTACATCGTTAATTTGAGACATTTCTAACTTCTTGATAAAGGCATTTAGGGCTATAAAGTTTCCTCTTAACACTGCTTTGGCTGCATCTTAGAAATTTTGGTAAGTTGTGTTCCTATTTCTATCAATTTCAAGTAATTTTTATATTTCTGCCTTACTTTGATGTTTACAAAGGATTTATTCAGGAGTAAGTTGTTTAATTTTCATGTATTTCTGTAGTTTTGAGAGATCTTGGTATGCATTTGTATTTTTTATTGTACTGTGCTCCAACAGTGTGCTTGGTGAGATTTCATTTTTCCTTAATCTATTCAGGCTTTATTTATCACTGAGCACGTGGTTGAACTTAGAATTTTTTTTTGTGCAGATGAGAAAAATGTACATTCTGTGGTTGTTCGATGGAGTTTTCAATAGATGTCTATTAGGTCCAATTGGTCAAGTGTGGAGTTTAACTCCAGAGTTTTCCTGTTAGTTTTTTTTTTTTTTGGCCTCAGTGATATGTCTAATGCTGTAAGTAGGGTGTTGAAGTCTCTTACTACTATTGTGATGTTGTCTAAGCCTTTTTGTGGGGAAAGAAAAAGTCATTTTGTAAATCTGGGTGCTCCAATATTAAGTGTATATATATTTAAGATATTTAAGGCTTCTCACAGGATTTTATCCTTTATCAATATGCCCTTGTTATTCTTCTTTTCATTGGTAGGCAAAGAAGAAGTCATTTTATGAATTTGGATGCTCCAGTGGTAATCACATATATATTTAAGATAGTTAAGGCTTCTTGTTAGATTGCACCCTTTATCAAAATGCTCTTCTTGTCCCTCTTAGTGTTTTTTTTTTTTTTTTTTGGTTTAAATTTGTTTTATCTAATATAAGAATAGTGACTGCTGCTTGTTTTTGTTTCGTTTGCATGGTAGAATACACTCCACCCTTTTACTCTGAGGCAAAGGGTGTGTCTTGAAAGCAACAGATGGATGGGTACTGTCTTTTTATCCAGGATGCCACTTTGTGTCTTTTAACTGTGGTGTTTAGCTTACTTACATGTTAGGTGAGTATTGATATGTGTGATTTTGAATTCACCATCATGTTGTTAGCTGGTTGTTATGTAGAGTTGATTGCATTATTGCTTTATAGTGCCTGTGGGCTATGTGCTTAAGTGAGCTTTTTTGGTAGCAGATATCATTCACTTGAATCCATGTTTAGCACTACCTTAAAGACCTCTTGTAAGGCTGGTCTAGTTTAAATGTATCACGTCAGCATTTGCTTGTCAAAGGAATTTTTTTTTTCCTCTTTCACCTATGAAGCTTAGTTTAGAGGGATATAAAATTATTGGTTAATTTTTTTTCCTTTAAAAACTCTGCAGATAGGCCCCTAACCTCTTCTGGTTGCAAGGAGTCTGCTGAGAGGTCTGCTGCTAGTCTGATGGAATTCACTCTGTGAGTAACCTGCCCTTTCTCTCTAACTGATCTTAAATTTTTTTTTGCACTGACTTTGGTGAATCTGATGACTATGTGACATGGAAATAGCAATATGGTTTGGATCTGTGATTCTGCCCCAATCACATGTGGAACTGTAATCTTCAATGTTGGAGGTGGGGCCTGCTGAGAGGTGATTGGATAATGGGGATAGATCCTTGTGAATGGTTTAACACCAGCCCCTTGTGCTGTCTTGCGATAACGTTCTCATGAGATCTGGCTGTTTAAGAATGGGTAGCACCTCCCCGCTCTCTGTGTTGCTCCTGTTCTTCCATGTAAGATGCCTTGCTCCCCCTCTTCCTTCTTCCATGGTTGTTAGTTTCCTGAGGGCTCCCCATAAGCCAAGCTGATGCTGCCATGCTTCCGCTGCAGCCTGCAGAATTGTGAGCCAACCAAACTTCTTTTCATTATAAATTACCCAGTATCAAGTATTTCTTTATAGCAATGTGAGAACTGACTAATACAGACTGTCATATATTATTGTATCTGACTAGGGGCTGACTGGGGTTCTCTTGGATTTGAATGGCAACCTCGCTAGTGAGATTAGAGGTACTTTCATGAACTATATCTTCATACATATTTTCCAACTTGCCTATTCTCTTTCCTTCTCTCTCAGAAATGTTGATAAATTGTAGATTTGTTCTCTAAGTAATCTCATATTTCTCAATGGGGATGTTGATTTTTCTTAATTCTTTTATCTTTATTTTTGTCTGACTATGTTGATTCAATAAAACAGTGTTTGAGCTCTGAGATTCTTTTCTCAGTTTAGTCTATTCTGCTGGAAATACTTCTGATTTTATTATAAAATCCTCACAGTAAATCTTTCAGCTCAAGAATTTTTTTAGTTTAGATATTTCTTAAGATTGCTATTTTATCTTTCAGGTTTTGAATCATTTAACCGGATTGCTTGGCTTCCTTGGGTTAAGTTTCAACTTTCTTCTCAATCTAAATGAGTTTCCCTGCTCTTTTTTCCATGTCTGTCATTTTAGACAATTCAGACTGTTAAAAACCATCACTGGGGCACTAGTGGGCTCTCTTGAAGGAGACACTCTGGCTTTTTGCATTGCCAGAGATTTTGAGCCAATTCTTTCTCATCTGAGAGAACTGGTATACCTCTAATTGGGGTATAAATTGAGTATAGTCTATTGGCTTTCTTTTTTTGAAGGTTTTCAGAGGACTAGGACTCTGTACAGTGTCTTTGTTGTTGAATTCTTGCTCTTGGTTTCACAGGGGAAGAATTAGTAAAGTGATTTTTGGTGGTGTAATCTCTACTGCGATCCAGTAGATAGCACTTGAGAGCAGTGGGATGTAGATAGGTTCTTTACCATGCAGTTCCTTTGTGTATCTTCTTTATTTGCAACTATGTTCTGTGGTACAGGTCTGTTCATGAGTCTTGAGAGACTCACTTCCAATCACTGGCACTATGCCCATTATTATTACTATCATTATCTCCTTTTTTTTTTTTTTTTTTTTTTTTTTTTTTGAGACAGAGTCTTGCTCTGTCGCCCAGAGACTGGAGTGCAGTGGCAGGATCTCAGCTCACTGCAAGCTCTGCCTCCTGGGTTCATGCCATTCTCCTGTCTCAGCCTCCCGGCTAGCTGGGACTACAGGCGCCCGCCACCACGCCTGACTATTTTTTTGTATTTTTAGTAGAGACAGGGTTTCACCGTGTTATCCAGGATGGTCTCGATCTCCTGACCTCGTGATCCACCCGCCTCCGCTTACCAAAGTGCTGGGATTACAGGCGTCAGCCACCGCGCCCGGCCTATTACTATCATTATCATTATTGTCATTGTTGTTAGGTGTTTCAAGCTGTGGGGCTTCCTCAGGGAGATGTCTTCTAGAAAAATACCCTGCATCTTTACCATAACAGCCCTGTGGAAGGAGGTGTGCCTAGGGCCCACGCCAGCCTGTGAACCTGTGTGAATCTGGCCTCTCAGTTTCTGAAGAGTGTGGGTTCCTCCCCCATTCAACTGCCCAGCACAGATCCCAGCTTGACACTCCTGAACCACAGGCCACAGCACTGGAGTGCCACGACTTGCTTATGACTCCCTCTTCCTGATGCTTAGGGCCAGGTTCCAAGTGTGGTGAGGGATCTGAGGGATTTCTGGGCTGCCAGAATGCATTCAGGTGGAGCCAAGCATCCAGGTTGGGTAGCAGAAACTACAATGTATACATGCTTCTCCCAGGAAGCCAGGCAGGGGCCATGTAAGAGGCTGGTGGACAGGCATGCCTACAGGATAGACATGTCCCAGTCCTGCGGGTAAGCAGGCCTTGCTTTCTCCCTGCAGTTTAGCTGGGGCCAAAGCCTCTGAGAGAGATAGGCAGCTGCAGAGGTGGGACTTTATGGTTGAGCTCCACCAGATCCGACCCATGCTAAAAAGTCCTGGCTCTGTGCCTGCTACAGCTCCATCTCCATCTACTCTCCAGGGAGATCTCCTTGCCAACTCACATGTCCATGGGGGTGTGGAGTTTCCTGCAGCCAGGATCCCAGTGGTCTGCAGCGAGAGTGAGCAGCCTCCCAGTCCCTTTACTCACTTCTTCCCCAGATGCCACTCAGGGCCAAAAAGCAGTCATAGCGTTCAGGCACCCCATAAGGGCACCCCAGCTTCCTTGCTCTTCAGTCTTAGAAAACGCACCTTTTCTCCATCCACACTATCCATTTTCTCTCCAAATATCTATTCAAACTATGTTGATGTAGTCAAAATTGTGGTCTTTCTCTTTGGGAGCAACACTTGCTGGCTGCATCCAGTAAGCCATCTTGGAAACTCTCTTAAAAGTACTAATGTGGCAATTTCTCCTAAAATTATCTATAAATGCAGTGCAATCCCAATCAAAAGCCCAATAACTTTTTTTAAATGGAAACAGAAACTAACATTCTAAAATTCAAGTGAAATCTCAAGGAACCAAGAATAGTCAAAACGATCGCAAAAAAAAGAGATAAAAATGTTCAGAGCTCTAATTTCATAATGAGAAATTTCCTAACGTCAAAAGTTACTCACAGTCATGTTACTCAAAACAGTGTGGTACTGGGATAGAGACTACAAACAAATGAAATAAAATAGTGTCTCTCAGAGGACACTATCAATAGAGTAACAGGACAACTCTGAATAATAGAACATACTCCATAACAATACTCTAATAATACATCTGGCAAGGTATTAATATAGGGAAAATACAAAGTAAAAAGGTTTGAAAATCTTCAACACTCCTCATGATAAAAACATTAAATAAACTGGAAATAGAAAAGATATTGTAAGACATCTATAAAAACCCCACAGCTAACATCATACTTGATGTTAAAAGACAAAATGCTTTCTACCTAAGATCAGAAATAAGACAAAGATGTCTGTTCTCACGACATCTATTCAACATGGTAAAAAAAAAGCTGTTAGCTAGGAAATTAGGCAAGAACATAAAAGTATTAGTGATTTTAAAGCAAATACACACATAGCACCCAGGCATAAATACAAAAGCAGACTTTTCACTGCACATAAAGGTGGATACACGCAGACAAAGACACGCAAGCTTGTTAACTGTCAGAGTTAGCAGCTGAAACACATAAATAAATGCTCAGAGAGACACCCAGTTTAGACCTCTGCTCTCTTTACCACACTCTCCTCCCACATTAGCAGTAACCACTATCTTACACATTGTTTATTTTACTTGTATTATATATTTATTTTTTCCTAGAATATCAGCTTCAAGTGGGCAGAATTATTTGTTTTGTTTTAGTCATTGCAGCACCTCCTAGAACATCTGCTACACAGGGCAAGATTAATACATAATAAATCACTGGGCTCAAATTCACACAACTATACACAGTGCTTTTCCATGAACCTCATCATAGGCCCATATAAACTTGATTTGCACAAAATGAGTTTTTCTTAACTCGATCTTATGTGGCAGGGTGGTGTCTTCTGAACTCCAAACAAATTCCTAAAGGTTAGCTTACTCAAATGAATTGAAAATGTAAGTCCACACAAAAACCTGCACAAAAAAGTTTACAGCAATATTAATTGTAGTTTTCACAAAACTTGGAAGCAACCAAGATCATGTATTCACCAAGGTCAGAGGTACAAAATTATTATACAAAAATCAATTCTACTTCTATACACTTGCAATGAAATATCTAATAATGCAGTTGAGGCAAAAACAAATCCATTTACAATAGCAATTAAATAATAAATCATAGAAATAAATTTTTAAAAATGTGAAAGGAACTTATAATCTGAAAACTACAAACCTTATCGAAAGAGGTTGAAGATCTAAATAAATGAGAAACCATTCCATGTTTATGAATCAGTAGGTTTAATACATTATGATGACAATAACTCCCCAAACAGTCTACATCCAGTACAATTAGATTCAGTACAATTAGAATTCAAGGTGACTACCATGTAAAAACTGAAGCATTGATGCTGAAATTCATATAAAATTAAAAGGGACTAAGAATATCTTTAAAAATCTTTAAAAAGATGCCAAATAAAAGGACTCACAAATTACAACTTCAAAATTTGCCTCAAAGCAACCTTAATCAAGATGGTGTAGTAACGACACAAGGAAAGTCATTTAGATCAATGAAATACAACTGAGAACCCAGAGAGAGTAAAATCAGCAAAATGTCAAGAATGTACAGCTCCAAACACCTGCTCCTCCACAGAAACAGGGAAAACCAAGCAGAACTGTCAGAAACGATGTTGTAAAACCTGTTGAAAACCATCAAGTTGTACAGCAACCATGTAACTACAAAATCAAGAAAAACAATGAAGAACAGGAGAAAAGCCTCGTGGACTTTTTACACGTCCTTGCCCAAATCCTTCCCTTACTTGATGGCAGTCTTAAAAACAACATCCTGAGTTGCCAGTATGGGCCTCTGCTCAGTGGTTCCAGAGGGAAAAGAGGAGGTCTTACTTGCAAAGTATTGTGTTGTTACATTAAAATCTGTATTAGGGCTATCCAGAGGTCTGAAACAAGGCTCTCTTTTTTCTCTAAGTCAGAAAAAAAAATCAGTTTAAAAAATTGGCACGAGTTACTTGGGAGTATTTTAAGGAAACTGAAAGCCAGCAGCCCCCTGGAGAACAGATTACAGACGACACATACAATAGGTCACATAAAGCCAAGAATAAAAAGCTAACGTGAGATTTTGTTTTGTTTTACAAATTAGGCTATTAAAAAGCACCCAGGTATGCTGGCAAATTGACAAAGCACTCTGTGCATAACCACGAAAAACACATTTTCTTAAAGACCCAAGAAGACCCTCATTTTCAGCACTGGCTGACCTTCAGGCTCAGCTCAGCAGAAAGTGAAGACTGAAGCAAAGTTTTCAACAGTCTGCACATGTGTTAAAGGAACGCCCCAGCCCAGAGCCATCCACAAAAACTGGAAGAATCCGTCAGTTTGTCTTTGTCTCAGTTTTGTCATATAGACCTTTGTGACACACAGATCTATATACAATGGAAACTACAAATTTCTAATGAAAGAGCCATGAAAGATCACAAAAGATCTTAATAAATAGAAAGACATTTAATGTGCATGATCATAAAATCTCAATATTGTCAAGATATAATTTCTCCCCAATTTGAGTTATAGGCAAGAGAGTCACATCATCTAGGTGATTGGCCAAACATATGTCACAATCCCTTCCATTGACAGCTCCCAAAAAAGGAGTTACATCACCTAGGTGCTCAGCTCTGAGATGTGTCACAACATTGCCCAATACAGGCAGGCCACAGGCGGGAGAGTCACATTTCCTGGGTGCTTGGCCCAGTGGTATGTCACATTTCCTTATGTAGGAAGGGCACACGTAGCAAGAGAGAGTCACATTACCTAGGTACTGTGCTAGAGCTATCAGTCTCTGTGTCGTTCAATGTGAGAGTTATGATCTCTTTAGACATCCATGTAACAGAGCCTCAACTCCTTCATCCTCAGATGTAAAGGCTAGTGAAGACCAAATAAGCCTTGAAAGGTAATTCCCCTAAAAAGGCAGAATGTCTTAGGCTTTGGCCTCTCCCCTTCAAGCACAATGAGATCATAACCTCTCTTTTGACTTCTCACTATGCCCAGCACTGGAACAAAGCTCCTGACTCCACACCCTCACCTTTCCACCCTTGTGCCTTCACTGGGCAGACAAGAGATGAGAAGACCTGAACTCTGGGACAGTCTGGGGAGAAAAGAATCCAAAAAGGGTTGAGGCGGCAAGGGCTGAGCTCCCACGGGTGCCCCGGCCCAAAGGTGCAGGTCCAGGCTGTTTTCCAGGTGGCATTCAGTGCAGGTTCTTCAATGCCACTGGAAGGCATGAAAAACCCACTGTAGCTGCTGCTGCTTCCTTTTCTTAAGCTGTGAAAATGCAAACACTTTTTCAAGGTTTTCAGATATGCCCAGGTACCCCCAACTGAAAAGGAGGATAATGGCATTGTTCATCATGGCTTATTGTCTTGCCCAGGCAGGAGCCAGCCCCTGACTCGCCAATCCAGCTGCCCCAGGCTGGAGGTGATCCTTTCGAGCCTCCTCCCTGCAACTCCACTCCTCTTTTTTCTCTTCCTCAACCACCGGCATACTTTTGGTCATCCTCCTTGTTGTCACAATGGGGGCGTGATGCCATAAAGACCTGGGAACCCCAATGATCTCAGGTCCCGCAGGGGTCAGGTGAGCATATAGGAAGTCCAGAAGGACAGTCATCTGCCACCTCCAGTTGAAAAAGAACAAAACCCTCGCACTCCAGAAATGAGTCAAGAACCCAGCGAAGGCCACAGGTCTAGCCCACAACCACCTAGGTATGTGGGGTCCTCCAAGGCTCACGCTTGTGTCCTGCAGGCTGGAGCCCATGCGAGGGTCTGCAGTCTTTGTTCCGGATGGGGAACTACTGCTTCAGCTGGTTACCCAGGTGTCCCCGATGGGGAAAGGAAGGAAATGGTGAGAATCTTCAGCACAACGGATCACATCACCCTGGCAGAGACCAGTCCGGCCTGTGCATGGCACCAGCAGCCGCAGGCTAGAGGCAGTCATGTCAGGCCTCCTCCATACAGCATCTCTCCTGCTTTTTTTTCAAACGGCCCTAATCACTTAATTTGGTCATCTTCCCTGTCACAATGGGGCACCTGGCGCTATAGACACTTGGGAAACACACAGATCTGGGGTCCTACAGTGTCCAGGTGAAGACGCCGGGAGTCAGAGAGGAAAGTCTTTTGAAGCCTCCAAAAGGAATGCACAGGACCCCACTTGAAGAGGTGGAGTGCCCAGTGGCGGATACAGGCCCCACACATCGCAGCAGTAAACAGGTAAGGCGCTCCCTGGCCCATGCCTGTTTCCTGGAAACTGAAGCCATGCCCAGGCTGGGAGTCACCATTCCAGAAACAGAATAAGCTGTTGGGCTGGCTACCTCACCCAGCACCCGGCCACGCCAGAGAGAATCTTGGATGCTGCTTTCCCACAGGCTGTAGTGCCTTCCAAGTTAGGCCACCCTAATAACAGTTCTCCCACAGGGACTCCACGGTGTCCAGCTCTCCAGCCTGGGGTTTCTCATCACCCAGTGATTCCAAAAGAAACGATCTACAATGGCATGACTAAGTTCCAGAAACAAATAAACAAAATACTGAGGGAAGCCCGTTGGTCACTTTGATTCTTCAAAGGTGACAATTGTCCCTCCCTGAAATCTTGTGAGTGCATGAACAGGCTATTCTAATGTAAATGAAATTCACACTAAAACTGATTGAAAGATGATTCTGTTTCCAAGGTACTTTGTATTCTCAAATTGCACCTGCTTACCCTGGCCCCCTCAAAATGGAAGAGTGATGACTATTTGTCTTCGTAGCACTGTGGGGACACAGAGCCTTAAATGGAAGAGTGTCAAAAGCAACATTCCATAAAGGGCTGTCACTTCCAATTTTCAAGCAAGGTTGGAAACCAACCATGATGTATGAAACACTGTTGGCCAAAGTGCACAATTAGTAATACAAAATGAATAATATAAACTATTGTAAATATGTGTGGACATCGTGGCAATTTGGACATCAAAAAACACTGCCAAATTCAGAAAGAGGAAGCTGTAAACTCATGGCTGTTAGGAAGCTTAACTTCTGTGTACTAGAACCTATCAAAATTAAATTTCTCCATGTCAATCCGTCCAAACAAACATTGAGATGTTTATTTCTATATAATTCCTATTGAATCCTACTGGGCAGGACCCTTCTGGCCCCATCCTCACAGCACTGGTGCAGTGAAACTGCACTTGCTCCTGCTTCCCCCTATATTGTTAGGAGTGGAAATATTTAGTAACAGGGTGGATTGGGAGGCTACTGAGGCCTCCTGCGTGGGTGGGTCAGGTCTCCTGCAGCCCAAACCTTTTTACAATAAATAAGTTATAGGTAAAATTAGAAAAAAATTAAAAAATGGAACTCATTCTGTTTCTTTGCTCACCACAAAGAGAAACACAGCATCTAGAGATGTCTGTTGGAGCCAGGCTTGTCCTGGGAAAGTAAGAAGTGCTGAGCAGGAGCCCTGGGGATGGAGGGCAGGTGAGATGGGGCTCCCAGGAAGATGCAGCCAAGCCTGGCTCACTCAGGCTGGCAGGGGCCCTCTGAAGTCCAGGAAAGTTGGTCCAGGACACTGAAACTCAAGTGACTCATCTGGGCCAAAGATCTGACCAGGTCGCACTGAATCTCATCAGCCCTGCCAACTGGAGGTCTGATCAGCCTTGAAGATCTTGCTCACTGGAGGCAGACAGCTGGTGGATGGGTCAGGAGAGCTGCCTACTGCCAATGTAGGAGTGCACTCAGTGTAGGCCCGCTGCCCCACTCAGTGGCCTGGATAACCTGCTGAGGCTGCAGCTTCTTCCAGTTTTTGAGCAATAGGGGCATGCACCATTTCCGAAGGTTTTCAGGCAATCCCTGGTGACCTCTGGCAGGGGGTGGTTATCTTGGCAATCTCCAGCAGGGCCTATGGACTTGCTCCCAGGCAAAACCCAGCAATCCCTGTGCCTACCCAGGCACTAAGCATTTGTGGTGGGGCTTTCTGGAAGCTCGCCTTCTCCTGCTGGCTCTTCGTTTTCCCCACCCCGGTACTTCTGGCCATTCTCCCTGTCATCATCACAATGAGACAGCTGGGTGCTGGAGACTCAGAAACTGCCATGCAGACCTTGAGTCCTTCCCAGGCCCAGCCAACAGGGCAGAGAATCCAGGAGAAAAGTCATTTTCACCTCCTGAAGGACCAGAGCTGACCAGGCACCTAGAAGCTGTGCCCCACTGCAGGCTGCCGGTGGAGCTCATGACAAGGCCGGAACAAGGCCGGAACGTGAAGCACTCCCTTGTCTGTCCTTTTTTCCTGAAGGCTGGGGCTTGCCCGGCCAATGTCACCCTTCAGGACAGGGAATCAGAGCTTTGCATGGCTGCCTTACCCCACCAGGGCAACGCCACAGAGAATCATGGCTGAGGCTTTCCTGTGGGCTGCAGTGCCTGACCCTTTAGGGTCCCCACAAAAACACCTTTCCTGCAAATAATCCACCGTGTCCTGCTTGCCAGCCTAGGCTTCCTCATCAGTTGGTGATTTCAATGAAAACAAACTACAGTGGAATGAACAAGTTCTAAATCAGGAACACACAAAGAATCTGTGGAAAGTCCATTTGTCATCTAGATTTTTAAAAGATACACATTTTCCCTTCTTGTTATATTCAGTAGTGCATGAAGCCAATATTATAATAGATGTGCAACTCACACTAAAGCTGACTAAAGGGTGAATTCTTATTCTAAGGTACTTTGTGGTCTCAAATTTATCTGTTCCCACCCCCAGGACCCCATTAAAACTGAATAATTGTCATTGAGAGCAGATGTAGAAAGAAACTAGCTAGGCAGATAGAGCAAAGAGTTCTCAACAGAACGTCCCTTCTAACAGAAAGCAACCCAGGAATTCACTTCTCTTTAACAAAGAGCAGCCTGGAAAATTGGGCTGCAATCATACAAAAGGAAGCTGGAAGCTTGTGTGGGCAGGGATGCCTGCAGCTGCATGGGTAGAAATGACCACCTTGGGCCAGACATATCCAACATGGGGGGCCCCACCCCTCTTTGTAGCATATGCACAGTAGAAAAGAGATAAGCAACTTGGAGTAGCTCAGGCTGAGAATCTGCCTGCATAATAAAAGGTTGGGGTGTGAGCTGCCAGAGATTCATGCTCTAAGCAGATGACACACCTGGTCCTAACCACTTTTTCATGCCCTATGTGGATAACATACCCCCTCCCACTAGCTCATCTATAAAAACACTTGTATTTCACTGCAGAATGGCAACTCTTTTTTTCTGGATCCCTCTCTGCAGCAGAGAGCTGTTCTCTTTTTCTCACCCATTAAACTTTTGCTCTAACCTCACCTTTGGCATATCTGTGTCCTTGGTTTCCTCGGTCCTGACACCAAGAAGTTCAGGTGTAACCCCAGAAGACACGGCCAGTTTATCATGACTTGTCTCATTGCCTCTTGGGACATAGAAACGTCAATGAAAATGTGTCCAAAAGGACATTTCATAAAGTGCTCTCTCTTCCAATCTTCAAGCAATGTGGGACTATCCATCATGTATAAAAAACTTGTGGCTGAAATGCACAATTTCTAATACAAAAATGAATGCTATAAATTACTCTATGTATGTGTATTATGGCCATTCAGACATCGTCACACATTGCCACATTTAGATAGAAGAACCTGTGAACTTGTGGCTGTTAGGAAGCTTAACTTGTGCATACTGTCACCTATGAAAGTTAGTTTTCCCTGCGTTTCTTGAAACCAACCTTGAAATGTCCATCTTGTACACAATTTCTATTTATCCCCAGTGAGGTTCACCCATCTGGCCCCGCCCTTACAGCCCTGGTACCAATGGAATTGCACTTGCTTATGCTTCTTCAAATTTTCTTGAGGTCATAAACATTTAGTGACAGAGTGGAATGAGAAGGTACTGAAGCAAGGGCTGATGCCTTCTGGGTAGATGGGTAGAGATCTCCTGCAGCCTGGACATCTTCAAAATAAGTAGGTTATAGGTCAATTTAGAGAAAAAAATAATACTCTTTCTTTGAACACCACAAAGAGAAAAGCGCTGGATCTAGATGTGTCTGTGAAGCCAGGCTTGTCCTGGGAAAGTGAGAAGAGCTGAGCAGGAGCCCTGGCAATGGAGGGTGGGTGAGATGTGGTCCCCACGGAGAGACCGCTAGGGTCAGGGCTTGGTACAGTGAGGCTGGCAGGGACCTTCGGAAGGCAAGGGAAGATGGCCAAGGACACAAGGCTGAAGCAACCCATCTGAGCCAAAGATCTGTTTAGGTCCTTCTGAATCTCAGCAGCCTTGCCAAGGAAGGCATGATTACCCATGGGTATCAGAGACACTGGAGGCTGGCAGCTGGCGGGTGGGCCAGGAGGCCTGACTACTGCACAGGTGTGATTTCACTGGCAGGCCAACTGCAGGGAGTGGATAAAGAGAGAGCTCTGTGTGGGAATCTCTCTCGGTGGATCATCGAAGAGGTGAAGTCTTCTTCATAGCCTCAAACCCAATTTGTGGGATAGCAATTCCAGTGAAGCTGGGACAAGCTGGCACTGCTCAACCAGGCCTCCCAAGATACCAGGTTTCTTTCCACCACAGCTGGGCCTGGATTGGGATGTGAACATCTATCCCAGAGTCCAGAGGATGGGACCCTGGTCAGTGATGGTGCTGGTGTGTGGTGTGAAGCCAGGTAGGGCAGACTCTTCAGGTGGGAGGAGAAGACAGCCTCTCCTGTGGGCTCCTGGGCAAGTCAACACCCTCTTTGGGCCTGTCTCCTCAACTGGAAAATGCAGAAAGCCTGTTGTGCAGGCCTCACAGGGTCATGATAAGGGGCAAAGGATGAAGGAAACTTCAGAATTCTTGTGCCCACCTCTTCCTGAGAGGGATGATGGTGAGAACAATGGTGATAGCCACATGCAACTGAGTCCTCAGGAGGTACTGTGAGGAAGGTGTTGTTCTCATCACACTTCCTAGATGAAAAAACAGTTTCAGGAAGGCCTGGCTGCATGCCCAAGGTTACACACACAGTGAGTGTTAAAGCTGGGAGTAAATCTAGAATCAGGACTCACTGGAGCTGGTGGGAGCATTACACCGGCTGACTCAGGCAGTTATCCAAGATCTGAGGTCGCTGGGGCTGGAGTGTAACTGTGAGACAGGCACAGTCTCACTGACCCTGTTTCTGACTCTACTAGGTAGGAACCTTTTTAAAGAGTCCAGATGGGGCTGCAGCAGCAGGTGAATTGGCCTATGGTAGGGAGGGGCTCCAGAGAGTCAAGGACAGGGCTCCTCCCTCCCAGCTGGAGTTCTCCACATCAAGAGACCTGGGTGTCTTCCTCCTCCAGCCCTGCCCTCCTGTGGCCACAATGCTTGGAATGCCTTCATTAGAGAGACTAGAGAAAGGGCCTGGGAGAGCTAGGCTCAGAGTAGATTAGACGAAGAGTGAGGGTGGGGACGATCTGACTTTGTGATTTATTAAAATCACACCATAGAGGTAACTAAGAAGTGCTTAGCGTCTTTGGAGGTCAGCTGTGGAAAGAGGAGGGAAAGATTTTGGGCAAGGAGGTGAAAGGTCCTTGGATGCTCTGAGTGAGAGACTTGGGTACGGGGGTCAAGGAGAAATAGGTTGGTGAGAGTTCAAAGGAGAGGTCTTGTGCAGTTAGCTGAGAATTGGTGCTCATCACTGCTACCACCTTGATAACACAGGCTGCTGTGCCCCCACTCCCCTCCCCCCCACCCCCCACCCCGGGCACACTTCTCAACAACCTGCAGATGCTGGAAATTGCCATAGAGGATTATAGAGATGTGAGTGAGACTGGGGCAGGCAGGCAGGGTGGGGACCAGGATCCTGAAGCTTGCGAGGACAGAGTCCTGGACTGAATCCTGAGACTGCAGCACTCAGCAAACCCCTTTCCTGAGAGCCTACCAGATGCCCCTGTAAATGGCAGTGTCAGTTCCGTCTTATCTATGAGTGACGGAGCCTCCAGCAAAGACACCATTTCCTGTTCCTTGAGTAGTAAAGCTGCAGAGCTAAGTCTCAGCCTCTGCCTTAGCTGGTACCCATTGCAGAAGAGAGAAATTGGGCCCCTCCTAAGACAGGCAGGTCCTAAATTGTTGAGTAACTTCTTTGTTTCCAAGGCCTTTGTCTCCCTATCATCACAGAGAATCAGGGAGAAAGGTCACTGAGCCTCAGTGTCCCTTCTGTGGAGCCCAGAACCTGATGCAGGTCTAAGTCCTGTTTTATGCACATGCTCTGACCCTGGTGGCCCTGGTGGTGGTGCAGCATAGGAAGTATAAGGGATGAGGTCTAGTCCTGTGTCAGGAAGCCTTTCTCATGAATCTTGGCTGTCTACCTCCTAAGAACATATAATCAACACTAATAAAGGAAGAAGGTGAGCAGCTGGCGCTGTCGCTTTGAGGGAGGGTGGGGATGTGAAAGTCAGACACCACCCTGAGGAAGACACTCCTTGGCTCCATCCTCTGCATCTTAGATTTATTGGGAAGGTTTGATACACAGAGAAGCAGGAGCCCCATCCCAATGGAGGGTTTGATTAGGGGAATAGAATCAATGATAAACTCCTAGAGGAGGGACTGTTTATATCCAACTCTTGAGAACAGGTTGGGGCTACATGGGATTGGAGGGGAGGGTAGGACCCCTTAAAAGAAAGGCCCTAGAAATTGTCCCTACCCCTTCACACCCCCACAAGTTCCCTTTGTCATCTTCCACCCAGGACCTGTCAGAATCCTGCCCTTCCTTCTGTCTCCAGATCAAAGTCCTCCAGGAAATGCAGCTGCTTCAGTGACAAGAGATAATCGTCATCTTCTGACTGAGGAGGAATTTGGGGTTTGGTTCCAGTGCATGAAGCTGCACAGTCAGAATAAAAGATGAGGGCCTAGCAGATTAGCAAAGACTAGGAGAAGACTCTATCTTGTGGCCAGCTTCAGAGAACCTGGGGCCATAGCTCCCTGGTCAACATTAGGCCTGCTGCATGGGGACCCTGGGCAGGCAGTGGGAAGCCTGAGGTGTGGCTCCTGGTAGCCTCACAGCTGCCACTATTTTCTGAAGCTCCTCCTACTTGTTTTGTCAGACGGGCCCCTATTCCAGCAGGCCAGCAACACCCTCAAGACCAAGAACAGGCCATGGTGAATCTCAGGGCCATTGAGTGCCTGGGCTGGCAGGGGCAGAGTGCCTCAGGGCTCAGTGACATTTGGCCTGAGTGTTGGCTTTGGGAGTCAGACAGCTGCACTGGGCTCCCAGCTTCACCATGACCAGTAATGTGTCTGGGGCCGGGGCCTCACTGCTCTAAAACTTGAGACACCATAGTGATAAATTTTACACACCCTTCTAACTGCTTTTTCTTTTTTATCTGTCTTTCTCTATAATCACCATGTACTACTGATCTCTGTTTATTTAAATTAATAAGCATGTTATACAGTGTGTATTATTCTTCCTCGTGACTTCTTTACTACATTGTATGATTCCACTCATATGAGGTACTTACAGTAGTTCCATTCATAGAAACTCAAAGTAGAAGAGTAGTTCCTAGAGGCCAAAAGGAAGGTAACGGGAACAGAGTTTGAGTTTTGCAAAATGAACAAATTTCCCTATGAATGTGGATGATGGTTGTAGAACAATGTGAGTATGATTAATTCCTCTGTCCTGCACTTTTAAAAATTGTTAAAATGGTTAATTTTATGTATATTTTACCACAATGTAAAAAAGGACTTTTTTAAATGAACAAACTGTAGATATCTGTAACAGCATAAATATCACAAATATAATATTGCATTAAAAAATTGATGTAAAAGTATCCATACTGTGTAATTTTTTATATTACACTCAAAAATCAAAACTGAGGTTCTGGCTTCCACTAATGATGAAGTAGCTAACTGAACTAACACTCTCACACAGAAAAATGATGAATCCTGGGTAAATTATTATATATCATTATAGAAACATTTCTATATACAATACATACATGAAATATGTGTATATAAAAACTGAATGCATATTTTGGCTATGACTTCCATAGGAGAGATAAGTATTGAAGATAGAATCCAGCCCATTTAACACCATCTTTTAAAAACAACACTCTTCACAGGGACAAAACAGAATCCAGTCTTTTTAATCCAGTCTTGTATACAGTCTCCAGGGCACAATTTCCAATTCAAGGGATGCGTGAAGACACGTGAAAATGTAATAAATACACAAGATAAAAAGCAGGCAGTAGCCATCTCCAAGATGTCCAAGATGTAAACGGCAGACAAGAATTTGAAGGCAGCTATTATAAACACGCTCATGAGGGCAAAGGAAAATATTCTCATAAATGAATAGATGTGAAACATCAGCAGAGAAAAAATAGCCATATAAAAAATGAGAAATAAAAATAATAATTTTGAGCTTTTCTATAGTTCAGAAACAGAGACATAGCAATATAATTTATCCAATCTGAGGAGAGGAAAAAAAAAAGAAGTTTAAAGAAAATGAACAGAGCCTTACAGACCTGTGGGATGACTGAGTCTGAGAAAAGGTGAGAGATAGAAAAAATCAAATGGAGTATAAAAGTAAATCAACAAAATTTAAAGAAAATAAACACAGCCTTAGAGACCCATGGAATTATTGAGCCTGAGGAGAGGAGAGAGACAGAAGAATTAGATGGGTTGGAAAAATAAATCAATAACTAACAGCTGCAAACTTGCAAAAATTGTTCAAAAACCTATTTTTTTTTTTTTAATCTAAAGATCCACGAATCCCCCACAAAAGTACAAATAAAACCATACCAAGGCCATATTGCAATTTAGGAAAGCAGCAGGCAGGACTTTCAATTGACTTGATATGATTTATCATTTTTACTATTTGTAAGAATGGAAATAAGTTCTTAGAGTTTTGGTCTTGGAGAAAGTCTGACGTTAAGGACAAACGACAGTTATTAAAGGCAGATGACTTTCCAGACTTGTCTTAAATGTTCCATTCTTCACCTTAGAACTTATTTAAATTTGTTTCTTCCAAATACTGCAGTAATATTGATGCTCCAGAGAGATGTCCCACGGAGATTCTGCTCTTGTGCGTCTGCCCTGCACGGAGCTGAGGCAGTGTCTATCAGTTTCAGAAGCGAGTAGTCGTGCAGTACTTAACCTGAAAAACTTAATGGAAACATGAATTAAGAGAATGATCACTGTTTAGTTCTATCAGAAAACTATTAAAAGTGGTCCAAGGGGGTATTTAAAAAGAGATATTAAAGTATTTTCCAAGGGAGCCCTATTCAGGGTAGAAGCGCAGACACTATCCCTGACCTCACCACACAAACTACCCTCATGTGTTGGGAGGGACCAAGGGGCGCTCTGGTCCTGCTGACCTGCATTAATCACGGCCCGGAGGTCCACACTAAGACCCTGAGGCCTGGGAAGCAGCCTGGGTGGGGTCAGAGAAGCGGTGGATGAGGCTCCACAGCAGCTCCCAGGGTCCCATCCCCGTAGCTGTTTCCTTAGTGGATGCAGCAGGGTCAGGCCCTTCCGCTGTGACGTTTTCTCCTCTTTATTACACTGGTGGGAAAGTCTCCGTGAGAGGCCCGACCTAGATATGGACCACGCAGCGAGCCCGGGGGTCCAAGCGGCGCTCCTGGGGTGCAGAGGATTTGTGACAGCCTAGAGAACAGAGGAAATGGTTTTGAAAAGGCAAATGGCAGGTGACTAGGGACACGATGTTTTCACTTCTGGCAGTCAAGTGACAGTTTCAGACACTCATGAACGGGCTTCTCGAGGGGATCCCAAGGAGCCTCCAGGTCGGCCGCCATTACCCTACACCTAGGGACGGGCTGCACTGCGCATTTCCGAAAGGGCAGGCCCCTTAGCCCCACCCCTAGGAATGGGTGCACTGCGCATGTGTGAAAGGGCAGGACTTTTATCCCGCCGCTAGGGACGGGCTACACTACCCATGTCTGAACGGGTGTGACAAGAGGGAGGAGCGAGAAGGGACGGGGCGGAGCGGGAGATGGGCAAGAATAGGGGCGCGGTGCGGCCAACGTCCGGCGGAGGATCGTTACCACGGCAACGCTGCTGTGGAGGCCATGAAAGGCGAACGGCCCTTTGTTGGCTGACAGGAAATCGAGACACTCGTGAGGGGGCTTCTTGAGGCGATCCCAAGAGGCCTGAGAACTGCCACATCCGCGGCCCTTAACCCAGCCCTAGGGACGGGCCGCACTGCGCATGTCTGAAAGGGAGTGACAAGAGGAGGAGCGAAGGAGGGTGGGGCTGAGGAGGAGGCGGGGTGAGAAAAGGGGCGGGTCGCGCCCCACCCTTGTCTGAGGAGCGTTACCTTGACAACCCTGCCGCGGAGGCAGTGAGAGGCCACCGGCCCTTTGTTGATCTGCAAGGTATCAAACTTCGAACATGACAAGCATAAAAGCCTGCAGCTCGAGGAGACAGGGTGTCACAATTACCAGGTGAAACTAGCCGCCCTAGCTCCAATGTCTCTTCAGCAGGAGAGATTTGGAAACAGCAAGGCTCCTCTCCGCAGGGCGAAACTGCTGGGCTGCGAAAGGCGGGACAGGGAGCGGAACCGTCTTCAACCGTTCCGGGAGTTCTGGTGTCTGGTCCGCTCCCGGCTGTTGGTCGCAGGGCAGAGGGTCTAGGATGCCAGCTGGCTGCGGGCTGGGAGATGCAGGGTGAGGCGCGCATCGCGGTGCATACTGGGAGTTGTAGTCTCTCCACCGTTCCCCACGGTGGATGGTGGGGCTACAGGAGGACAATCCCAGATTGAGACAGGAGCGGAGGCGGGGCGCGGCCGTGCAGGGAGGGGGAGGGCGGTGTAGGCGGCTTCGTTTACCAAGCTTGCTGGCCATTGATTTCATGCCAAACCCTCGCCAAGGGGATTAAATCAGGAGAGGAACTTGAAGGGCAGGCCTGGTCTCGCCAGTGAGGAGGATGTGTTGTTGGGAAGTGCACCCCGCCTTTGCCTAAATCGAGAGTGTCTGGTCCTCACTCACGCGACTTCGACTTCCAGCTGCTCAGCTCGATTTTCTTTCCCACTCGCACCCGAGTTCTTTCCAGAGCGTCCCACCTCCTCCAGCCCATGGAGCCGTCTGCTTTCATAAGTGGCTGTGGAAACTGGTCTGAGGTCCCAGACGCTGTCACTGTGCTGCTGCCCTCCGCTCTCTCCAAGCAAAGCACAAGCTGAGCCGCCTTGGAAAGACAACCACGGCCTGGCCTGGGAATGCGCAAGTTCAGAGCTTTGCAGGGAGTGACCATGGGCTGTGGCTTCGTGAAAATGTCACGTTCACCAGTACCCTTTTTGCGGATGTGGCCGTGGAGCCATGAGGGGGGTAATCACTGGGTTACAAAGGTGCTGCTAAGAGCGGAGGAGAAAAACCCAATTCCCAGCCATGTGTCTGGTATGACATTTCACCAACCCATTTAAGTGTGCAGGCCTCCAAATATCTACCTAAAGATTATGATAGATTAGGCATTTTACACTAAAAATCTGTGGCTTCGTGTCCACTAAAGCCTGACTGGCCAGTGCCTAAAAGAAACAGACGATAACCTGATCCCTCAGGAACAGATGGTGTTCTAGCTTTGTGGAAGTGAATTTCAAGGTATGGAGCACTTGAGGGGTCTTTGAAACCTGCCAGGTCTCACATCTCTGCTTTTGGTGAAAAGCTCATCAACTAACAGTAGTCAGGAATGTGCCTTTACTTCCTGGGGCTGGTCTGTTGAAATTTTGTGTGTGGACAATGGAAACATCCAGGAGCATTTCTGCTTTCCTATAGCCTCTTAATAATTGATGCCCTAAAGTCCTATATCCTTTGATTCCTGGATGGTACAGATTTCATGCTGTTAAATCTAATCTGCAAAAACCTGAGCGTTAATCTCCATGAATAGAAGAACTTGTTGTTTCTTATTTAAATGCTCTTTTTTCTCTTGTCTTAGATTCTGAGCAGGATTTCCAATACGGTGTTGAAAGAAGTAGTGAGAGTGGGCATCTTTTTCTTATAATAAATCTTAAAAACAATTCCAAAATTTCACCATTGACAATAATGTTAACCATGGGATTGTCCTATAGCTTATAAAGAACATATCTCTTTATTTTGAGGTATATTCTTTCTATACCTAATTTGTTATAGATTTTATTTGGAATGGATTTTAAATTTTGTCAAAATAATTTTAGGCATGCATAAAAAAGTCATGATTTTTAATCTTTTTGTTGTGTAAATAAGGAGTATGGCATTTATTGATTTCCACATATTAAAATATTATTGCATCCCAGGAATAAATCCAACTTGATCATAATAAATGATCCTTTTAAAGTGCTTTTGAATTTCATTTGCAACTACGTTGCGGATGATTTTTCATCTATGTTCATCAGGGATATTGGCCTGTAATTGTTTTTCTTGTAATGTCCATCTCTGGTTTTTGTATCAGTGTAATGCTGGCTTCATAAAATGAGTTTGGAAGTATTCCTCCTCCTTCAATTTTTTCAAAGATTTGGTTCTTTTTAAATGTTTAGTAAAATTCAGCAACAAAGTCATCAGATCTAAACTCCTTACCCATTACTGATCTATTCATATTTTCTATTTCTTTATGCTTCAGTCTTGGTGGGTGGTACTTGTCTAGAAATGTATTCATGTCTTCTCCCTTATCCCATTTGGTGGGATATCATTGTACATAGGAGTCTGTGTACATAGCAGTCTTATGACCTTTTTTTATTTCTGTTTTACCAGTTGTAATGTATTCCCTTTAATTCTGATTTTATTTATTTAAGCATTTATTTCTTAGTCTAGCTAAAGATATGCCAACTTCATGTTTTCATAAAACAAGCTCTTACAATTTTTCTACATTTTCTATTGTTTTTCTAATCTTCAGTGTATTCATTTCTGCTCCGATTTTTTTTACTAATTTTATTATCTGGGAACGTTGGGATAAGTTCTTCCTCCTCTAGTTTCTTGAGTTGTGTCATTATTTGTTTATTTGTGATCTGTTTTCTCTTTGGTTGAAGGTGTTTACTGCCACTCCATTTCACTGGGATTAGCACCCATATGCATTGTGGTCTTTTTGTTTGAGTTCATCAAACTTCTGATCCTAAGTCTGCACCTTTAGCATACTGGTAAGCAGCAGTGCTAAAAGCCTACACGATGAGTAGGGGATTTAGGATGAGAGAATTACCCAGTAAGTTTTGGGAGGGACTAATATTAAGTTATCTTTCTCTTTTTTATTTCTCATCAGTGCCTGAACCATAAGGCACAAGGAATGAGCCCCTCATCGTGAGAGTGCATGTGACAGGAGCAAAGGAAGCGGCAGCTCAGGAAACACAAGGTCACTGTTCTTGCTCCCATGACGGTAGCACTTGTTAGAGCAACTGAGTGACGTGCATAATTCTCTCCAAAGTAAAAGTCCTTTTTGTTTTTTGCAATTTTACAAAAAACCGTCCCTGGGCCTTTCCTGAGAGTGTGCAATAATAAGCAATGTTCATATGACTACCCGGGCATTTAGTAATGGTAAGCAGACCAGATGAAGTGACCACAGGGATATAGCCTGACTCTTGGTAATCAGGACTGAAGTACTCACTGATTAAGGTTCTGTGTTTTCACTGCCTTGAAAGGCAAGTGTCTTGCAAGCTGCATGCCAAACAAAGGCTAAATATGATGACACATCAGGCTGCAGCAGAGTCAACTGACCATATATGTCTAGGTGATGAGTGTGCTTTAATGTGGTCAGGGAAGGCAACTCATGATAAAGGCCACAAATGGCTATTTAGACCAAAGCAAAAGCCCACCAGAAACTGGTGGCTCTGACTGAGGTGACTTTTAATGTATCATGAAATCAGTAGGCCAAAAGCAGTTAAAGTTGAGCCGATGTCCTTAGTCATAGTTGGTTAATCCAGTTTGTATTGTGAATTGTTTGATTAGCCTCCCCTTTACCCCATTGGTGAGGGATAAATTACCACCCTTGTACTACTGGAACAGTTAAAACCATGGCACCAATCATTGGACAAATGAGATTGACAGCAGTTATTCGTTACATATAATCATGGAAGAAGGAAATTATATAAGGTATACAGACCCACACAGGGATTGCACTTGGGAGCAGAGAGAACAAACAGGGGGTGTTGGGGAAGGCTTTGTAGTATCAAGAGGGTGAGATGCACCTGGTTCCCACAGGAAGTTGTTATTGGTTGGTCTGGATAATTCTGTGACCTTGGGAGAAACTGAAACACATTATACTACCAATTGCTAAGACTACAATAACATACTATAATAGTGTAATGCTATAATGTACCATATACTGTAATACTAATGACAGTATGTTCTCCCTTTTTTGATAGATTCTCAGAAACTGTGACTTTAAGTAAAACAATGTACTATATAATAAAACCAATTTTACCATTGGCTAATTGATATAAACAAGAGTTAATTTTCCATGGCATATAGTATTTTGTTTCACTTAAAGTCAGTTTCCAGGGACCTATCAATGATGTTAAGTGAGCACTTACTGAACATGTATTTTAGTGATGTGTAATAGAAAGTAGCTATAAAAAATATACTATTCATGTACAAAACTACATGTGGCACACATTACAGTCATGAACCACATAACAATGTTTGAGAAATTGACAGACTATATATATGAGGGTGTTTTCTTGTGAGTATATATATATATATATAAACCTACCTTTAAAGGCCAAAGGAGCTGAGAGTTTGAAGAATGAGGCTGACAAATCAAGCTTCTCAGAAAGAAACATTTAAGAGGAACATTTATTAATAGAAGCTATGTCTCAGATAGCTGAAGATGGTGGAACCTCACACTGTGACCCCCTAAACCCAGACACTTATCACAGGAAAGGGAATGTGAAGGACAATTGAAATCACTATATAAATTTGCCTAAGGGTAGGATTTGTGCTAAGTACCTGTTCACAATAGCATCAGGGTTGTTTTGATTTAAGGGTAGGGCTTATAGAACTGTAGGTTTCAATATATGACATAGGTATTTGAAACCCTCACCAAAAAACATTAGAGGAAGTAACTCTGTCATCATTTTAAGTTTCTTTTTTTTTTTTTTAGTAATTTAAAATCTTAAAGTCTGGTTATGTTAAATTAAGTAATCTTAAGTTTCTCACTAAAAATTAGTATTGCTAAGCATTAAAAGAATAGTTTTAAGACAGTTTTTACCCCAGCACTAGTGATTGGATAATACGGCCCCAGGCCCCACCCCTTCAGGTTCTGAATGAGAGAAGATGTGAGCCAACTCGTAGCCAGATGACAACAGGGTAAAATGTTCCAAGCCGCAGCCTTTTTCAGGCAGGACTTCCTCCTTATGCTGAAGCCCGGCCTTCACTGTGGGATATTTGCATTTAACCTTGTATATAAGGTTATTTTTATTTATAAGTTGTATATATGTGGCCAGGCATAGTGGATCTCACCTTTAATACCAGCACTTTGGTAGGCTGAGGGGACAGAAGCTCTTGAATCCAGGCGTTTGGGACCAGCCTGGGCAACAGAATGTGAGGGCCCCACATCAAAACTTTTCTACAAAAAAATGAAAAAATTAGCCAGGCATGGTCACACGTGTCTGTGGTCCCAGCTACTTGGGAGGCAGAGGTGGGAGGGTCACTTAAGCCTGGGAGGTAGAGGCTGCAGTGAGCTGAGATCAGGCCACTGCACTGCAGCCTGGGTGACAGAACAAGATTCTCTCTTTCTTTCTCTGCCTTATTTGTGTGTGTGTGAAGGGGGAGGGGTGTGTGTGTGTATTATTCAAAATAGAAACAAAATAATAACAATTATTTTTATTTTTATTTACATTTTTTTGAGACAGAGTCTCACTCTGTCACCCAGGCTCGAGTACAGTGATGAGATATTGGCTCACTGCAACCTCCGCCTGCCAGGTTCAAGTGATTCTTCTGCCTCACCCTCCCAGGTAGCTGGGATACAGGCACCCACCATGTTGCCCAGCTAATTTTTGTAGTTTTAGTAGAGACATGGTTTCACCATGTTGACCAGGCTGGTTTCGAACCGAGGTCAAGTGATCCGCCTGCCTCGGCCTCCCAAAGTGCTAGCATAACAGGCATGAGCCACCATGCCCAACCAATTACAATTATTTTTAATTTTTAGATTTTACAATCTTTCTGGCCTCTTGGCTTTTGAGGCAAACTGAGCTTTGAAATTAGGCAATCCTCTATTGCACCAATGTGCAATAGAAGTAAAATGTGAGCCACATGTGACAATTAGAATTTGCTAGTAGCAGCATAAAGAAAAAGAAAAATGAGTGAAATTGATGTTAACAACATAGCTCAATATATCTGAAATATTTTAACATATAATCAGAATGAAATAATTAAAGAAACATATATATGTGTACATATATACGTACACACACATAGACATATGTTTCTTTAACCCAGCATTATATATTTTTATGCACATATGTATATGTAACTAAATATTTAAATATTTTCTTGTATTTCTCC
The DNA here is from genome assembly GCF_000001405.40 of Homo sapiens. Taxonomy (NCBI): domain Eukaryota; kingdom Metazoa; phylum Chordata; class Mammalia; order Primates; family Hominidae; genus Homo; species Homo sapiens. The sequence continues at coordinate 33,453,899 of NC_000016.10, read as the reverse complement.
CCAGCATATCTTAGTTCATGCTGGGCACAATACAGTTGTTCAGTAGCCCCTGTGCCCAGTGGCTGCCACATTGCAAGTGCATCTCTGAGGGCTCTGACTTTTCTGACCTTAGGGAGGTTAAAGGGCCTGAATCCTCCTTTTCTGCCAGATAGGAGTGAATGCCCCTTCTCTGCCAATATCACTCCTGTTTAAAGGATAAGAGAGGTGGTGCCCTGAGAGACAGTAGGGCCTACAAGAAACAAGTGTTCACAGGTAGAACACTGCTGTCCACTTTTGCTTGGTGTGGACTCATCAAACCTCCAGAGATCATACAGCAGTCCAAAAAGTGGGGCCCCAGAAGAGGGAAACCTCATGTTTTTAGATCTGTCCATAGGCTTGATCTGATGTGGAGAGACTAGATTAAAGGCAAACTTTTTATCTTGCAACTTGGCCTTGGCAAATTAAATAGAAATATGTCACTATAAAAATCAATTAAATAAAAAGGAAGGCAGTAAGAGCAGAAAAGAGGAGAAAATACCTACAAGAAACAAATAGAACTATTAACAAAATGGAAGTAGTCCATTCTTTTCACAATTAAAATGAATATATACATAGAGTAAAATTTCCAACAGAAATGTGTAAATTGGCTAAAGAGATTGAAAGAAAAAACGATTTGTTTTCTGCTGTCTATAAGAAACTCACTTTAGATCTAAGCACACAGATAGGCTAAAAGTGCAAGTATGAAAAATATCTTCTAGGAAGATTGCAATCAAATGAGAGCAAGAGGGGTCATAATTATGCAAAATACACATTAAGTCAAAACTGAATTAAAGGACAAATAAAGATAGTATATAATGATACAAGTGTTGATTCACTGGGGAAGCTGTGTTAATAATAAATATATGTACACTTCACATCGGGGTTTCCAAATGTATAAAGCTAAGATCGACCCAGATGAAGAAAGAAATAGCTATGCAAAAATAGTAAGAGACATAATTATCCGACTATCAGTAGCAAACTCTGTAAACCGAACAGACATATAGAAAACACTCATCACAGTGAATAGATTCAGGAAGCTGAAGGCCCATGGGACATGACCAACTCAGCATTCCACTGGAGGCTATATGATCAAACAGCAAACTCTTTATCATGAATGCAGGATGTGGGCAAACTCACACTGCCCTGCCACCAAAAGGTTTGCTGAGGGCCTCATTCCCTGGCACCAGGCTCCTTGAAGTTATCTACTGAGAAATCCAGTGCCTATTGTTCTAAGAATGCAGTCTCTCGAGTCAGCTGTGAATCAAGCTGCTGGTGGAAAACCACCCCCGCCTTCTCACTATCTCTTTTACCTAATAAATATGGAGGGCTGTGTAAAGCTCAGGTACCTTGTCCACTAGAGGCAAGGTGCCCCTGACCCCTTTTTCCAAATATACCCCTTTGTCTCTTGTCTTTTATTCCTGCATTCACCCTGCTTTGTTCAGTCCAATAGGTCTGTGTAGGCTACAAATAGAAGTGAAAAAAAAGAAAAAAAAAAACACTTCACACAACAATATCAGAATACACACTTTTTCCAATAGGTCATGAAACATTCTCCTGAGTAGATAACCTACTAGGACACAAAACAAGTTTTACCAAATTTTAAAATGTTAAAATATGGGCTAGGCATTGTGGCTCATTCTTATAATTCCAGCATTTTGGGAGGCTGAGGTGGGAGGATTAGTGAGTTTAGGAGTTCGGCGCCAGCCTGGGCAACATAAAGAGACCCTCTCTTTAGAAAATATAAAATTTAAAAATTAGCTGGGCATAATGGCACATGCCTGTGCGTCCAGCTACTCAGGAGGCTGACGGGGGAGGATTGCTTGAGCCTGGGAGATCGAGGCTCTGGTTAGCCATGATTGAGCCGCTGTGCTCCAGCCTGAGCAACAGAGCAAAACTCTGTTTCAAAAAAAAGATTAAAATATTACAATCATTTTTTATTACAAGGGAATAAAATTAGAAATCAATAGCAGAAGAAATATGGAAAATCTACAAATATGTGGAAATTAAACAACGCACTCTTCTGCATGCTCTCGTTCAAGGGTTGGAAGACAATATTGTGAAGATGTCCACACTACCCAAAATGATCTACAGATTCAATGAGATCTCTATCAAATTTTAACTGTCATTTCACTTGGCAGAAATACAAAAAACATTTCTAAAACTTATATGGAATCTAAAGTGACTCTCAGGAGCCAAACAACCTTCAAAAAAAGAAATAATATTGGAGGCATCACACTCCTTGACTTTATAATGTATTACAAAATTACAGTAACCAAACTATTTAGTACTGACATAAAGGCAGACACACAGACAAATGGAACAGAATAGAGCACAGAAATAAACTGTCATATATATGGCCAAATGAAGAGTTATTTGTATATCCATATTCATTGCACAACATTATTCACAACAGCTGATAGGTGGAAGCAACCCAAATGTCCCTCAATGAATCAGTGAATAAAGACAAATTGGAATATACAAATAATGGAATATTATCCAGTTTTTTAAAAGCAGGAGATCTGATTATTTTTACACTAAGGATAAATCTGGAGGACATTATGTAAATAAAATAAATGAGTCATAAAAGGACACTGTGTGATTCCAGTTAAATATCTAAAATAGTTAAACTCTTAGAAACAGAAAGTAGAATAGTATCAGTCAGAGCCTCAGGGGAGGAGATAAAAGGGTAGTTGTTGTTTCATGGCTATTGAATTTTAGTTTTGCAACATAAAAACATTCTAGAGATATGTTGCATAACAATGTGAATATATTTAATATTATTTAACTATGTACTTAAAATATTTAAGATGGTAAATTTTATGTGGTTTTGACTACATTAATAGTGAAAAACTTTCTAAAGAGATACATATTTATCAATCTTTTCAAAAATTACCTTCAAATCCTAAAAATATCAGAAAAACAATAAAGAGGCCAGGTGCAGTGGCTCATCCATGTAATTGAAACACATCAGGAGGCTGAGGAGGGAGAATAGCTTAAGCCCAAAAGTTGGAGACCAGCATGGGCAGCGTAAAAAGACCTCAGCTGCAAATCACAAGCAGAAGGAAACTGGCAAATGAAAAAATATGTGAAACTTAAAACAGAACACTCTTGACTTCTTGTTCAAGGGTCAGAAAATTTAATATTATTAAGATGTCAATACTACTCACAGTGAAGCACAAATTCAAAGTATTTTCTATCAAAATCCCAATGTTACATTTTTTTCAGAAATATTAAGTCTTAAAATTCATATGGAATCTCAAGGGACAATGAGTAGCCAAAGTAGCTGTGGAGAAGAACAAAGTTAGAGGTATCACACTTCCTGATTCCAAAATATATTATAAAGCTATAGCAATACAAACAGAAAGACAAATAGATGATGGAATAGAATAGAGAACCCAGAAATAAACCTTTATGAATATCATCAAATAATCTTCAATCAGGCTGCCATGACCGAACAACAGGGAAGAACAGAATAGTGTTCTAAAATTGAGTATCAAAATGGAAGAAAATAAAATTGGACTTTTCACTTGCACCATATAGAAAACTATCTTAAACACTTAAATGTAAGTAAGATCGCTATAAAAGTCTTAAAATATAAGGTAAAAATCATGACATTTGTCTTGATAATTTTTTTAACATGACATTAAAAGCAGAAGTAACAAGAAAAAAGCAGGAAAATGGGACTACCTCAAATGTAGTAAGCTTTCTGATAAAGAGAAAACAGCTGGGCCTGGGGGACCACTACCACCAAGACGCAGAGACCAGTAGTGGCCCCGAATGGCTGGGCACGCTGATATTTATTGCATACAAGACAAGGGGGCAGGGTAAGGAGGGTGAGTCGTCCAGGTGATTGATAAAGTCAAGCAAGTCATGTGATCATGGGACAGGAGGCCCTTCCCTTTTAGGCAGCCAAAGCAGAGAGGGAAGGCAGCATACATCAGTGTTTTCTTCTATGCATTTATAAGAAAGATCAAAGACTTTAAGACTTTCACTATTCCTTCTACCGCTATCTACTAAGAACTTCAAAGAGGAACCAGGAGAATGGGAGGAACGTGAAAGTGGACAAGGAGCGTGACCACTGAAACACAGCACCACAAGGAGGGGTTTATGCCTCCGGATGACTACGGGCAGGCCTGGATAATATCCAGCCTCCCACAAGAAGCTGGTGGAGCAGAGTGTTCCCTGACTTCTCCAAGGAAAGGAGACTCCCTTTCATGGTCTGCTAAGTAACAGGTGCCTTCCCAGGCACTGGCATTACCGCTCGACCAAGGAGCCCTCAAGCGGCCCTTATGTGAGTGTGACAGAGGGCTCACCTCTTGCCTTCTAGGTCACTTCTCACAATGTCCCTTCAGCACCTGACCCTATACCCACCAGTTATTCCTTGGTTATATGAGTAATACAACAAAGAGTAATATTAAAAGCTAGTGATTAATAATGTTTATACTAATGATGGATAATGTCCATGATCATCTCTATATCTAATTTGTGTTATAACTATTCTTTATTCTAACTGTTTTCTTTATTATACTGCAACAGTTTTTACCTTCAGTCTCTTGCCTCGGCACCTAGGTAATCCTTCACACCCACATGTTTCTACAAAGGAGATATACAAACGGCCAAGAGGAATTTTAAAAGATGCTGCAAATCATGAATCTTTAGAGAAATGAAAAGCAAAACCCCAGTGAGATATTACCTCACATTCATTAGGATGGCCACTATCAAATAAGAGAAAATAACAAGTGTTTTCAAGGATGTAGAGAAATTGGTATATTTGTGCACTGGGTGGTGGAAAAAATAATCATGCAGCCATTATGAAAAATAGTACAGAGTTTCCTCAGATTATTAAAATTGGAATTATGATGTGGTCTGGCAATACCATTTCTAGATATCTATCTAAATGTGCAAAGCGGGACCTGAAAGAAACATTTACATACCCACGTTTATGACAGAATTATTCTAAAAATCCAAAAGGTAGAAGCTACTTGAATGTCCCTTGACAGATAAATAAGTAAATATGATATATACATACAATGAAATATGATTTTAAAAGGAAATCTTATCACATGCTGCAATGACAATAAACCTTTAGGGCATGATGTTAAGTGAAATGTGCCAGGAAACAAAGTGACAGTGATTGTGTGATTCCACTTATGAGATATCTTAAGTAGTCCAACTCACAGAAATGGAAAGTAAAATGTTAAGGGCTCAGGAGAGGGTAAAATGGGCAGTTGACGTATATGGGTATTGAGTTTTAGTTTTGCAATGGAAAAGCTCTAGAAGCCTGTTGCATAACAATGTGGATATATGTACCACTAATAAATTATGCAATTACAAATGTATAGACTGGTAAATTTTGTTGTGTTTTATTACAGTTAAAATATTGTAAAGTGATACATAAAAGAGATACCGAGTTACAAACTTTTTGGAAAATTACCTTCAAATTATAAATGTGTTTTCCTCACACAAAGAAAATATAGATTTGTTCAATAAATACGTGGGTAAGTTAAGACTACTTATATGACTACTGTCCTGAACAAGATAAAACAACTTTTGACACCAGCCAAGAAGAGAAATATGCAAGATAATTAAGAAGAAATAGACTATATTTATAGAGGCAAACAAACACACGATTTTATTGGTGGTAGATATGGCTGATTCATATTTTGATTAAACATCACATTGACTTAACATGTATATAGAGTTGCAGATTTACATCCAAAATCATAATACGTAGGTAAAACCAAACTCACAAAACACGAATGTCAAGGAACTTACCAAAAAAAAAAAAAATAGTAATATGAAATTTCAAAAAAGAATGAGAGAAACAACGAAAAAACTCCTATATAAAACATAGATTTACAACTAAGAAAGAATCCTCCTAGATAACTACAATCTTCAGCTGTGACTGTGCATCCGTGGTGAGCAGGGATTTTGAATCAAGACTGCGTTAGGAAGAGGCTCAAGGGGGCAGACAGTGCCACCTCCAGAGAAGCCACTGCTCCTACTCCTGCCTCTCCTGCTACTGCCGCCACGGTCCTCTGCTCCTGCAGCCCCCACTGGGCGCCGGATTCCTTCTTGGAGTGCGGAGGTCCTGTTCCTTCAGGAACGACAGACAGCTTTTCTCCCCGTCTCCTCGTTTGCTCAGCCGGCAGGTGCAGGACTGGAGATCTGAGGTGGTCCTGCGTCTCGAGGAGCCGGGCGCCCGACTGTGAGAAGGAGGAGGCAAGCTATGGGGAGAGGGGGCGACAGGAATGCCAGGCTCATGAGGCCGGCGGCCGCGGCCCAGGCAGGGCTGGCTGCTGCCTGGGCCGGATGGTAAGAGATACTGTGGAAAGAAAATAAAATAAAATAAAATAAGTAATAATAAAGTTTAAAATAATAAACCTAACATAGGTAATAGTTAACATTCAGCATAGGTTACTTAGAAGTTATACATAGGCTAAGAAATTTCAGCAGTCCATTCCAGCATTGCTAACAAGTTGCAGCTGCGAGCTTATCTCAATCTTCCAAGCTTATTGCCTGCCTCCAGACCCCCGCATATTCCTGTAATTCGTGTTTTCCCTTACCCCAGCTCTGTTCAGCTTCAAAGTTGACTGGACAAAATAACTAAATTGTAAGTTCTCTCCGAATTGTCACGGGTTGGATAATTTACTGTCTTTGTCTGAAACCTGTAACCTGCCTTGTTTTCCCGCCTCAAACGGCACTTAAGCAAGCCTGCTTTCTTTGCAGGGGTCGGCAGCCATTTTGGGCATGAGCCTGCTGTTGGCTCAGGTGCCTGAATTAAATAAAGTTCTCTTTGGTCTCCAAAGGTCTCTTCGTGTTCCTTGGCTGGAGTTTTACTACAACAGTATCAGATGTCGCCACCATCCCCATCCTTGGCTCCCTAGCCGTCATTCATACATCCTGTGTTCAACAAACAGAAGTGGCAGCGGGAGCTGCTGCTCCGGGAGGGGGAGTGGCCTGGCAGGGGGCACACAGCTGCTACCTGCTGCGAGGCGAGTTGGTCTGCAGCCTGGGCCTTTGTGCAGGACACATCGCCGCCCTTGTCCCGCTTGCTCCCCCGCCTGCCACGCAACATGCTCAGGTGCCAGATCTCGGGCATTCCTGGCAAGCGTACTGTGGCGGGGAGGCAGCAGGGAGGAGGGGTTTGCCAGGAGCCCTGAACAGAGGTTCTTGGCATGGAGAAGAGACAGAGGTGGCTGACTGGTTCCAGTTTTAGGTGGGTGGGGGGAGGGGGTGGCAAACCCCATGGGACTTTGTTTTTTTCAAGGAGACTTCAGTTCACTTCTTATCTGTTCTCCACCCGCTTAAGCCTCTGAGAACAGAGGAGATGGGGCTCTTTTAAATTGGCCTGGCCGTAACGGTCTGGACCCTTGCCGCAGGGCAGATCTCATTTGGGGGCTCTTTGAAGCCTGGAGGCTCACGCCTGTCCATCCCAGGTGTCTTCAATATAGGGTCAAGTTAGGCCTGGCTGGCAATGATGCTGGAATGCAGGACGATCTGGCCAGATCTTCGCCTGTTACAGGATATTTTAGCCTTCAGCACCCTGCACCATTTCCCTCACCTGCAGAAGCCCCCGTGAGCCTCAGTGTTGCTAGGGCCCAGACCCTGGATGCCTCTCTATTAGAGTCCCACTTTACCCCACCTAAATGCACCAGGCCCTTACTCTGCCTTTCCCCTTTTCCCAGAACATGCCCCATTCAACTCCAACAGGACATGTCTGGACCACGTGCACCCCTCTTCAGTGTTAAAACAGAGAAAATAATGTATTTTTCACTGAACATGTAACTGATTTAACATATAAGGAGATCAGCTTTATGTGTAGATATGCATGTAAATATACACAAAATTTCTAACGTTGTGGGAAAATTAACATCTTTACACTTTGTTCAGTGATTTTATAGTTTTCTCTCTCTTACTCACTTGCTTCTTTTTTTTTTTTTTTTGAGACAGAGTCTTGCTCTGTTGCCCAAGCTGGAGTACAGTGGCAAAATATCAACACACTGCAGCCTCTGCCTCCTGGGTTCAGAAGATTCTCAGGCTTCAGCCACCCGAATATCTGGAATTACCAGCATGAGTAACCATGCCCAGCTGTTTTTTGTGTTTTTAGTGGAGACGGGGTTTTGACATGTTGCCCAGGCTGGTCTCGAACTCCTGGCCTCAACTGATTTGCCCACCTTGGTCTCACAAAATGCTGGGATTACTGGCGTGAGCCTCTATGCCTGGCCTACTTGTCACTATCTCTATGTTTATTTGTTCAATAGGAAAATTCTCAGTGAAGACTCCTCAGCATGATGAAGATAAGCTTGCACAATCAGTCATTGATAGATGCTTAGTGGAAAAACTTCCAATTCCCATTTGCAGCTCTCAGAGCTAGGATTAAAAACTCCTGGTCATAACCTCATGTGATGAGAAGTTATAGCATGCCCTCATTTTCTACATATCCACCTGCATTTACAATTAGCTTTCAAACTTGCTAGAAGGGAAAGAAGTGGGAATGTGTCCCCCTTAGAGCTACTTTCCTCCCCTTGCTGGGTTTCCAGTTTGTGCATTGTCCAGATGGCCCAGGAGCTTATGATCAAAGTGAAGAGGTCCTGTTTGTCATGAGAATGCTGCTTTGCTGCATCAGGATTCAGTGAAACTGTTCACCGCCTGGAGCCCATGTGGACTCCAGAGGCAGGATGAAGCTCAGAAACCGTCACTGAGGTTAGGAAGTGAGCACCAAAGTTGAGGGCTGCCCACAGGAGAGGGCCAAAATGCTCCCTTTGGATTTCCAAGTGGTTGCTTCTTGCATCAGTCTTGCTTCTGACCACACTGTGTTCCTGGTCCCGTCTTCCTGGCATTTTGCTGTTTGTGTCCAAGGGAAAGAGTCCTGGATGGCAGTGCTGAGAAGGATGCCTGCCTGCTAAAGCTGATCCCCTGGTGAGCTCTGCAGCCTGTTAAGCAGAGCCTGAAATTCTTTCTCACTGAGTGGTGATTCAGACCACGGAGGGCCCTCCTCTTGTGGATCTGCATTCCGAAAAGATTGTGCCTTTTCCTGAAACTCTGGGACTTGTAGAAGATCATGCAGATGACTGGTGTGGTTGCTCCAGCAGATAGATGGCTCTTTCATGGCTTGTGCCTGTTTCTGCCACAGGTAGACCTATGTGCATGGGCTACTAAGGTGCTCCTGCTCCAGGTTGCCATTGAATCATGGCATCCTGGGACCCGTTGCCTAAGCTCCACCACTTCTGAAGGTGGGATGTGTCCTGTTGACCCAGACTCTAAAATTGTGGCTAAGGATGACCAGGCTGTGGCTGTCCCTTTAAGGCAGAACTTCCAGGCCAGTGTCTTATTTTTCTTGTCATCCTAAAGTTTTCCTTTCGACTGAGGCCAGAAACAAGTCTGTGTATGGGAGAGCCTCCCTCCTAGAGTTGGTACCATTGACATATGACTCCTAAGTGCCAGAAGAGGTTGAGAGAACTCTCCCATCTGCACAGCCAGGGTGCTATGTGCATCGTGACCCTTGGTGCCTGGCTCACACAGCCTGCAGAGGGATCCAAAAAATCACAGGTTGTGGGAGGTGAAGGAAGAGCTGGTACAAATGACAGGTGGCTGCTGACAGAATAGGAGGCAGGAAGAAGATGAGACCTGCCTGGGGTAGTGCACATGTTTTGTTCCAGCCAAACAGTCAGATGAGGTCTTGGTCTTGGACCCGCTGCCAGGGAATTCACAAGCCCGCTTCTGCTGTGGCCTGGGAGCTGAGGTCTTTGGTTCTGAAACCAAATGTAAATTTTGGACTCTGAAATGCCTGTCTGTTTAGCCAGTTTCTCTATAATGGTGATTCCAGGAAAGGAATTCTCTTGGAAAATGTTGAGGGTCCTTCTCAAAGGCTTTAATGAGTACACTGGTGTGTGATTGAGTGATGGATGTCCTTTCCTCCTGCCTTCTTATTTGACTTGCACAATAAATATTAACTATGGCAGTTACGGTCATATCTTTCTTTACAACATAAGAAACTTCAAGTCATTCATTGATGACACCAAAGCCTCATTCTCCTACATTAAACATTCTCCTACATTAAACTTCTTGAATCTTCTGTGCCAACTGTCTAGAAAACCTAAACACATGAAATACTACAAATTAGAAATAAATACCTCAATAGGCACCAATTATAAAAGCAAATCCAAGAAGGAACAGAATATATGAATACACATATAACAAGTAAAGAGATTCAATTAATTAAAAATCTTCACAAAAAGAGAAGCCCAGAGCCACATGGCTTAACTGGTAAATTCTACTAAACATTTAATGAAGAATTAATGCCAACTCTTTACAAGACCTTCCAGAAAATATGGGACAGTTATTGGGAACACTTCCCAATTTGTTCTGTGAGGCCAGTATTACCCTGATACTAAAGGCAGACAAAAGCATCAGAAGTAAATATGTGTATGGATGAATTTCCCTGATGAATACACACAGAGAAATTCTCAAAAAAGCGAAATGAATCAAGAATATATCAAAATGAATGTACACCATGACCAAATGGAATTATTTTACAGATGCAATATTGATCTATCCGATAATCAATCAGTGCCTTACACAAAGTAATAGGATAAAGGAAATTAACAGAAAGAGCCTTTCAACAGACACAGGGAGCATTTGACCAATCCAATATTCATTCACAATCTCCCTGGAAAGGAAGGGTACAAGCAAACTTCCTAAATCTGCTAAAGAGCATCAGTGAAAAACTTACACCTAACGCCATAATAGTAAAATACTGGTTGTTGTGTCTTGACATTTTAGAACAAGGCAAAAATGTTAACATCCAAAGAAATTACATGAGAGAAAAAAACAAAATCATCAATGTGGGAAAATAAGATGTTAGAATTGTCTATCATTGCAGAGGACATAAGTGAATATAAAAGTTTATAAAAAACTCATTAAAACCCACTAAAACCAATACATGAGTTCAGCAAGGTCACAAGATACAAAATCAATATGCAAAGTTCAATTGTACTTTTATGTACTAACAATGATCAACCTGAAAATAAAATTAAAAAAACAATCCATTTGTGTATGTATGAAAAAGAAAGAAATATTTAGGAGTAGATTTAATGAAGTGCAATTTTACCGTAAAAAGAAATCTTTGTTAAAAAATTTTAAAACACTGAAAAAAATAGGCATCAATGTTTATTTAGTTAATGTTATTCCATTATCCAGTGTATCCATTTAAACTCCACACAATAAAACAAAATATATTTTAGCATTATTTTAGTGTAATAAATACAGGTTTGTAGAAAACCCATGAAAGGAACTAATTCTACATGTCCAGAATAGCCCATCCTAATTTTTCTATTTTACATCTACTGTAAATCAAACCGATTTTGTTCCATATTTTATAGCGGAACGTAAGATAAAATCCAAATTGTTAAATATGTGAGATTGATTATAAGCCCACCAAGGAGGTTTTTACTCAGTGTGGGAATTC